>NC_000006.12:70489170-70792200 GCF_000001405.40 Homo sapiens
ATTTTTTTTCTGTCACAGGAAAAGATCATGAGTAATGTGAAAACAGATGGTGGTTTTAATGCAGAGTCTGTTGCTGGTTTTTTAGTTTTGGAAAGCCCAATATTAGAAGCCACTGGTTTATCTAACAGTGAAATGATTTGTGAAATCATTGCAAATTTCTTTAGTTACCAACAAGTTGGCCAAATTAGTGATCTATTTTTTGGTATATATCAATATCTAAATACAATTTACTTGTATATTTTGTGAGTTATGAAATACATGTGTTCCATTGATTTTTAGTTAACAACAGAGTATTTGTTGTTTATGTTACCGGGTGGGGTACAGCGTCCTTGATTCTTGTTGAAGGAAGAATTCAGCCAAGAGACACGCAGCAAGGGTTAAGCAGCAGAATTTATTTAAAGAGACAGTAGTATACTCTGAAAGATAAAGCAGAGCAAGCTTCTGGAGAGAGTGAGCTAGCAGCAGCCAGTGCTGGGGAACTCTATGAAGAATACATGATTATTCATGAAAGGGCATGAGGAGGTGTCACTTGCAATCATGTTTTAGATGATCCCCTTGGGCATACATGCTCTGTAGTTGTACATGCTAGTACACACGTTGCTTGTCTCGTTAGCATTTAAAATCTCCACCTAGGGATGTGTTTTTTACTATTATAATGAGCAAAAGACCACTCTAGGGTGAGTTATTGGAGGAGTGCACATGCTTCAGGGTCGCAGGAGCCCAACCACAAGGCCAGGTATAACCAATATAGCCGTTGTCCTTTTTGCTGTCAGTGGGCGACATCTCCAGGACTTCTTTGCCCAGAGGCTCCCTTGCCTGCTCGTATCTGGCCGTCTCCCCACTCTAACAATTATACTGTGGTTGTGTTTTTACCACATAATTGTGATTGCTTTTTTAAACAAATTTAAATGTTTATCATTTTTATCATGTAGTAAACATTCAGTCTGTTTTACAAATTAGTCAGCTGATGAGTGAATTCAGGGATGTTATAGAATGTGTTCTTGCCTTTGTGTGAGAAAGATCAATTAAACTCTTTCACAACAAGATTATGGGAATTTTGTATGATTATAACTATGCTGTTACAGTTCTTTTAAAAGACCTGTTTGATTTCTACTTAAAAATTAAGTGTATGTAAAGATATTTCAGACATTAGTGTAATTCCTCCCTGCCAAAAATAAATAATTTATAAATCTTTATATTTTGTTAGTTTCTGTTTTTCCTGGTAAATATTATCATTTTAATTGTAAATTTGTGCACCTCTTTATAGATTATTATAGCATACATTAAGTAAATCAGAATTCTATGCAAATATCTGCCTCAGTTTAAGAATATTTTATAGAAAAATAAATACATTAGGAACTAACTATTAAAGGATCTTGACATTCATTTTTATTAAATAGCCTACACACCAGGTATGTTTTAAATGTTTCAGTGATAAAATTAATTTTACTTGAGCATTTTAGGAATAGCTTTTGTAAAACACAAGAAAGCAAGGCATATGTATATATAACACAAAATACTAAACTGTACTGGAAATTATAAAATATGAAATACAGTAAAATCTAATTATATAGTTGGTCTTTTCTGTGACACAGTTGTGCAAGTTACTTTATGTATATAGTTAATATTTCCTTGACAGTGTTAACTCTTGTGAAAAATAAAAAATGATATTTATCAGAATGTAGAATTTAATAATCACATTACCTATGTAATTAATATGTTTATGAAAATATGTTACCTTGAAATTTAATTCATTGAATACAGTCCAGATCATTCTTAATTTTCAGTTTTTTATGGGAATTTTATTTATATAAATTAAATATCTAACATTGGAATATTTCCTCTACTCTTTACTCCTTCCAGAGGAAATGGATGTAGAAGCTCGACTTACTGAACTATGTGAAGAAGTTAAGGTACTTGGATTTTTTAAATTCACATCATCAAGTTATTTGAGTGGTTTCTGTTTCCTATTCTAAATATTTTGTCTATGAAAACTTAAAGTATTTATAGTTCCTAAAATGCAAAGATAAAATGGTTGATCATGGTAGAACCACAACTTAGGTGGTCAAAATTCATTTGGCTTCAGCATGAAGTTAACTTACCTTTTAAAAAGTATATTATTCTTCATATAAATGAAATAGCAAAGATAATTAACTGATCAAACAGTACATTTTCTTCTGTTCACTCACTCAATTTCTGGACACATTTTTAAAACATCACTTAAACTTGTAAAATGATACTGTTTAAAAATGAAAAATTTGTTTTATTTCAGTAGATCAATTTGCTTCTCAGATCATTTTTTCAGTTCACTCTTGCAATTAAATTGAATATATTTGCCTTTCTTTTTCTGAGAAACTAAATGCTTTAACTATTTAAATGTATGTTTCACTATGCATTCACTCTTGGTCAGCTACATTAATGGAAGAAATCAGAGGTGTGAATCAAACAAAAATATGTATTTGGTTTGGATATACTTTTGGATATAAATTTGAATGAAGACTAGACCTGTTCAAAAAGGTATTCTCCTTAGAAAATTATACATACGCAGGATACATCAGTTTTGTATACTGTCCTAGAGGTTTTCTCTGCAGTTCAAGTAAGATATTTTCTTTAAAAAAGTCACTAATGTGCTTATGATAATTGCTCAAAAGAACATTAAACATTTAAAAATAATCTTAAGATGTGTGCAGTTAATATGAAATCATCTGCAGTGTTTCACTGAGCTATTAAAGAAAATTTGAATAAATATACATATGATACTCCTGTAGATAATCACTAAAAGATATCAAATTTTACTCCAGTCAATCATTTTAATGAGTCCAAACCAAAATCCCACTGGAAATTTAAGCTTGTTTTTAAAATCATTTCAAGAAATGTAAAGATGGCTAAGAAAAACTTTTTTTAAAATAATGTAATTTTTAAATAATACAAATGTAGAAAGACTTGCTCGACTGGATACTAAAATATATGTAAAATAATAAAAATGAAAGGAAATAAGGTAGGATTTCTCTAAAAGAATAAAAAGACAAGTCAGAGGAATTAAACAGCCCTAAAATAGTCACTATTATGTTTAATAACTAAGTATATGATAAAATATTAACATCAGGGTCTATAAATATTGTGGTAAAGTTAACGTCATGCCATGCTATAGCAGCAGTTCTAAGTGGACTGAAGACTTAAGTGTCCAAAGAAATTAGGAAGAAAAAAATTACATATATATGTAAATATAAACAATCTGATCTTGGGATATGAAATGACTCCCTCAGACAATTTTTAAAAAGATAAGTTTTTTAAAGACCAATAAAAACCTAAGGGACAAAATAAGACATTGATGATTTGAAATTTCTTTGTAACAAAATATACTATAAATTTGAAAGCAAAGGATAGACTGGAAGAGAATATTTGCAATATTTAAAACAGGCTAATGGTCAGTGCTCACAATATATAACATGCTCTCATGTATCAATTTTAAAACAACACCCTTGTAAAAAAAAAAAAAAAAGGATACAATGAGGCAGTGTACAAATAACAAATTCTTAGCAGAATAATTTAGCTCCTGAAATGATACTCATTCTTACTGGAAACCAGGGGAATGCAGATTCTAATAGGTTATTTTTTTTGCCTATGAAATTTGCAAGAATAAAAGTGACTACTGAGCTTCATTTTTTGTAAGAGTGTAGTGAAACTAGTATCTGCATACCCTGTTGGTGATGGTATAAATTGGCACAGTATTTTTTAACATTAGTGCATTGATGTATTTTTAAAACACTTATATATTGCACAATTATCAAATCTGCACAGCAGTTTTTATTTGATAATCTGTTCTACAAAAATACTCATAAATGTACACAAATATAAGGAATTACATCATTAATTATTATCAATTCCCATGTAGCCATTTAAAAGCATTAGGTGGATCTCTATGAAATTGTCATGAATTATTTAATTCAGAAAATATTTATTAATCCATGAAGCTTGATACTGTTTGCGTGCTGAAAACTCTTCAAGATATATTAATTGAAAAAAATAAAGAAAAATATGAATAATATGATTTCATATAGTATGTTAAAACTAAAAAGCTGTTTGTGTATTTTATTGTGTTTATGTGATTACATATGAAATATTTGAAAGGATATATATATTCCAAGCTTTTAACAGTAATACAGAAAAAAAGTGGCGTGACGAATAAGGTTTGTAAAGGGGAATTTTCTTTACATGCGTCTATATTAAATGTTTAAAAATAACATATGTATCCATGTATTGCTAATAAATTTTTTAGATATACATATTTAAATTTCAGTATGTAAATGGTTGTCATAAACTTTAACATCAACAACCTATAACATATTATAATGCGTCTTGAGACATGGTGAGATACAAATTCTCATACCTTGTATGTCTTTTTCAGGGATTAGTTTGGCAGTACGTATCCACAGCCAGAAAAAATATCTCCTCTTAGTGTATACCAAAAGCTAAACAGAGTTCATGTGAAGATTCATAATATTGTAAAAATGTTTAATAAATGCCCAATGGTAGAATAGTTAAACAAATTATGGGATACTTGTAATCTAAGTTATACAGCCTTAAAAATGATGTTTTTGGCCGGGTGCGGTGGCTCACGCCTGTAATCCCAGCACTTTGGGAAGCCGAAGCGGGCGGATCACCTGAGGTCAGGAGTTGGAGACCAGTCTGGCCAACATGGCGAAACCACATCTCTACTAAAAATACAAAAATTAGCCGGGCATGGTGGCGGGCACCTGCAATCCCAGCTACTTGGGAGGCTGAGTCAGGGAGATTTGCTTGAACCCGGGAGGCAGTGGTTACAGTGAGCCAAGGTCACGCCATTGCACTCCAGCCTGGGCGACAGAGTGAGACTCTGTCTCAAAAAAAAAAAAAAAAAAAAAGATGTTTTAAACAAGTGTTTGATGAAGTAGGAAAATGTTCATACTGTATTATATTCAGTGAAAATTGTATGAAACTATATATTGTTTTAGTTTTTGCTTTATGTATATAATTGAAAAAAACTTGAAGCCGGTACACTAAAATGAACTTTTTTCATCTTTTTTTGTTTTCCCATATTTTCTAAGTAAAGCAGCATTTTGCAATCAAACAAGATCAGTGAATGTTATGGGAAAATATATATATAAGATAATGTGATTTGAAAAAAACACAAATATAGCCAGACACAGTGGCACACAATTGTAGTCCCAGCTACTCAGGAGACTGAGGTGGGAGTACTGCCTGAGTCCAGGAAATGAGACTGTATTCATACCTTTGAATGGCCACTGCACTCCAGCCTGGGCCAAGTAATGAAACCTTGTCTCAAGTTTAAAAAAAGAAAAGAAAAATACACAAATGTAAAGTCTTATTCCTACATTTATATATATAAGAGATCTTGCCAAACTTAATTCTAATTTCCTTTTTTAATATAAAAAAGAATTATATTATTATTTATTTTGGTATTTATTACATGAGATTTATGAAAACCAGAGAAATAGTTTATCTGTGCTTCAAGGATGCTTTTCCAACAATGAGAGTACTGAAGTTTTCTCTTTCAGAACTGCGGTATCATGATCCCTAGGGAATAAAATTAATAAGTACTAGGAATCTAGATAACCTTGCTTTCAGGAAGAATAAAAAGAGAGTTGTGTACTTTATTTATTTATTTATTAGCCTGGGTTAAAGGCCAGAGAATTGTTTCTACTTTTGTATAGACTATGCTAAGTAAAGTGTTCATATCTTATACAGTGCTATTTAATTACTCTCAAATACTTACCCAACTCTTCTTTTTCTAAACTCCATTAAAACCCTCCTTGGGGACAATAATAATGCAAGTTTCAGCTTATGTCAGCTTATATTTTAAAGTCCATATTCTTAAAAGAGACATGAAAAACTTGTTAGCTTCATTTCTGCTACATTTATAAAACCATCTCTTGGGAAAAAAACACAGCAGGAAATTCATCATATGTCGATGAATATTTATTCATTATGTCTTGACTGTTAGCTTCCATTCCAGCTTCTGGTATTTATAAACCTTTTCCATAAATTATGGGAGCTCTTTTTCATAAAAATGTAAACACTTTCCATAAATTCTGTAAACATGTAAATGTTTGTTGTGAATTCTGGAAGGTTTTTTTCTTATCTGAAGACTGTACTTCTCATTCACTCATTTATTCACTTAGTAACTATTTATTGAATTACTACTATGTACCAGTAATTAGAGTCACAAAAGCGAATAGGACATGATCATAATTCCTCCCCTTCTTACTAATTTTGTTTAATTTTTGTTTAGCGTCTTCTCTGAGTTAGGCAAGGTAAATGAAAGTGTGAGTTGGGGAAGAAAAGCCTGCTGAATTGCAGTATTTAAAAAGAAATAAAAATAAACTGAGAGTAACAGTATCATATGTGATAAGCAGCCTTTGGGGATACACACACACATACACATACACAGAAATATATTTTATTTTATTTTTTATTTTTATTATACTTCAAGTTATGGGATACATGTTCAGAACTTGCAGGTTTGTTACATAGGTGTACACGTGCCATGGTGGTTTGCTGCACCCATCAACCTGTCGTCTACATTAGGTATTTTTCATAATGCTATCCTTCCCCTAGCCCCTCACCCCCTGACAGGCCCTGGTGTGTGATGTTCCCCGTCCTGTGTCCATGTGTTCTCATTGTTCAACTCCCACTTATGAGTGAGAACATGCGGTGTTTGGTTTTCTGTTCCTGTGTTAGTTTGCTGAGAATGATGGTTTCCAGCTTCATCCATGTCCCTGCAAAGGACATGAACTTGTCCTTTTTTATGGCTGCATAGTATTCCATGGTGTATATGTGCCACATTTTCTTTACCTAGTCTATTGTTGATGGGCATTTGGGTTGGTTCCAAGTCTTTACTGTTGTGAATAGTGCTGCAATAAACATACGTGTGCATGTATCTTTATAGTAGCATGATTTATAATCCTTTGGGTATAAACCCAGTAATGGAATTGCTGGGTCAAGTGGTATTTCTGGTTCTAGATCCTTAAGGAATTGCCACAGTCTATCTCATTGTGGTTTTGATTTACATTTCTCTAGTGACCAGTGATGATAAGCTTTTTTTCATATGTTTGTTGGCCACATAAATGTCTTCTTTTGAGATGTGTCTGTTCATATCCTTCGTCCACTTTTCAATGGGGTTGTTTTTTTCTGGTAAATTTGTTTAAGTTCCTTGTAGATTCTAGATATTAGCCCTTTGTCAGATGGATAGATTGCAAAAATTTTCTCCCATTCTGTAGGTTGCCTGTTCACTCTGATGAGTTTGTTCTGCTGTGCAGAAGCTCTTTAGTTTAATTAGATCCCATTTGTCAATTTTGGCTTTTGTTCCCATTGCTTTTGGTGTTTTAGTCATGAAGTCTTTGCCCATCATGCCCGTGTCCTGAATGGCATTGCCTAGGTTTTCTTGTAGAGTTTGTATGGTTTTAGTTCTTACATCTAAGTCTTTAATCCATCCTGAGTTAATTTTGTATAAGGTGTAAGGAAGGGGTCCAGTTTCAGTTTTCTGCATATGGCTAGCCAGTTTTCCCAGCACCATTTATTAAATAGGGAATCCTTTCCCCATTTTTTTTTTTTTGGTCAGATTTGTCAAAGATCAGATGGTTGTAGATGTGTGGTGATATTTCTGAGGCCTCTGTTCTGTTCCATTGGTCTATGTATCTGTTTTGGTACCAGTACTATGCTGTTTTGGTTACTGTAGCCTTGCAGTGTAGTTTGAAGTCTGGTAGCGTTATGCCTCCAGCTTTGTTCTTTTTGCTTAGGATTGTCTTGGCTATACGGTCTCTTTTTTGGTTCCATATGAAATTTAAAGTAGTTTTTTCTAATTCTGTGAAGAAAGTCAATAGTATCTTGATGGGGATAGCATTGAATCTATAAATTACTTTGGTCAGTATAGATAGAATATTGATTCTTCCTATCCATGAGCATGGAATGTTTTTCCATTTGTTTGTGTCCTCTCTTATTTCCTTGAGCAGTGGTTTGTATTTCTCCTTGAAGAGGTCCTTCACATCCCTTGCAATTTGGATTCCTAGGTTTTTTATTTTCTTCGTAGCAATTGTGAATGGGAATTCACTCATGATTTGGCTCTCTGTCTATTATTGGTGTATAGGAATGCTTGTGATATTTCCACATTGAGTTTGTATCCTGAGACTTTGCTGAAGTTGCTTATCAGCTTAAGGAGATTTTGGGCTGAGACGATGGGGTTTTCTAAATAGACAATCATGTCATCTGCAAACAGGGACAGTTTGACTTCCTCTCTTCCTATTTGAATACGTTTTATTTCTTTCTCTTGCCAGATTGCCCTGGCCAGTACTTCCAATACTATGTTGAATAGGAGGGGTGAGAGAGGGCATCCTTGTCTTGTGCCAGTTTTCAAAGGGAATGCTTCCAGCTTTTGCCCATTCAGTATGATATTGGCTGTGGGTTTGTCATAAATAGCTCTTATTATTTTGAGATACGTTCCATCAATACCTACTTTATTGAGAGTTCTTAACATGAAGGGATGTTAAATTTTGTCAAAGGCCTTTTCTGCATCTATTGAGATAATCATGTGGCTTATGGATTACATTTATTGATTTGCATATGTTGAACCAGCCTTGCATCTCAGGGATGAAGCCTACTTGATCATGGTGGATAATCTTTTTGATGTGCTGCTGGATTAGGTTTGCCAGTATTTTATTGAGGATTTTCTCATTGATGTTCATCAGAGATATTGACTTGAAATTTTCTTTTTTTGTTATGTCTCTGCCAGGTTTTGGTATCAGGATGATGCTGGCCTCATAAAATGAGTTAGGCAGGAGTCCCTACTTTTCCATTGTTTGGAATAGTTTCAGAAGGAATGGTACTAGCCCCTCTTTGTACCTCTAGTAGAATTCGGCTGTGAATCTGTCTGGTCCTGGGCTTTTTTTGGTTGGTAGGCTGTAAATTACTGCCTCAATTTCAGACCTTGTTATTGGCCTATTCAGGGATTCGATATCTTCCTGGTTTTCTCTTGGGAGGCTGTATGTGTCCAGGAATTTATCCATTTCTTCCAGATTTTCTAGTTTGTTTGTGTAGAGGTGTTGATAGTATTCTCTGATGGTAGTTTGTATTTCTGTAGGGTCAGTGGTGATATCCCTTTTATCATTTTTTATTGTGTCTATTTGATTCTTCTCTCTTTTCTTCTTTATTAGTCTCGCTAGTGGTCTACCTATTTTGTTAATCTTTTCAAAAAAACCAGCTCCTGGATTCATTGATTTTCTTAAAGGTTTTTCGTGTCTCTATCTCCTTCAGTTCTGGTCTGATTTTAGTTATTTCTTGTCTTCTGCTAGCTTTTGAATTTGTTTGTTCTTGCTTCTATAATTCTTTTAATTGTGATGTTACAGTGTCCATTTTAGATCTTTTCAGCTTTCTGATGTGGGCATTTAATGCTGTAAATTTCCCTGTTAACACTGCTTTAGCTGTGTCCCAGAGATTCTGGTACATTGTCTCTTTGTTCTCATTGGTTTCAAAGAACTTCTTTATTTCTGCCTTAATTTCGTTGTTTACCCAGTAGTTATTCAGGAGCAGGTTGTTCAGTTTCCACGTAGTTCTGCAGCTTTGAGTGAGTTTCTTAATCCTGAGTTCTAATTTGATTGCACTGTGGTCTGAGAGACTGTTTATTATGATTTCCATTCTTTTGCATTTGCTGAGGATTTTTTACTTCCAATTATGTAATCGATTTTAGAATAAGTGCTATGTGGCACTGAGAAGAATGTATATTCTGTTGATTTGGGGTGAAGAGTTCTGTAGATGTCTATTAGGTCCACTTGATCCAGAGCTGAATTCAAGTCCTGAATATCCTTGTTAATTGCCTGTCTCATTGATCTGTCTAATATTGACAGTGGGGTTTTAAAGACTCCTACTATTATTGTGTGGGAGTCTAAGTCTCTTTGTAGGTCTCTAATAACTTGCTTTATGAATCTGGGTTCTCCTGTATTGGTGCATATATATTTAGGATAGTTAGCTCTTCTTGTTGAATTGATCCCTTTACCATTATGTAATGACCCTCTTTGTCTTTTTTTATGTTTGTTGGTTTACAGTCTGTTTTATCAGACTAGGATTTCATCCCCTGCTGTTTGTTTGTTTGTTTGTTTTCCACTTGCTTGGTAAATATTCCTCCATCCCTTTATTTTGAGCCTATATGTGTCTTTGCACATGAGATGGGTCTCTTGAATACAGCACACCAATGGGTCTTGACTCTTTATCCAATTTGCCAGTCTGTGTTTTTAATTGGGGCATTTAGTCTATTTACATTTAAGGTTAATATTGTTATCTATTAATTTGATCTTGTCATCATGATACTAGCTGGTTATTTTGCCCATTAGTCAATGCTGTTTCTTCATAGTGTCATTGGTCTTTATATTTTGGTGTGTTTTTACAGTGGCTGGTACCGGTTTTCCTTTACATATTTATTGCTTCCTTCAGGAGCTCTTGTGAGGCAGTCCTGGTGACAAAATCCCTCAGCATTTCCTTGTCTGTAAAGGATTTTATTTCTCCTTCACTTATGAAGCTTTTTGGTTGGATATGAAATTCTGGGTTGAAAATGCTTTTCTTTTGAGAATGTTGAATATTGGCCCCCACTCTCTTCTGGCTTGTAGGATTTCTGCAGAGAGCTGTGCTATTATTCTGCTGGGCTTCCCTTTGTAGGTAACCTGACCTTTCTCTCTGGCTTCCCTTACCATTTTTTCCTTCATTTCAACCTTGGAGAATCTGAAGATTATGTGTTCTTGGGGTTGCTCTTCCCAAGGAGTATTTTAGTGCTGTTCTCTGTATTTCCTGAGTTTGAATGTTGGCCTGTCATGCTAGGTTAGGGGAAGTTCTCCTGGATAAAATCCTGAAGTGTGTTTTCCATTTTGGTTCCATTCTCCCTGTCACTTTTGGGTACACCAATCAATCGTAGGTTTGGTCTTTTCACATAGTCCCACATTTTTTGGAGGCTTTGTTCATTCCTTTTTCAATTCTTTTTTGTCTAATCTTGTCTTCATGCCTTATTTCAGTAAGTTGATCTTCAGTCTCTGATATCCTTTCTTCAGCTTCATCGATTTGGCTATTGATATTTGTGTATGCTTCATGAAGTTCTCGTGTTGTTTTTTCAACTCCATTGGGTCATTTATGTTCCTCTCTAAACTGGTTATTCTTGTTAGCAGTTCCTGTAACCTTTTATCAAGGTTCTTAGCTTCCTTGCATTGGGTTAGGACATGCTCCTTTAGCTCAGAGGAGTTTGTTATTACCCACCTTCTGAAGCCTCCTTCTGTCAATTCGTCAGTCTCACTCTCCGTCCAGTTTTGTGTCCTTGCTGGAGAGGAGTTGCAATCATTTGGAGAAGAGGCATTTTGGTTTTTGGAATTTTCAGCACTTTTGCACTGGTTTTTCCTCATCTTCATGGATTTATCTACCTTTAATCTTTGAGGCTGATGGCCTTTGGATGGCGTTTTTGTGTGGGGGTCCTTTTTGTTGATGTCGATGTTTTTGTTTTCTGTTTGTTAGTTTTTCTTCTAACAGTAAGGCCCCTCTGCTGCAGGTCTGTTGCAGTTTATTGGAGGTCCACTCCAGGCCCTGTTTGCCTGGGTATCACCAGTGGAGGCTGCACAACAGCAAAGATGGCTGCCTGCTCCTTCCTCTGGTAGCTTCATCCCAGAGGGGCACCATCCTGATACCACCTGGAGCTCTCTTGTATGAGTTGTCTGTCGACCCCTGTTGGGAGTTCTGTCCCAGTCAGAAGGCACGGGGGTCAGGGACCCACTTGAGGAGGCAGTCTGTCCCTTAGCAGAGCTGGTGCACTGTGCTCAGAGAATCCCTTTTGTCAGGATCAGCTGCTCTCTTTAGAGCCAGCAGGCAGGAATGATTAAATCTGCTGAAGCTGCACCCACAGCTGCCCCTTCCCCGAGGGGCTCTGTCCCAGGGAGATGGGAGTTTATCTGTAAGCCCCTGACTGGGGCTGTTACCCTTCCTTCAGTGATGCCCTTCCCAGTGAGGAGGAATCTAGAGAAGCAGTCTGGCCACAGCTGCTTTGGTGCGCTGTGGTGAGTTCTGCCCAGTCTAAACCTTCCAGCCTCCTTAGCACTGTCAGTGGAAAACCACCTACTAAAGCCTCAGTAATGGCAGACACCCCTCCCCTACCAAGCTTGATCTTCCCCAGTCGGCTTCAGACTGCTGTGCTGGCAGCGAGAATTTCAAGCCAGTGATTCCTAGCTTGCTGGGCTCCGTGGGAGAGGGACCCGCTGAGAGAGACCACCTGGCTCCCTGGCTTCAGCCTCCTTTGCAGGGGAGTGAACGGTTCTGTCTCGCTGGGGTTCCAGGCACCACTGGGTTATGAAAAAAACTCCTGCAGCTAGCTCAGTGTCTGCCCAAACAGCTGCCCAGTTTTGTGCTTGTAACCCAAGGTCCTGGTGGTACAGGCACATGAGGGAACCTCCTGATCTGCAGATTGCAAAAACTGTGGGGAAAGCATAGTGATCTGACCGGGTAGCACAGCCCTCATGGCTTTGCTTGGCTTGGGGAGGGAGGTCCCCTGGCTTCTCGTAACGCCCCACCCTGCTTCTACTCACCCTCCGTGGGTTGGACTCACTGCCTAACCAGTGCCAATGTGATGAACTGGGTACCTCAGTTGGAAATGCAGAAATCACCCACCTTCTGCGATGGTGTCACTGGGAGCTGCAGACCAGAGCTGTTCCTATTCGGCCATCTTTGGATCATGTCCTAATAACAGTATTTTATAATAGTTTGTTTACCTGCTTTTCTCCCCTCACTAGACTGTGAACTTCTCATATTAATTTTTGTATCTCTAGAATCTAGGCCATTAGCATTTAAAATGTGTTCAATAAATAGCAAGTGAGTGAATTGTTAGAAATGAAAAAAATAAAGTGACAATTCTGTAAAAGGATTACTCACAAGTGAAGTAGAATCTAAGAACATAGGAGTGAGAGAAAAGGACTATTTCAGAAAGTATCACAATTTTTTCTAAGGAGTCATAGATATTTTAAGTATTTTTTCTTAGCTAATTGGGGAAAAAATCTGAAGAATTTATTATCTTTCAAAACAATTATAACTCTCATTATTTGAGCACTGTGTTTAAAATTCCCAGTATTTTGGTGTTAGAAGCTGATCATTCTCTATAGCATCCTAATTTGTAATTTTAGTTTGCAATTGACATTATTTCAGTTAACAAGACATCTTAGATATTGAAATATTGGTTAAGTTGTTGAAAATTCTTTCAGTAACTATCAGGTAAGTAAAAAACCATTGTTAATTGGTCTTTGTCTCTACACATGTGCATGCACATACAAATGCACATCTCTTTTTTTAAACCACAAATTTGCCTTTGTATTAATATTCTCAATAACATTATATTTAAGTATGTTACATTAAATCTTGGGAAATAGTGAAATTTTTTTTCTTTTCATTTCAGAAAATAGAGAATCCTGATGAACTGGCAGAACTTATAAATATGAATCTTGCGCAACTTTGCTCACTTTTGATGGCTTTATGGGGACAGTTTCTGGAAGTTATAACGCTACACGAAGAACTAAGAATATTATTAGCACAAGAGCACCATACTTTGAGGGTAAGTTAAAGAGAAGTGATTTTAGAGCATTTTAATGAGTATTATTTACCTTTAGAAAATTTTTATGAAAACAAACCTGATTTTTACCTATATATTGATAAATCAGAAAAGAGACATTTGTCATATTGTTATTGTTTGACTTCCAAAATTAATAATAGAATAGAACAATACAGTTAAGCATATGACCTATTTCAATCACAATCCCTGCTGCTAAGAAAAACCACCTAAAAGTAAGTAAAATAGGAAAATATATGATACAGAATAGAATAGGAACCTAAGAATAGGAATTAATAGCCAAGCCTCATTAGGGACAGGAATCAGGAACTAGAGAGCTGTCTCAAACTTATATCTCCCTCTTCTCCTTTTCCTTCCCTTCTTCTACCACTGACCTAATATAGGAATGTGTATTATTAACTTAGCAGGATGGAGGGGGCAGTCCACACATTACACATATATGTTTACTGTAGACCTAGTATGGACATTATGCAGGTATTTCTATGTAATTTTATTGTATAGCATCTCAAGAGGTTTTACGTGTTAAATAACTATCTTTCCATCTTGTTTCCTTATATACTCTGCATGCACCCTGATTTTACTTTACGTACTAGGAGTTCCTCCAAACATCATTAATTTTTTTCCTTTTTTAAAAAAATTTTTTAATTATAAAACATAACACATAAAGTCAGAAAATGCATAAAACAGGCACATTTTATCAAATAATTAAAGCATACACCCTTTCAGTTATTATCCAGATCAAGAAGTAGAACACTCTCAATGCTACAGATGTTCTCTCTGTATCTTTTCCAATTACCATACCCTTCCTAATACTTAGAAGTAATCACTATACTGTCTTTTGTGATGATGAGTTCCTTCCATTTTAGTTTTATCACCTATGTATGCACACTAAATAGAGGTTGTTTCCACCTGTTATTGAATTCTATATAGATGAAATTGTACAGTAGTATTCTTCTCTATCTTGCTTTTTCACTCAAGACATTAGGATATTAATCCATCTTTTTTGACAGTACCTGTAGATTGTTCATTATCATTGCTGTAATATATCTCCATTTGAATATACCCACATTTATTTATCCATTCTACTGTTGATAGATTCTTGGATTACTTCTAACTTGTGGCTATTACAAACCAAGCTGCTATGAACATTCTTATGTATATGTCCTGGCATACCAGTTTCTCTGAAATACTTACCTGTGAGGCAAATTGCTGAGTCATAGGTTATGCATAACTTCAATTTTACTAGCTAATGTGACAGTTTTCAGAGTTGTACCAATTTTTACTCCCACCAGCACAGTTTGTTACTCCACACACTCTCCAACTCTTGATACTGGCAAGCTTTTTAAACTTTGCCAAACTGATGGATGCGAAATGGTATATTATTGTGGCTTTAATTTGCATTTCTCTGATTACCCATGCAGTTGAGCACTGCTTTGTGTGATTATTGGTTATGTAGGTTTGCTCCATATGAAGTGCCTATTCTAATGTTTTGCCCATTTCTAATAAGATAACTTTTTTCTTCTTTATTTCTGATACTTTTCTGTGTCCTTTGTTATGTGTTTTTACTAATAGATCCTCTCTCATTTCATGGTTTATTATTTTCATTGACTTTATATTGTTTTTTAATGAACTGGAGGTCTTAATTTTAGAATAGAAGGAAACTAAGAGAAAGGCCAGACATGGACATAGCCATTTTTGGACATAACATATGTGGATCGGTGTAAAAGATGGAGATTTTTCAATAAATGATGTTTGAGACAATTGGGTATCCATATGGTAAGTATTAAATAAAATTCAGTTCCAAGTGGATTGAAGATTTAAATGTGAAAGGCAAAACTGTAAAGCTTCTAAAGTATAATCAGAAACTTACAGAAGACTTTAAAAAGTTGGCCAGGAGCAGTGGCTCACACTGTCCCAGCACTTTGGGAGGCCAAGGCAGGTGGATCACCTGAGGTCAGGAGTTCAAGACCAGCCTGGCCAACATAGTGAAACCCCATCTCTACTAAAAATACAAAAATTATCCAGGCGTGGTGGCGAGTACCTGTAATCCCAGCTACTTGGGAGGCTGAGGCAGGTGGTAGAGGTGGAGGTTGCAGTGAGCTGAGATCACACCACTGCACTCCAGCCTGGGCAACAAGAGTCAAACTCCATCTCAAAAAAAAAAAAAAGGTAGTGCAGAGTACTTCTATATAATTTTCATCAGAATCACAAATTAGCATTTTGGTACATTTGCTTTATCATTGCCTGTTTTTTGTAGGTAGATACACATATATATATATATATATGCATACATATATACTTACATACATTGTTTTTCCTGAACAATATGATAATTATAGACATAGTATTCTTTTATCATTAAATACTTCAGCATATATATTCTAAGAATATGGACATTCTCTTAGGTTAACCAATACACTGATCTTCTTTAGAAAATTTTATATTGACACAATATTGATATTTAATGTATGGCCCATATTTAAGTTTTGCCAATCATCTTACTAATGTTTTGCATAACAGCTTTTTCCAAGATCAAATTCAGGAACACATTGAATTCAGTTTTCATGTTCCTTTACTCATTTAATCTGGACTAATTCCTTATCTTTGCGTGACCTTGATTTTTTTGAAGAGTATTGGCCAGTAAGTTTGTGAACTATTCTTCAGTTTGGGTTTGTATTATATTTCCCGGTGATTAGATTAAGATGACACAGTATTGGGGGGATACTACATTTTTTTTTCAATCAGTTTTGGTAAATTATATTTTTGGAGGAGTTTGCCCATTTTGAGTTTTTAAATTTATAATCAAGTAGTTCATAGTATCCTTCAATTATCTTTTTAATATCTACAATATTTAATGTTTTCTAGTTTCATTCCTGATTTTATTCTAGTTTCTAGTTGTTTGTGCCTTCACTCTTTTTTTCTTGAATTGTCTCACCAGAAGTTTGTTATTTTATTTGTCTTTTCGAAAAAGCAATTTTTGGTGGTGTTAATTTTCTCCTTGTGTGTTTTGTTTTGTTTCATTATTTTTGCTATATTGTAGTAAACAGGATCCATGTATCAAATACTGTTGTTTTATAGGACTTTTTCTTAGAATTTCTTTATTAAAGGTCAATCACCTTCTTTAAAGGGCTAAATAAAAAGGATTCTACAATGGATAAAATAGCATAATCACTGTATTCAACTTACTAATGGTCTGGCATCATCTTAATGTAGCAATTTAGAATGAATAGCATAATGAATGGAATATATTTTTTTCCGCAATTTTCAGGAACATCATTTCTCACTACCAAGATTTTGAACAACAATGAATTGTGGTAATAGTATCAGAAAGGTAGCCAGTTTTCAGGGTAAATTAAAGTGATGTTGATAAGCATTAAAGGATCTCACTGACATTCTTTTTTTGGAAATTTAGGACTCTGACAAGACTTGAAAGGCAGTCCACCTCTATAAAGAGGTGAGGTGAATGCATACCAATAACTCAGGCAAAGTTTTCTTGAAAAGTATGTCAGAATACACAACCAGCGACCCAATTTTCTATGCTGTAAAACAAGAATCAACTTTTTCTGTTAAGGACCAAATGGTAAACATTTTGGACTTTGGGAGCCACACATCTTTGTCTAAACTACTCAACTCTGTTATAACATGAAAGCAGCCATGGATGGTATATGAATAAGTGAATGTGGCTGTGTTTCAATAAAGTTTTATTTACAAAAACAGGTGTTGGGCCAGATTTGGTTCTCAGGCTGTAGTTTGCCAACGCCTACATTATAAAGCTAAGAGGAGAGTTGATACCTCTTCCACAAAATAAAAGTCTGTTTGAAGGTTATTTTTAGTGACCAGTAGAAGTAAAGGCCAGTAGCAAGAAATAGTTTTACATGGGAAAGGTAATCTTCAGGGTATTTTTTTCTCTTTTTTTTTTATTTTGTTTTTTCTTTTTTTTTTTTTAATTTTTATGTTTTTATTTAGTTCCCGCAAGCAGACAGGGTATTTTTTTAAAAACTATGTTTTACTAGAGAAAAATATTATAGTTCCATTAAATTGTTCTGTTTGTGTCACCTGAATGGAAGTTCTGGGAAGAGAATGGTCGCAAGGATTAGAGGCAACTTTATAGCTTGATATTCAATGGGAAGGAAGCTATTCTGGGTGGACTAGGAACAAGAAGGTAAACTTAAAAGAGCAGCTGGTGAACACAACTTTGAGAAGAAGGGACAAAGAAAGGGGACTAAGACAAAAATCAGGTTTGTGGAAAATTAGAATACCAAAGATAAACTTTGGAATTTTACCTAGCGCTTCCCTTTTCTCACCCCATTCCAGATACCAAGATAGGGCCTATTTTAATTGCTAAATGAATCATGGAAGGATAATAAAGACAAAATAAGAAAATGTCCTAATGTTACTCAAGCAGGAATAAGCTTTGCCCTTCCCTGCAGTGTATCACAAAAACTGTGGACATGGTAGCATACTGTGTTATCTGGCTCCCATTTATGCAATTCAAGAGGAACCTTGCTAATAAAATATCTTGTTCTTCTGAGAATACAGTGCTAAGCCTACAGGAACTGAAGTAGTCTAAAGGTCATTCAGTGTTTGTACAGGGACAGACTTAGCTACAATAAAGTATATAGGCTGTCTGATAACGAATTCAGAAGCAGCACAATTGAGCAAAGTCACAGAAATAAACCTCTGATATGAAATCTCTCCTTATTGGTGTGAAAGCAAATTGTGAAGCAAAGAGTTGGACTAAAAAGAGGAAATGTAAATCTATACTTGAAAAGAACAATTTAATAAATTAATTTTATACTGGTTCAACTATATTATTTAATATTAAGATCCAGTAAGTTCAGGTTTTCAAATTTTTGGCAAATTAAGGCATCCAAACTTGTTGAGCTTCTGTAGTCACATGCCGTACACATTCATGCTACATCATAGAGACTATTGTGTGTGAATAGTTACAGGTGACCCATACTAATTAAAAAGATAAAATATATTTATGATAAGTGAATAATGTCTTTGTCATTTCAAACTAAAATGGAATGATCAAGTGGGACAGTTTACACAAAAAGCAAAAAAAAATCTGAAATCATCCTGAATTTTATGTGTCAAGAACTGTAAAGAATCTTGAGATTTTGCCCTCCTAATTACATGCTAACAAGTTAGCCTACCATAGATTGATTCATGTATAGCAGCAGAAAACTTGAGACAAAGGACCTTATTAATGGTAGGATTATCATTTGTTCTCTTTCCTTGAGCCTAGATTTCCACAGCTCAACATAAAAAAGGCGAGGTTCATACTAGTGGATTGCAATACAGGAGAAAAACTCTGTGCTTAGGGATCCAAAATATTTTATAATGCACAGCAAGCTTTATCCACCAATGCTGTAAGTGGACCTGTTCTTTGCTCCAAAGGGAGACATATCTCTGTTTCCCCAGGCTTTTCCCTAATACGAGCATCCTTGAAAAGATAGTCTGTAACAAAGACAGTCAGGATTTCTGCTCACAAGCCTTTCAGAAATGCAAGAGACACATGAAGAATTGTCTCTCAACAGTATGTCTTATAGAGAACTTGCTTTCATTGCAGTTTATTTCCTCAATAATTTTACTGATCTTTATTGCTAGTGCTTCCAAAGATACCTCTTGTTGTGTTATAATGCTTCCTATTATAACATCAGAGATGCCATATTTAATATTGATTGTAACTTGTGTCTGGAATTATAAGTCCAATATTAGGGAGATAATATATTCAGTTTGCAGATCAGAGAGCCAGATTTTGTGCTTTGTGCTAGCATTGCTGCCCTAACCAAGCTTTTGTTAGGGTTAGTGGAGTCAGACAAAGTAACAGTTGAGTTCACATTCTTTCAGAGACATGATGGTTACATCAGCTTGTATAAATCTTTAGTTCTATCATACAAAATATTTATAAATAAAGATCCTGAAGCCAAATACATAGGGTTGCCAGATGAAATGCAGAATGCCCAGTTAAATTTGGATTTCAGGTAAACAGCAAATGATATTTCAATATAAGTATATCTGGTGCAACCCTATCAAATAGCATACTAAAGCATCAAAAGGTTTAATTGTGTTTTACATATTTCTGTATGTGAAGTATTAATATATCTTAGATACGGAAAAGAATTCCTTGCTCAAGAAGAAAACAAATTTTAAGCTTATTCTTGTGTGGAAGCAGGGCCTTTTGGAAACATATGGCTTTACTTAAAATGCGTGCACTGTTATTTATGGTTCTAACCTAGAGCAAAAAAAATCCAAGTTGATATGGTGACTCTGCTATTCAGTTACTTAGTATTCTGTAATATTGCTCATTTAAATTCATCACATTAACATGTCTTTCCTGGCTGGGCACAGTGGCTCACACTTGTAATCCCAGCACTGTGGAAGGTGGAGGTGGGAGGATCACTTGAGGCTGGGAGTTTACAACCAGCCTGGGCAACATAGTGAGATCTTGTCTCTATTAAAAAAAAAATTATGTCTTTCCTTGAACTATAAAATGGAACTCTGCTTCTATGAGGTTAGCCTCTTTTATTCTTTGACTAACATCTCTCTCACCTTGTAGTTGCCTGTTTATGTTTTTGATTTCATAGCAACAGGTTTGTTACTAATGCTTTATTGAAATTACAGTGATTCTTCCAGGACCACTGCCTGTAAGCCCAAGGATTCATCTAAAAATTGAAAGGAGACCTTCATAGATGGATAGACTATATTGTGCTCTTGGTTTTGTTTGTTTTTCCCACAGAATGTTTATGGAAGGACCATAGTAATTTATTTATATTTTTACTTAATAAACGTGTATAGCAGTTATTATCTGTGTAAGGCACTAATTGCTTTATAAATGTTAACTCATTTAATCATCAGTACAATCTCATGAAGTAAATATTTTGTCATTCCCATTTTATAAAAGAAATATTGAGGTTCTAGAAAGGTGAAATAACTTAGCCAAAGTTGCATATCTTGTACATGGTAGTGACTGGATGGGAACCCAGGCAGTAGATGCAGACCTGATATTTCCACATTTCATCTCTTTCCCATGAATTTGCAAAGTATTAAAAACGAAGTAAATTAAGACTTCAAACAAAATAGTAGTACAAACTTATAACATTAGAATACCGTTTATTATGACGCTGGTTTGCTATACTGTTTATATTTTACAAGCAAAAAGAAATACAATCTCAAACATAGTTTTCAGTGTCAACTTGGTGGTATAAAATATAGTTTTGGATTTTTTTTCCAGTTGAATTTAAAGAGAACATGCCATTTGCTGCATTCACTGGAATTAATCATAAAAAAATACTGTAGAACACTAAGTATGCTGCCGTTGGTCTAATAGCTAGGAAATCAAAACGTTTATTGACAGCACCACCGAAGTAGAAGATTCAAAGGCATAGATGTTATGTAACATGATATATATAGGTAACTGTTTCCTAAGATTTAATTTTGTTGGGGGGCGGGTGGGGATAACAAATTTTGAGGGTAACAGATTTTATGTAATGCAAATTAACCATTAACAATTTTAATGTATACAATTCAGTGGCATTTAATATAGTCACAGTGTTGTGTAACCATCACCTCTGTCTTATTCCAAGACATTTTCATCACTCTGAAAGGAAACCGTGTACACATTAAGGAATCACTCCCATGTCCCCTTTCCCCATTCCCTGGCAACCGCTAGTCTCATTTACTGATCTTGGAAGTTTCATATAAATGTAATCATACAACATTTTGTATCTGGTTTCTTTCACTTAGAATAATGTACCAAGTTTCACCCATGTTTTACATGTATCCATATAATGATTTATTTTTGTAGCAGAATTCCATTGTATGGATATACTACATTATTTTATCTGTTTGTCATTGATAGACATTTAAGTTCTTTCTACCTATTGACTACTATGAATAGTTGCTGGTATGAAAATTTGTGTACAAATATTTGTTTGAATATCTGTTTTTAGTTATTTGGGGTATATACCTAGGAGTGGAATTGCTGAGTCATATGGTAATTCTATGTTTAACTTTTTGAGGAACATCCAAACTGTTTTCCACAGCAGCTGCACCACCTTACATTCCCACCAGCAATGTACAAGGATTCTAATTTCTTCATATACTTACAAACACTTGTTATATTCTGCTTTTTGTTTTGGGGTTTTTATCATGGCCAACCTAGTAAGAGTGAGATGGTATTTTCATTGTAGCTTTGATTTGCAGTACCCTAATGACTAGTGACCTTGGACACCTTTTCATATGCTTATTTACCATTTGTGTATCTCCTTTGGAGAAATGTGTATTCAGGTCCTTTCCCCATATTTTAATTGGGTTGTTTGTCTTTTTGTTGTTGAGTTTCAGTTATTTATATATTCTGGTAACTAGGCCCTTATCTGATACATAATTTGCAAATGTTTTCTTCTATTCTATGAGTTGCTTTTTAGCTCTCTTGATAATGTTCTTTGGTGCACAGGACATCAGGGCAGCAGGAAAAATCTTAAATTTATTTTTCCCCAGTAAAAGAAATCCTGTAAATTAAGATAAATATATTCAGCAGTTATCGTCATGATAAAAAATTTTAAAGATATAAGGTAACCCTTGAGAGAAAGTATTGTGCTTATATCTGCTACTAATACAGTTTTCTTGGAATACTTATTACATGCAATGGAAAAAATCCACATGGTAAGGGGGAGAGAAAAGGATTTCTAATCTCAATTTAATTAGTGTATATCTATGTTACCATAGATTTTCTTGCCTGATATCAGGATATATTTGATTTTTTAAAAAATTGAGAGTCCTCAGAGAGGCCAAAGCCCAGAATCTTTATATTCAGGAGATCTAGGTTGTATAAACACTTGTACAGTCTTGTGTTACTTAATGATTAGGATACTTTCTGGAAAATGCTTTGTTAGGTGATTTCATCATTGTGTGAACATTATAGAATATACTATAGAACATCATAGAATATACTACCCAAAGCTAGATAGTATAGCCTGCTACACACCTAAACTAGATAATACAGCCTGTTACTCCTACGCTACAAACCTGTACAGCATGTGACTGTACTGAATACTGTGTTGCAACACAGTGGTATTTGTGTATCTAAGCCTATCTAAACATAGAAAAGGTACAGTAAAAATATGGCATTGTAATTTTAGGGGAGACCATCCTATACGCGATCCATCATTGTCTTAAACGTCATTATGTGGAGCATGACTATATGAACTTACTGAATTATCATTATAACATATTTTGAAAACTACTCAATACTTCAAGAAAATTATTTCATTACTTCACAAAATGACTTTGTGCTGCTTTTCGGTCAGTTCCTACACCCCATAAGCAACTACTGTCTTGATTAGAAATAGAATTTTCATTTACTTCAGTCAACATAATTTCTTTTAGATTAGCCCATGTTGTATATATTTGTAGTTCATTTCTTTATCGTTGAGTAGTATTTTATGGTATCGTATATCAGAATTCATTTATCTGTTCCCCTTAACTCTTCTGAGTAAAGATGCTACGAACATTCTTCTACAGATCTTTTTTGTGAACATAAGTTTTTATTTCTATTGCTTACATACATAGGAGTAAAATTGCTTGGTCATTGGGTAGATTTATCTTCAACTTAATAAAAAATCATTTTTTTTTCCAAAATGGCTATACAGTTTTAAACTCCTAACATTAACGTATGAGAGTTTCAGTTGTTCCACATGCTTGTATTGTTTGGTGTCGTCAGTCTTTAACTACTATAGTAGGGGTAAAGTGGAATTTCATTATGGCTTTATTTTGCTTTTCTCTGCTGACTCCTGATATTGAGGGTTTTTGTTATGACTTTAGTTTTGTAAAATGTTAAATTAGGTTGCCTTTTTATTACTGACTTATTAAGATTATTTATATATATTCTAGTTATGGATCCATTGTCAAATATATTTATTAAATTCTCCTAGCCTGAGGTTTATATTTTCGTTTTCTCAGTGATGTATTTTGATGAGACTAAGTACAATTTATCTTTTTTTCTTTTATGTTTAGTACTTTTGTGTCCTAAGAAATCTTTGCCCAAGTCATGAAAAATATTATTCTGTATTTGCTTTAGAGAGCATTAGAATTATAGATCTTACATTTAGGACCATGGGTCATCTTGAATTAATTTTTTAATTTGGTGTGAGGTGTATGGGTCAAGATTCTTTCTTTTTTTTTTCTGTTCAGGTTTTTGACATCATTTATTGAAAACACTTTTCTGACTCTATGGAATTGCCTTAAAATCTTTGTTGAAAATCAATTGACTAATAAGCATGAGTCTATTTCTTGACCTTTTTTCCTGTTGCATTGGCCTGTTATACATCTCTATGTTAATAAATACCACACTAACTTTATTGTTATAATATTATACTAAGTCTTGCAGCCAGGTAATAGCATAAGTCCTCCAAGGTTTTCTTCTTTTTTGAGATTGTTTTGGCTATTCTAGATCTCTTGCAATTCTATATAAATTTTAAATCAAGTGTTAACAGCTCTTTTAGAATTTGTCTAGCAGGTTTTCTGGTTTTTATTGGAAAACCTTCCTCCACAGAAAATTTTAAATCATGTCAATTTCTTTTTTTTTTTTTTTTTTAATCCTCTTGGGATTTCAGTTTACATTAAGTAAAATCTATAGATCAATTTAGGGACAATTACCTCCTTAACCATATTGATTCGGACAATTTGTGGGCATGATATAGCTTCCTATCTAGCTCCCCTTTTATTTAGACCTTCAATTTCTCTAAAACCTGCTTTTGTAGTTTTTATGCCTGAAGTTTACTCATAAGCATTTTATATTATCTGATACTATTATAAATGGTTTTTAAATTTTATTTTCCAAATGGTTGCTACTAGGATGTAGAAGTATAATTGATTTTTGCATATTGACCTTATACTTTATTGCTTTGCTAAATTTTTTAGGTAGAGTATTCTATAAATCTCAATCAGCTCAAGTTGGTCAATAGCGTTATTTAACCTTGGACTGACAGTTTTCTCCCTCTGTTTGAGTACTTTAAAAAGTACCATTATCTTCTGGCCTCTGTAGTCTGATTAAAAAGTCAGTTATTTATACTATTTTTCCCCTCTGGCTGCCTTTAGGATTTTTCTCCTTGTCTTTGTTTTCCAGCAGTTTGACTATGATATGCCTTGTTGCAGTTTTATTGTTTTTGTTGTTGTTTGTTTTTTTTTGTCTTTATCTTGCTTAGGATTTGCTGATATTCTTGGAGCTCTAGGTTATTTTTATCAGTTTTAAAGAGATTTGCTATTATATCTTCAGATATATTTTCTGCCCCATTTCTTTCCCTCCCTTCTCCCTCTAGTACTCTAATTATATGTATATTATATCATTTGATACTCTTGTTTTTCAGCAATTTATCCTCTATGTTCTTCAGACTGAATAATTTCTGTTATTCTGTCTTCAGATTCATTAACTCTTTTCTGTAGCAACTAATCTGCTCTTAATCTCATCTAGTAAAATTTCACTTCAGATATTATATATTTTACTTCTTAAATTTCCATTTGGTTCTCTTCACGTATAATACTTCCATTTTTATGCTGAGAAGCCCTGTCTGTTTACTGTTTATGACCAGCTTCTTTCAGTCATTGGGCAATTTATAATTATTGTTTAAAAGTCCTTGCTTAGAATTCTAGTTTCTGAGCCAGCATGGAAGAGCTTTGGAAGTTGTTACTCCCATCCTAACCAGAAAAAATCTGAACGAACTGAAAAATCAACAACTCTTCTTAGATTTATCGGAGAATTAAGGTCACAGGCAAACTCCTGTCCCCAAAATTGGTGAGTCAGATAGCCAGTTACAGAGAATCCCATCTTAATGGAACAAAAACCCATGAACAGAAATCACCACTGTAGCCAGTCCTGCAATAGGAAAACTTCTAATTGATGATTCCTGGAGACTCAGTATGGACAGATGAGTTAAAAACTCCTGGCAGGGGTGAGGGAGGTCTTAGGGGATCCCATACTTTTCATGACTTTCACTTCCAAGAGCCCTCCCAGTTTCTTTCAGTGAAAATTGCAGAAAAGCCCTCATACTTCCAGATGGTGGGGAGGGAATGTAGCCATTTTGAAATACATCCAGAACATTCTGTCCTTAACAAAATGTGCCTCAGTAGAAACTATCTTATCAGAGCTTCACTGACCTGGGAGGAAGAGAAATATCCAACTCTAGCCTTCTGTATGGGGGAAATAAAATATCCGTTATCATATGTTATTAGAGAATTACAAATCAAAACAAGATAACCACCGTATACCTATAAGAATGGCTATAATCCAAAACACTGACAACAGCAAATGTTGGTGAGATGTGGAGCAACAGGAATTCCCATTCATTCCTGGTAGGAACACAAAATAGGATGGCCACTTTGGAAGACACTTTGGTAGTTTCTTACAAAACTGAACATACTCTCATCATATAATCCAGCTATCACACCGCTTGGTGTTTACCCAAATGAATTGAAAATTTATGTCCACACAAAAACCTCCACATATAGCAGCTTTATTCATAATCATCAAATTTGGAAGCAACCAAGATGTCCTTCAGTAGGTAACTGGATAAACAAACTGTTGTCCATTCATACAGTGGAATGTTATTTAGCAATAAAAAGAAATGATCAGTGAAGCCATGAAAAGACATAGAGGAAACTTGAAAGCATATTGCAGGCTGAAAGAAGCCAACCTGAAAAATCTACATATATGTATGATTTCAACTATACGACATTCTGGAAAAAGAAAAACTATGGTGACAGTAAAAAGATCCGGGTTGTCAGGGGCTCTGGGGGACAGAGGGAGGGACAGGTAGGTAGAGCACAGGGGATTTGGGGGGCAGTAGAAGTATTCTGTATGATACTGTAATGGTATATATATGTCATTATATATTTTTCAAGCCCCATGTACCACACCAAGAGTGAACCTTAATGTAAATAATGGACTTTAATATTGATATATTAATATTGGTTCATCAGTTGAAACAAATGTACCACAGTAACACAAGATGTAAATAAGAGGGGAAGCTGGATGTGTAGGGGTGGGGAAGAGGGCAATATGGAAACTCTTCGTACTTTCTGATCAGTTTTTCTGTAAACCTAAAACTGCTGTAAAAAAAAAATAAAGTAACTTTTTAAAAAATTGCCTACTTATTCAAACATTTCAATTATCTTGGTGTCTCTTTCTATTGGCTGATTTTATCTCGATTGTAGATTATATTTTCCTGATGCTTTGCCTGTCTAGTGCTTGTTCCTCAGTGCTTGAAAAAGTCACTTCATGTATTTTAACCAGTTTTACAGTTGTTTGCAGAAGGAAGAGGGTAAGTTCTCCTCTCATGGTCTCAGTTGACATTAAAATAGAAGTTTTCAGCCCCGGCTGTACATTTGAATTTCTTGGGAACTTAGATCAGTGCTGAATGAGGTCCAGACCTAGGGAACTTTTTAAAAGTTGTGCAAGTGATTAACAGGGTTAGGGTATCCCTGAGTAACTGTGCTAGAAAGAGTGGGAACTGAAATTTGGCCTGTCCTCCTTGGAGTCTAGTTGCATCTGCCTGTAGAAGGAGCATGTTTTTGAAATTTATACTTTAAAGCTGCCATATGGATTAGCAGGATCCTAGATTCTAATGTGGACCCATTACCTTCCAGTAAGGAAACCAGAGTGTCAGTGAATTCTTATTAGCTTTTATTGAGATTTTAATATCATAAAATAGTATTTTCTTTTCTTTTTTTTTTTTTTTTTTTTTTTGAGACAGAGTCTTGCTCTGTCACCCAGGCTGGAGTGCAGTGGCGTGACCTCGGCTCACTGCAAGCTCCGCCTCCTGGGTTCACGCCATTCTCCATCTCAGCCTCCCAAGTAGCTGGGACTACAGGCACTCGCCACCATGCCTGGCTAATTTTTTTGTATTTTTGGTAGAGATGAGGTTTCACCGTGTTAGCCAGGATGGTCTCGATCTCCTGACCTTGTGATCCGCCCATCTCGGCCTCCCAAAGTGCTGGGATTACAGGTGTGAGCCACCGTGCCCAGCCATAAAATAGTATTTTCAACAGTATTGATGGAACTTATATTCTAGTAGAGGGGAAAAGTTAGGAATAGCTTGTATAGCCATTCTTTTCCACTTTAAGAACCTCTTTACAATGATGCATTATTTACTCAAAACATTATGAAGTTTGCATTTTTAAGAAGAGATACTTATTGCTTAAACTACTTGATCTGATATTCTTTGAGTATAACTGTGAATGTCTATTTTCTAAATAAATTAAAAGTACTTCTTTCTGGGAACATATTGCTTATTTATAGTATATAATTTGATGCTTTTATATTTCGCAAGGTTTAGGCAGACTTCCAATTTGGCTATAACTATAAGCATAAACAATATTTTATCACCTTTATGTGTATATATACAAACCACATCTAGCACTTCCAGTAAATAAGTCTATCCAGGTGGGGGATGGTGGCTTATGCCAATAATGCTAACATTTTGGGAGGCTGAGGTGAGTGGATCACTTGAGCCCAGGAGTTCCAGACCAGCCTGGGCAAGATGGGGAAACCTCATCTCTACAAAAAATACAACTATTAGCCAGGCATGGTGGTGTGCACGTCTTTTTCCTTTTTTTTTTTTTTTTTTTTTAGATGGAGTTTTGCTCTTGTCACCCAGGCTGGAGTGCAATGGCACGATCTTAGCTCACTGCAACCTCTGCCTCCCCGGTTCAAGCAATTCTCCTGCCTCAGCCTCCTAATTAGCTGAGATTACAGGTGCCTGCCACCATGTCCAGCTAATTTTTGTATTTTTAGTAGAGACAGGGTTTCACCGTGTTGGTTAGGCTGGTCTCGAACTCCTCCCCTCAGGTGATCCACCTGCCTCGGCCTCCCATAGTGGTGGGATTACAGGCATGAGCCCCATGCCCAGCCAGTAGTGTGATCTTTAATGGGTAATTTTTTTTCTTTAAATATTCTAACCATAATCTTTGATGTTACTATTGGAATTGTTTTGAAGCACCACAGTTGTGCCCATATATGACAGTGAACTTAATACATGTTGTGTTTGTTCTGACTGTTTCACCAACTAGCATTCCCTTCATCTCTCTTCCTCTACTTGGGTCTCCATATTCCCTGAGAAACAGCAATATTTAAATTAGGCCAGTTAATATGCAATGATCTCTAAGTGTTCAAGTGAGAGGAAAAGTTGCAAGTTTCTCAATTTAAATCAGAAGCTCGAGATGATTAAGCTTAGGGAGGAAGGCATGTCGAAAGCCAAGATAGACTGCAAGGTAGGTCTCTTGCACCAGTTAGCCAACTTGTGAATGTAAAGGAAAAGTTATTGAAGGAAATTGAAATGCTTTTCTAATGGAACGATAAGAAAGTGAAACAGCCTTAGTAGTGATGTGGGAAAAGATTGAGTGTTCTGGATAGAAGATCAAACCAGCCACAACAGTGCCTTAAGTCAAAGCCTAATCCACAGCAGGGTCCTAACTCTTTTCAATTCTATGAAGGCTGAAAGGTAAGGAAGCTACAGAAGAAAAATTTGAAACTAGCAGAGATTGGGTGTTGAGGTTTAAGGCAGGAAGTCTCCATAACATAAAAGTGTGAGGTAAGGCAGCAAGTTCTGATGGAGAAGCTACAGCACATTATCCAGAAGATCTAGCAAAAATAATTGATGAAGGTGGCTGCACTAAACAACAGGTTTTCAATGGAGATAAAACAGCCTTCTAGTAGAAGAAAATGCCATCTAGGACTTTCATAGCTAGAAAAGAGAAATCAGTACATGACTTTAAAGGGCAGGCTGACTCTCTTGTTAGGAGCTAATGTAACTGGTGCCTTGAAGTTGAAGCCAGTACTCATTTACCATTCCTAAATTCTAGAGCTCTTGAGAATTATGCAGAATCTACTCTGCTGCATTAACAAAACAACAAAGCCTAGATTACAGCACATCTGTTTACAGCATGGTTTACTAAATATTTTAAGCCCACTGTTGAGACCTACAGTTCAGGAATAAAAAGATTCCTTTCAGAATATTATTGCTCATTAATATTGCACCTACTCAGCCAAGACCTCTCATGGAGATATACAAGGAGATTAACGATGTTTCCATGTGGACTAACACAACGATCTATTCTTCAGCCCATGTGATGCATGAGTCATTTTGACTTTCAAACCTTATTACTTAAATACATTTTGTAAGGTGTTGGCTGCCCCAGATGGTGATTCCTCTGGTGGATCTGGGCAAAAGGAAAACTTTTGGGAAAAAATCACCGTTGTAGATGCCATTAAGAACATTCATGATTCAAGGAAGGAGGTCAAAATATCAACATGAACAGAAGTTTGGAAGAGGTTGATTCTAACCCTCATAGGTAACTTTGAAGGGGTCACGACGAGTGGAGAAAATAACTGCAAATGTGGTATAAATAGCAAGAGAACTAGAATTAGAAGTGGAGCCTGAAGATGTGACTGAATGGCTGCAATCTCATTATCAAACTTGAATAGATGAAGAGTTGCTTCTTATGGATGAACAGAGAAAGTGGTTTCTTGAGATAGACTCTACTCCTGGTGAAGATGCTGCGAACATTGTTGAAATAACAAAAGATTTGGAATATTACATAAACTTAGTTGAAAAAGCAGTGGCGAGTCAAGAGGATTGACTCAATTTTGAAGTTCTACTCTGGGTAAAATGCTGTTAAACTGCATCACATGCTAAGGAGAAATCTTTTGTGAAAGGAAGAGTCAATTGATGCAGCAAACTTCATTGTTGTAATTTAAGAAATTGCCATAGCCACTGCAGCCACCCTGATCAGCAGCTATCAATATCAAGGCAAGACCTTCCAGCAGCAAAAGTAGCCGAAGGCTCAGATGATCATTAGCATTTTTAACAATAAAATATTTTTAAAGTATACACATTGGCTTTTTTAAAAAAGGTATAATGCTATTGCACACTTAAGAGACTACAGTATAGTGTAAACATAACTTTTATACACACTGGGAAACTGAAAAAATTCATGTGACTTGCTTTATTGCAATATTCACCTTATTGTGGTGGTCTGGACCCTAACCCATAATATTTCCAAGGCATGCCTATACTAAACATACTTTAGTATAGGTATGATATGATATATATGATAATAATTTAGTTGTGAATTTTATTTAATGTGCTCAGCTTTTAATGCACTAGTATTCCATATTATTAAAAATGCCAGGATATTGGAATATCCATTAAAAGACCTCAAGTATTAATTTTTTATTTATTTTGTGTGATCTTTTATAGGGGAATTCTAGGCTTTTTTTTTAAGGACGGATATTTCTTCATCACGTTCTCATCATTTCTTGTAACTGCCTGTGTACTTACCTCTGTAATTCATTTTTCTTTGTCTAATTTGCTCTTTTAATGTGGTGTGGATTGGGAAAGCAAATAACTGAAACCAAGTGCAATTGTATCAACTAGTAAGTATAAATCAGCTTTGTAATGAAACAATTTTATGATAATTTTGCTATGAGTTAGTGCAAGGACGTAAAAAACATTTGTTCAGTAAACATTTGCAAGGTGCTTATTTTTTTCAAGGTAGCATAGATATTAGATAATCTATCAGATATAGACCCTGCACTCAAGATTAGAATCTAATCTGAATGCACATGTATAGAATTGTAATATAAATACTGTGTTAGCAATTTGAACAGCATTATTAGAATGAACACAGATACAGGAGTATTTAACTCTGTGAAGCATTAACAAATACTTATTTTGAATGCTTGGCTGTCTTCCTCCTAGCTTTTGAATAAGTGATGTTGCCAAATAAGTTTTTTTTTAATTGGGCACACAAAATTCATTTTTTATAAATATCAAAAATGCATGCCAAAATACATACATATACAAAGCAGTAATATATATATTCCCCATATTTGAAATTTAAATTTGTAAATTAAAAATTTTTTTCTGTCAAACTTTTGCCTGAAAATTAGCTGTATTGCCATCAGGTGGCAGTCATACCTTAGTTATGGCCACACACTACAGTTAATACCCTTAGTTGTAATAGCTACAGCATGATAATTATGCTGAGAGTGAATTTAGAAAGAACTTCATTTGGGTGCATACAAGAAAGATTTCTGATAACAAGGAGTCTTAATGCAGAAAGGAAAAGGTAAGTGTTTGGAGCACAAGAACTGGAGTTTCTCAAATCTTCGTTTGAATCACAGGTTTATCGCCTACTAGCTATGTTATCTTGGCCAAATAATTAACCTCTTTGTGTCTTTGTTTCCTCACCTATTAAATGAAGATAATATCATCCTAGAGGTTTTTTTTTGTTTGTTTTTTCTTCATCATTCAATTTGACATTGAGTTTTTATGTGGTTTAAGTCAAAGAATTAGAATAAAGTTTTTAGTGTGGAGACTATGAGGTAGAGTACTGTCAAGAAATGATCATTATTGTAGGACTTAGAGAAGGTAGAGAGAGAAGGAAAAGCAGCTAGCGCCAGTTTCGTAGGTCCAGCTGCAACTGCAGGAATCCAGATAACTTAAAGATGCGTTTTTTTCATGCTTTATAGCCCCAAAGGAAATCATCTTAATAGCCAGACAGGCTGTTATTTTTCTCTCACCTTTCCTTTAATGTTGGAGAGGGGAAAAAAGCATTTGGACCACATATGAAAGTAAAGACACAGAATGCATCCTTCTCATTGATATCTTCTTTTCCCACTTCCCTCATTGACTTGTTTGTCTGAAGACCCAGGTTTATCTGCTTAGGGAAACAAGTTTAGTAAGTCAGAAATTCACCTGGCCGGATATTGATGACAAGTAAAATAGGTCTCTAATTTGTTGGACATTTAAAACCAAAGAATCCTAGATCTTACTTTGTTTAGAAAATAATTGTAGATGTAATATAATTTCTCCTCCCTGTACTGTCCAAATAAGACATCTTTTCTGGCTCCTGTTGCCTAATTTTGCTCCAGTAGCTGACAAAGCCTTTCCTTTCATAATTAAAAATGAAAGGGTTAAAATACAAATATAATGGAAGAAATGTTCAGCTAGATTCAACATGTATTTATCAAGTACTTGATTCTGTAATATGCCAAGATACATGTTTTGTGGGGATGCAAAGGTCATCAAAACATAGCTTTGCCTTTTTTTTGTTTTGTTTTTTTGAGACAGGAGTTTCACTCTTGTCGCCCAGGCTGGAGTGCAAGGGCGCCATCTTGGCTCACTGCAACCCCTGCCTCCTGGGTTCAGGCGATTCTCCTGCCTCAGCCTCCTGAGTAGCTGGGATTACAAGCACCTGCCACCATGCCCCACTAATTTTTGTGTTTTTAGTAGAGACAGGGTTTCACCATGTTGGCCAGGCTGGTCTCGAACTCTTGACCTCAGGTAATCCACCCACCTCAGCCTCCCAGAGTTCTGGGATTACAGGTGTGAGGCACCACGCCTGGCCCATAGCTTCTCTTCTAAAGAACATTACACTTTAGGAGGGGAGATGATTTATTTTAAGACAAAAGGTGGTAAAGGCTATGGTGGTAATCATAATAGTTTATATTTATATATGCTTTCCAGATTTATTTCATGCAGTACAAAAATACATTGGCAACACTGAAGAGGGAGAAGGGAAGTTTAATTCTGACGGGTGATTGTGGAAGGCGTAATGGAGGCAGTTTCTCTCCTTACCATAAGATGCCGGATTGACTTTTTAAATACGTCATGTTATTAATACTCTCCTTTGGAATTTTTTAGGTACGCAGATTTTCTGAGGCATTCTTTTGTTTTGAGCATCCAAGAGAAGCTGCCATTGCATACCAGGAACTTCAGTGAGTAGTATAAATTCAAAATTAAAATGATATTACTTCCTTTTACATAAGATACCTGTCTCAGAATTTATCAGTGACAGAATATACAGTATTAACAATATAAGAAATTAGGAGAATTTGAATTTCAGAAATCCCATCTATAATCAAATTGTTTCATCTTATTAGTTACTTCATTAAAGTTCCATACTTTACATATAAAGAAGCATAATGCACTGTATTCCTCCCTCCTTTTTTATCAGATCTACCATAATCTTGGTAGTCTCATACAGCTTTGGCTGTAGCCTTCCATTTAGCCATATTCTGTCTTTATTTTCACAGGCCAGAATTTCTTATGTTCATCCTTTTTTATTACAGATTTTCATATATACTGTCTTCTGTAATTGTAAATGATTTACAATTAAAATATCCAGAACAAATGCCTTCTATCTTTCCTACTGAGTAGATTTAGTCCTGGTTTTCTTTGGCATTAAGGAATATTTTGAGGACATTATGCTGAGCAAAAAAAGCTAGACATTAAAAATTGAATACTGTATGATTCTACTTATATGAAGTTATAAACAAGCAAAAGCAAGATGGAAAAAAGACAGGACATGGTTTTCTTGGCATTGACTTGTGCTGGATTGGGAAGACATGAGGGAACCATCTGAGTAGATGGAAATGTTCTGTATCATATATCCATTTGTCAAAAGCATACAGCTAAGATTTATATTTTAATGCATATAAATTATACCACAAAAAAAATCCTGTAAATAATAATAGAGTATCAGGGTAGGTAGTGAGTGCTGATAGAAAGGGTATATGTTAACTGTTGAAGTTCGGAGGTATGTATATGGGGTATTTTATACTATTCTTTGATTTGTTTGAAATTTTCCATAAGACAGGGTTTTCTGTTTTAACTGTTTTGTATTAGAAAATTATACATCTTGTTTTAAAATAGCTGTTAATTTTATTTGTCAATATATGTTAAGTAGAAACAGTAGAAATGAAACACGTCTTTTTCCCAGCACTAGCATCAAATAATTATTAAGCAGTTAAGCTTTTGGTATTTCTCTTATATGTGATTTGCAGCAGATTTAGAAGTTGAGACATTAAGCATAGAAATTCACTTTAAAATAACATAAGAAAGTATGGAAGAATATAATGGGAATTACATAAATAATTAGCAGTCTGTAATTTAATAAGTCAATAATTTATTGCCAACAAACTATCATTTTCATTTTACCAGTTTTTATCGCTGACCAAGCAGCTCTCTCATAAGAAGGTTATGTCTTGCAGATGAGGGATAGGAATTGAGGAGGGAAGGGGAAAGGGTAGATTCTACAAAGGGGAGTTGGGTATAATTTTTCTAAATTACAATCTGACTGAAGAAATATTTTTCAGTGCTCAGAGTCATCTACAGATGTGCACCGCTATCAAAAATACTTCCTTCTGCAGTTCTCTTCCACCCTTACCTATTGAATGTAGTGAATTAGATGGAGATCTCAATTCATTACCTATAATCTTTGAAGATAGGTATTTAGATTCAGTTACTGAAGGTAAGTGTAATCTAACTAAAATATACAAGCTATGTGTATAGTTTTCAGTATATTCTTCCTAATATACATAAAACCATTCCCTAATGTGGAATAGTTTTTTTCCCTCTCTAGTTTTATTTATGTTTGAGGATATTAGAAGTTATAGTTAGAAAAAGAAGTCTTAATCATATGAGTTCTCACACCTTGTTTTAAACCTGAATCTTTTTTTCTTTGGATAAAAGACTTAGATGCACCCTGGATGGGAATTCAGAATCTTCAGAGATCAGAGTCCAGTAAAATGGATAAATATGAGACTGAAGAAAGCTCTGTAGCAGGACTTTCTAGCCCAGAGTTGAAAGTCAGACCTGCTGGTGCCTCCAGTATTTGGTATACAGAAGGTGAAAAGCAGCTAACAAAATCTCTAAAAGGAAAGAATGAAGAATCAAATAAATCCAAAGTTAAGGTTACTAAGCTTATGAAAACAATGAAATCTGAAAACACAAAAAAATTAATAAAACAGAACTCTAAGGATTCTGTGGTTTTGGTAGGCTACAAATGTTTGAAAAGTACAGCATCAAATGATCTCATTAAATGCTTTGAAGGCAATCCTTCACATAGTCAGAAGGAAGGTCTGGATCCCACAATATGTGGATATAATTTTGACCCAAAGACCTACATGAGACAGACAAGTCAAAAGGAAGCTAGCTGTTTGCCAACTAATACAGAGAGAACTGAACAAAAGTCTCCAGATATTGAAAATGTTCAACCAGACCAGTTTGATCCTTTGAACTCTGGCAACCTAAATCTTTGTGCAAATTTGTCCATTTCAGGTAAACTTGATATCTCCCAGGACGATAGTGAAATTACACAAATGGAACACAATCTGGCATCCAGAAGGTCATCAGACGATTGCCATGATCATCAAACAACCCCATCTTTGGGAGTTAGAACAATTGAAATAAAGCCCAGTAATAAAGATCCTTTCAGTGGAGAGAATATAACTGTCAAACTAGGACCTTGGACAGAGCTTCGACAAGAGGAAATACTTGTGGATAATTTACTACCCAACTTTGAGTCCTTAGAATCTAATGGTAAATCTAAATCTATAGAAATAACATTTGAAAAGGAAGCTTTGCAAGAAGCAAAGTGTCTTTCTATTGGAGAATCATTAACTAAATTACGAAGTAATCTACCTGCCCCTTCTACAAAAGAATATCATGTTGTAGTAAGTGGAGATACAATTAAGTTACCAGATATTAGTGCCACATATGCCTCATCTAGATTTTCAGATTCAGGTGTTGAAAGTGAACCGAGTTCTTTTGCGACACATCCAAACACTGATTTAGTCTTTGAAACTGTGCAAGGGCAAGGTCCTTGCAATAGTGAAAGATTATTTCCTCAGCTTTTGATGAAACCTGATTATAATGTAAAATTTTCATTAGGAAATCATTGTACTGAGAGTACAAGTGCTATAAGTGAAATACAGTCATCTTTGACATCCATAAACTCTCTACCCTCCGATGATGAACTGTCACCTGATGAAAATTCTAAGAAATCTGTTGTACCTGAATGCCATCTAAATGATAGCAAAACTGTATTAAATCTAGGAACGACTGATTTGCCAAAATGTGATGATACTAAAAAGTCAAGTATCACTTTGCAACAGCAGAGTGTTGTATTTTCAGGGAACTTGGACAATGAAACTGTAGCAATACATTCCTTAAATTCAAGCATTAAAGACCCTTTACAATTTGTTTTTTCAGATGAAGAGACTTCCAGTGATGTGAAAAGTAGTTGCAGCTCCAAACCTAACTTGGATACTATGTGTAAAGGCTTCCAGAGTCCTGATAAATCTAATAACTCTACAGGGACAGCAATTACATTAAATTCAAAACTGATTTGTTTAGGCACTCCTTGTGTCATTTCAGGTTCCATTTCTAGTAATACAGATGTTAGTGAAGATAGAACTATGAAAAAAAATAGTGATGTATTAAATCTCACACAGATGTATTCAGAAATCCCTACAGTTGAAAGTGAAACTCATCTGGGTACAAGTGATCCTTTTTCAGCCAGTACTGATATAGTAAAGCAAGGGCTTGTGGAAAATTATTTTGGTTCTCAAAGCAGTACGGATATTTCTGACACATGTGCTGTTAGCTACAGCAATGCACTTAGCCCTCAGAAGGAAACTTCTGAAAAAGAAATTAGTAATCTTCAGCAGGAACAGGATAAAGAGGATGAGGAGGAAGAGCAGGATCAACAAATGGTTCAAAATGGGTACTATGAAGAAACAGATTATTCAGCTTTGGATGGAACAATAAATGCTCACTATACAAGCAGAGATGAACTAATGGAAGAAAGACTTACAAAATCTGAAAAAATAAACAGTGACTATCTGAGAGATGGTATAAACATGCCTACTGTCTGTACTTCTGGTTGTTTGTCCTTCCCGTCTGCACCACGAGAGTCTCCTTGTAATGTTAAATATTCTTCCAAAAGTAAATTTGATGCCATTACAAAGCAGCCAAGCAGTACTTCTTACAACTTCACTTCTTCGATTTCCTGGTATGAAAGTTCACCAAAACCTCAAATACAAGCGTAAGTAATGGAACGTAATAGTACCTGCTGCTAAATATATACATATATATATACACACACACACACATACACACACACACACACACACACACACACACACACACATATATATATAAAATCATAGATAGTGCTAAAGGATTGAGTGTCTATTTTGTTGTCTGGTTTCTGTAATACAAAAGTGCTTCTTTGATGACTATCCGAAATGGAGAAATGAACATAATATACCCTTGGCCAGACAGACCTATAGTTGCTGAATGATCGTGCTGTTCTGCTGTTCTATAGGATAGACATTCCTGATACAGATTTTCCAATGGTAGTTTTGTGTTAGAAGTATGGAATAACTGAGCTTAAAACCCTTTTTTCATCAGTCCCTCATTTCTCCTCCATTAACTTCCAGACAAAAGCCAAGTTTTATGAGTTTATCTAGGAAATAAGGATAATATTAGTTAAATGAGTAACAGGGTAGTGGAAACTTCTTGAACTTACCAGATGCTGATTGCCTTCAGCTAAGTCATTGGTTTCCAGAATTGAGATTTCATGTACCAGTAAAATATCCAGAAAAATCTGGCGATGATACAGGTTTACCAGCGTGCACTGGTTCTTAAAATATTCTATTGCCTCAGCCAGACTGAGTCATAATATTTGGGGTAAGAGGTCTTGGCATGTATATATATAGAGAGAGATTTTTAAAGTTCCCAGATTATTCTGATTTATACACAGAAATTAAGATACATAGTGTCTAAAGCTAGTGAAACCACTGAGGTAACAATAGCCAATTAAAAAATTGTGATATGCAGGGAAAATAAAGTTTATATCACCGTCTGGTTACTTCAGATTGTCTGAGTCATCAGAAAGCAATGATCTCTAATATAGACTTTATATATTTTTGGCCAGCTTATCCTACTCAGTTTAGTGTTCATCAGGTTCCTCTTCCAGCTTCACTTTATCAGTCCAAATGATGTATGTTAAATAGTTAATAATTTTTGATGTTTGCAATCCCCAAATTGGTTAGATTGTCCGTCATTGCAAACGAGTATATACCACTAATTGTATGCAGTCACATTCCCCTCTTCGTTCTGCTCCTTCTTATTGGTATTTTTAGAGAAAAATACAAATAACCTAATCTGCTAAATACTGTAACTCCATTCTCACTGTTACATTTTGTAAATCACTCCTTCCCTTCCATTTATGCAAGATTAAAAAGGAGCAAAGGGGATAAGATTTCATTACAGGATAAACATCAGATTATCACCTCTCCAGTCCCTCTCCCAGCTTTTCTGTGCATACAGTGTTAAATTTTGCAGAAAGTATAACTTCACTCAGAATGTTTTCTTAGAGTTGATTTCAAGTTTAAAAGAATATTTTCAAGTGATTTCAGGTTTAAAGTGTTCATTGTATTTGATAGAATATGTACTACAAATAATAAAGAAAATTACTCTCTGATTTCTAAATCACTTAGGTGATGCCACATATTTTCATGGTTTTAAAACCAAATATTGTTGGGTTTCCACTTCTACAATTCTCTAAATTCAGGAGGGTTCTAACAACTGAATATGATCCTTAGTAAAGAGTATCTTTTGTATTTTGCTTCAGCTTCCTTCAGGCAAAAGAAGAACTGAAGCTACTAAAACTTCCTGGGTTCATGTACAGTGAAGTTCCTCTGCTGGCATCCTCAGTACCTTATTTTAGTGTAGAAGAAGAGGATGGTTCTGAAGATGGAGTACATCTGATTGTCTGTGTGCACGGTTTAGATGGTATGTGACATCTATGGATGTAACCCAGAGCAACTCAATATATTTTTTTCCTAATAGATCTCATTTAGTTTCATTTAGTCTTTGAACTAAAAAAAGATTTTTTAATTGCTTAAATTAATTGAATCTTAAATGCATTCTGAAACAGAAATATGCTTAATTTTAATTATCCTAAGTGTAATATTAGATTCCTTCGTAAGTAAATTTTCCATGGAACTGACACTCATGTGCCAACATTTTGTTTAATTTGGGATTTTTTTTTTCATTATACTTTAAGTTCTGGGATACATACGCAGAACATGTAGGTTTGTTACATAGGTATACACGTGCCATGGTGGTTTGCTGTCATCTACATTAGGTATTTCTCCTAATGCTATCCCTCCCCTAGTCCCCCACCCCCTGACAGTCCCCATTGTGTGATTGTCCCCCTCCCTGTGTCTATTTGTTCTCATTGTTCACCTCCTACTTAGAAGTGAGAACATGTAGTGTTTGGTTTTCTGTTCCTGTGTTAGTTTGCTGAGAATGATGATTTCCAGCTTCATCCATGTCCCTGCAAAGGACCTGAGCTCAGTGGATTTTTTTTTTTATCTTCTCTCTTATTGTTGGTTTTGCCAGCTGTCACCTCCTGGCAGTTATTTTGTCTCCCTTTGATAGTCTTTCTGGTTCCCTTTTACCTGGCTGCTTTAAACTTTGTGTGCTAGAAAAATCGGTATTTCTAGAAGTTAAAATTTCATTAATTAAGTTATAAAAATTAAATTATAAATACAGGTACCTGGCTTTAGTGCTGGGGTTTTATGACAGCTGTTTTGGTTACTCAACAGTTTTTTTTTAGATGTAGGAACTGTTAGAAGATGCCAAATATCTCTAGAACAATGCAATATTACTGTATTATGAGATTCTATAGCAGCAAACTAGATTTTTGTGGATTATGAAAATATTAAACAAATGTCCCTGGTACTAAATTGTCATAAAATTGGAGATTTTTCTTTAAAAAAAAAAAAAAAACCAGACTCTCAAGAAATAAAATATTCTCAATGCTAACTTTTCTTCCCTCCCTCCAAACAATAAAGTCTTCAAAGAATTATCCCCCAAGAAAGACTTCTGGACCCAGAATCTGCCAGAATCTCTGGCAAATTCTTTTTTAAAAATTTTAAGAAGCAAATTATCCCTATGTTACATAAATTGTTCTAGAACAATGGAGAAAAAGATAGAAAGCAGCCCATTTTATTCCTTAAAGTTAACCTAACCTTGTTACCAAATCCAATAAAGATATCACACCAACACCTGCCGCCAAAAAACAGTAGACCAGTCTGACATAAATATACTTAATGGGCCGGGCGCTGTGGCTTACACCTGTAATCCCAGCACTTTGGGAGGCTGAGATGGGCGGATCACAAGGTCAGGAGATCAAGACCATCCTGGCTAACACAGTGAAACCCCGTCTCTACTAAAAATACAAAAAAAATTAGCTGGGCGTGGTGGCGGGCGCCTGTAGTCCCAGCTACTCCGGAGGCTGAGGCAGGAGAATGGCATGAACCTGGGAGGCGGAGCTTGCGGTGAGCTGAGATCGCGCCACTGCACTTCAGCCTGGGCTACAGACTAAGACTACGTCTCAAAAAAAAAAATAATAATAATGAATTCAAATATATTTAACCAAACTCTAGCACTTGGAATTAATATATTAGAGTAAGTTACTATAACAAATAAGGTTTATTTCCCAGAATGGAAGGATAAGTAAGTATAAGGAATTTCAGTAATAAAATACCCTACATCAGCAAATCAAGTAAGAAACTTCATAAAATTTAATATCCATTCCTAATTATTACAGTAAGCACAAAACTTTGATCTCAATAGGATTAGTCTATTTCCTTAATGTGATTAAGCATATATATTTCGAGCCTATAGAAAACTTATAGTTTTTGGTGAATATTAGAGGTACAACTTTTAAAATGAAGAATAAAAGAATTATCTCTGTCAATGCATTAAATCATAAAATTCTAAAAGATAAATATCAGGTAAAATAAAAATTCAGCAGTTTATAACGACATGCTTATATTGTTAGTAAACCAAAGGAATCCACTAAACTATTTTTGAAGATAATTATTTTTATATTTATATATGAGAGGAATTCAGAAAAAATGTGGAAAAATAAATTTGCCAGGCATGGTGCTGGCCAGCCTATAATCCCAGCTCCTTGGGAGGCTGAAGCAGGAGAATCACTTGAACCCAGGAGGCAGAGGTTGTAATGAGCCAAGACTGAGCCGCTGCACTCTAGCCTGGGCAACAGAGTGAGACTCCATCTCAAACAAACAAACAAACAAAAATTGTGGAAAAATAGAGTTAAAAGATAAAAATAGAAATATAAACTTCATTTCTCAGTGCAAACTCTGTCTAGTTCAAGACACTTTTGTAAGCAATTATACCAGCCATTCTAGTAAATTTCCAAGAACTGAGGGTCCTGGGAATTTAGTCATGTCAGTGCCTTCTTTTTTACACATTAAACCAAAGAAAAATGGATCCCCTTTACAGAGTTTTTAAGATAAGAAAACAAAGTAGTCAGAGGAACCAAATCAGGACTGTAAGATGAATGCCTAATGATTTCCCATCAAAATTGCCCTCTTCATGAGAATAATGAGTAGGAATATTGTCATGATGGAGAAGGACTCTCTGGTGAAGCTTTTCCAGGCATTTTTCTGCAAAAGCTTTGGCTGATTTTCTCAAAACACTCTAATGATAAGCAGATATTATCATTCTTTGGTCCTCCAGAAAGTCAAGAAGCAAAATGCCTTGAGCATTCCAAAACACTGTTGCCTTGACCTTTGCTCTTAACTGGTCCACTTTTGCTTTGACTGGACCGCTTCTACCTCTTGGTAGCTATTGGTTTGATTGTGTTTTGTCTTCAAGATGATACTGGTAAAGCCATGTTTCATTTCCTCTTACAATTCTTTGAAGAAATGCTTTAGGATCTTGATACCATTTGTTTAATATTTCCATTGAAAGCTCTGCTCTTGTCTGCAGCTAATTTGAGCACAATGGTTTTGACACCCATTGAGTGGAAAGTTTGTTCAACTTTAATTTTTCAGTCAGAATTCTGTAGGCTGAACCAATTGAGATGTCTAAGATGTCAGCTATTGTTTGTGCTGTTAATTGTCAGTCATTTTTAATTAGGGCATGAACAAAATGAAGTTTTTCCTCACAAATTGATGTGGGTGGTTTACTGCTGTATGCTTCATCTTCAACATTGTTTTTTCCCTTCTTTAAACAAGTTACCCATTTGTAAACTGCTGATTTCTTTGGGGGCATTTCCCAATAAACTTTTTTGTAAAGCCTCCGTTATTTCACCATTCTTCCGCTGAAGCTTCACCATAAGTGTGATGTTTGTTCTTGCTTCCATTTTAGCAGAATGTTGTTTGATAAGGTTTCTTTTTAAACTGATTTCTTTTTTTTTTTTTTTTTTTTTTTTTGAGACAGAATCTCACTCCGTCAGCAGTGGCACGATCTCGGCTCACTGCAAGCTCCACCTCCCAGGTTCAGACCATTCTCCTGCCTCAGCTTCCCGAGTAGCTGGGATTACAGGCGTCTGCCACCACACACGGCTAATTTTTTGTATTTTTAGTAGGGTTTCACTGTGTTAGCCAGGCTGGTCTTGATCTCCTGACCTCGTGATCCACCCGCCACAGCCTCCTAAAGTGCTGGGATTACAGGCGTGAGCCACCGTGCCCGGCCTCAAACTGATTTCTTATCCTTCTTAGTGCCTCAAACTAGATTCTGTTCAAACATGTTATAACAAATTAGTATGTGTTTATTTTGGTGTAAAAAATTTTTGAAACCCATACGTAGTTTTTTTTATGATGCATTTTCTATGAACTTTTTGAAGAACACTTGTGTCTTATATCTGTATTGTAAGTATATGTGTAGATGCCTTTTGAGTTAATTATTATTAAAATAAACTTTCTTAGATATTTAAATGGATTTTTATTTTTCTCAGTCTGTGCCAGTATCACCAAAGGAAGGTCAACAGATTAAATCTAAAATGCATTCACAGTTTGCTGTATGATTACCTAGAATGGTGATGGTAAGACACCATTTATAGCTACTGTAGCCGGGAGTCACCAAAGTGATGTGCTAACAGTTTGATAAATAAATACACTGTTAGGTAGAAAAGTGAAAGCCACCAAAACCACCTAAGAAACAAACTGTTGGCCAGGCACGGTGGCTCACGCCTATAATCCCAGCACTTTGGGAGGCCAAGGCCAGCGGATCACAAGGTCAGGAGATCAAGACCATCCTAGCTAACACGGTGAAACCCCATCTCTACTAAAAATACAAAATATTAGCTGGGCATGGTGGGATGCACCTGTAGTCCCAGCTACTTGGGAGCTTGAGGCAGGAGAATCGCTCGAACCCAGGAGGCGGAGGTTGCAGTGAGTCGAGATCATGCCACTGCACTCCAGCTTGGGCGACAGAGCAAGACTCCATCTCAAAAAAAAAAAGAAAGAAAAAAGAAAACAAAAACTGTTGAATTGACATTGCCTGGCTAATAGAAATCAGCTTTGACATAAAAATTGAGAACTCTATTTCATTGTATATTGTCTGTTCACAAATGGCATAGGCCATAAGCTTGTCTCTAAAAACTGTAAAAATATGTGATGGTGTACTTTCTACCTTTTACTTTATCTCATCCTTTAAACATCATTTTTCATTTTTTAGGAAACAGTGCAGATCTCCGATTAGTAAAAACTTACATTGAACTTGGATTGCCTGGGGGAAGAATTGATTTTCTTATGTCTGAGAGAAATCAGGTACAATATGACAGTGTTTTCAGTGAAAACAAACATTTTTGTACCAGTTTCTACCTAAATTTTGCCTTACTACAAAATGCCTGTAATAGTAGAAATAATTTTTCTGATTTCTATGAAATTTAATATAAATGTATATCCAAAGGAAATATATATGATTTACATTTTGACTTATGATCTCTTCACATATGAAATATTTCTAGAATTTCACATTTCTATAGAAATATTTCATTAATTAAACCATTGTAAACATCTTATGTTTCATACTGGTAGTGAGCTAAACAAACAAATAATGCAAGTATTTTAAGAACACTGAACCTTTTTTTCCCCTAGAAATTTACTCTCTTTGCTCGTTTTAAGATAAAAAAATTACACTCACTAACTTCTCTATAAAACATTGAACTTAACCATACTTTCAGTACCTAAATTAAAAATGTTTATATTGTTAGTTTTTCATGTGATTATACATATTCCCAAATATAATGTATGTGCTTTGCTTTCTTTTTAGAATGATACTTTTGCTGATTTTGATAGCATGACTGATCGTCTTTTGGATGAGATAATACAGTATATTCAGATATATAGTCTAACAGTCTCAAAAATAAGGTATCTTCTTTAATATTATGCAATTTATTTTTATATTTCTATGAATTGTATAAAAGTTAAACAGAATTTGTGATAGGGTTGTCCTATTCTGAAATATAGGAGACTACAACTCAAATTAATTTATAGTGAAAAAAAGTAAAGATTTTAGGGAAAGATTTATATGAAATGTCCAAAAAAGTGTATCTGTAGAGAAGAAAATAGGTTAGTGTTTGCTTAGAGCTGGGGAAGATGGGGGATGGTGGGGATAACTACAGGATATAGGATTTCTTTTTGAGGTGGAAAAAAGGTCCTAAAATTGATTATAGTGAGAGTTAAAACTCTGTGAATATATTTTAAAACATTGAATTGTACACTTTAAGTGGAAGAAGTATAGGCTCTGTGAGTTACATATATGTATATGATATATGTATATGATATATGTATATGAAGCAACAAAAATACTTTCAAAGTTTGTATACTTTTTTTTTTTTTTTTTTTTTTTTTGAGGCAGGGTGTTGCTCAGTCACCCAGGCTAGAGAGCAGTGGCGCCATCTCGGCTCACTGCAGTCTCAAACCCCTGGGCTCAGGCGATCCTCCCACCTCAGCCCCCCAAGTAGCTGGGATTACAGGCATGCACCACCATGTCCAGCTAATTTTTGTAGAGATGGGGGTTTCACCGTGTTACCCAGGCTGGTCTCGAACTCCTGAGCTCAAGTGATCCTCTCACCTTGGCCTCCCAAAGTGCTGGGATTACAGATGTGTGCCACCTTGCCCAGCCAGATTTTATGACTGCTGTATACTTTTGTGAGTCAGTTTTCCACAAGCAAGACATGATGATTACACCAGTATGAGTTTCATTATTTAATTAGATCTTGTTAATAGATGTAGGAGAGAAGAGTCTTTGTTTCCAAAAGGGTAGAATAAACTGACTATATTCATATCCCAACTAGGTTAGAGGAAGAAGCTGGTTCTGCATACTGTAAGCTTTTGGGCAGTTTGTTTCCAACTCGAAGTATAGGGAATAAGAAGAGAGATAAGCAGTTTCTACCTAAAGTCATTTTTTAAAAAACAGAATTCTGTTAAAATATGGGAGAAGGTTCAGGTTTGTTGTTTGGAGGAAGAGATTATTTTCTTGTTGTAATTATTCATTTGTGGATCTTAAAATCTTGTTAGCTTTTATTCATTTATTTTATGATGAGAAAAATAATATTTCAACTTATTTATTCCTCCTCAAAAGTATTGTCTTTCAGGTTAGATTGTCAGTTATAATCAATCATTTTCCAGAAGTGTAATCTGGTTGATTGTAGACTGTCAGCTACCATCAGAATTCCCACCCCCACTACTTTAGGAAGTTCAGTTCGGGAGGGAAGTTTGTCCTGAGCGTCTCGCAAGATATACCTGTAAGCCAGTGTTTAGACAGCTCTCAAGCTCTCTTTCACTGCTAATTGTCCCCAGGGAATCTTATACCATCTGTTGTAAAATAACAGTAAGTAAACAGGCTATTTTGATTTAAACCAGGGGTCCCCAAACCCTGGGCCACAGACTGGTACCTGTCTGTGGCCTCTTAGGAACCAGACCTCACAGCAGGAGCACTGGGGCGGGTGAGCAAGCATTACCACCTGAGCTCAGCCTCCTGTCAGATCATCGGTGAGCATTAGATTTGTGAACGCTATTTTAAACTGCCCATGCGAGGGATCTAGGCTGTGTGTTCCTTATGAGAATCTAGTGCCTGAGTTGGAATAGTTTCATCCCAAAAGCATCCCCACAACTCCTGTTTGTGGAAAGATTGTCTTTGGTGAAACCAGTCCCTGGTGCCAAAAAGGTTGGGGACCACTGATTTAAACCATTTCATAACAAAAGTGAAGTGCTAGCTACATAAATATTATTCTTTTTGCATAATCGAAGATTCATAGTAGGAAAATGCATATATTTTACCTATGCCTTGAAAATATTGTTAGTCAAAAACTGTCCATCTTTGAAGTATAGACCAGAGAATAAGAGAAACAGATATATAATTTCCCCAAGTTGTCGTTTATAAATACAATTTCATCATTTTGTTTGAAATGATGAATTAAGAAGTAAATAATTTGTGTATGTACCTAAGAAGGCAAATATGTAATCTAGTCATTATATTATTATCTTTAATACGTACTTATATCTAAGCAGTTACAAACTATGAGTAAAAGTTTTCAGATTAATATGTTGTTTCTATAAACATTTAAATTATGTAATAATGAGGATCTTCTATACATTCTCACATTTTTTCCTTCAAAATGTGGTATATCATTTCAAAGTATCACTATACTTTTACAACATTAGAAATTTTCAAATTGTTAGTATTCACATCCATTTTATAGTGGATCAGCTTTGATTTTTGTTTCTAAAACTAATGCTGTGAGAAAATTAATTTTTTTTTCCTCTTAAAGCTTTATTGGACATTCGTTGGGCAATTTAATAATTCGTTCAGTGCTTACAAGGCCAAGGTTTAAATATTACCTCAACAAACTTCATACCTTTCTGTCTCTTTCTGGACCTCACCTTGGTACACTCTACAACAGCAGTGCTCTTGTTAATACAGGTAAAAAGTTTTATTGTTCTGTATTAAAAATATGGAATAGGGAGAAAAATATGAACTTAGTATTTTCTGGTGTTTATTTTAGAACCAGTTTGTCACATACTGGAAATTTCGTGAAATAAAAAATGTAGCTAATTTTCTGTTTTGTTATGCACATGAAATAAGTTGATAAAAGTCATTTTAGAAAATGGCTTTTCTTATATTGAGATGGTATTTGTCAAAATTCACAAGAGCATTTTTTTCTTTTTTTCATTAAATTCTAAATATTTTTAGTAAAGTTTTATCTTATAAACAGTTTTGTCATCCCATTACTTGAACAGATAACAAACACCTACATTTAATACATTATCAAGTTATAACATTTTATATAGAATATTAGCTAATTTTGGTTCAAAAAGAGTAAAGAGATATGAGAATATAATTTTTACGAAGGTGATTCAGAATTTCTGAAGAAGTTAATATGAAAGTTAAGACCCTAAATTTGATTAGTATTTATATTCTCATCAACAAATATTTGGTACTTTGATTTTTTTTTTTTTTTTTTTTAGGACAGAGTCTCACTCTGTCACCAGGCTGGAGTGCAGTGGCGCGATCTCGGCTCACTGCAACTTTTGACTCCCTGGTTCAAGCGATTCTCCTGCCTCAGCCTCCGGAGTAGCTGGGATTACAGGCATACGCCACCATACCCAGCTAATTTTTGTATTTTTAGTAGAGACGGGGTTTCACCATGTTGGCCAGAATGGTCTTGATCTCCTGACCTCGTGATCCGCCCGCCTCGGCCTCCCAAAGTGCTAGGATTACAGGTGTGAGCCACTGCGCCTGGCCTTGATTTGCCTTTTGTTTGGCTTGGTTTTTCCCTTAGATGTTTGCAAAAATGATCTATAAATTAGTCAATTGATTCCCACTGTGAGAATAAATTATATTTAACTCTGTCTCTTTTCATTGATCCCTGAAAATCTTATTGCTATTTCCTTTACCACTTCCTTTTAATGACAAACCATACCATTTTTCCTGTATCCCATTTCAAGTTGGTGATTTAAAAATACAGCCAGTTCTAGACTTCTACAGTTTGAAAAAGAGGAAATGAGAAAAATGAAGTCCTTAAATAATGTATAATAGAACCCAACATGAATCGAATGTAGTACTTTGAATTTCATTCTTCACTAAACTTTTTCCCAGATATGTTTCCAGCTATCAGTTTTAACCAATTAAAGGATTGTTTTCCTTTAATTTTCTCCTGTTTCCCTAATATTAGAAGCAATGAAAATGGAAAAGAATATTTCATAGTCTTGAAAACCAACTTGAGTGATTGAAATTTTGCTTAATTTCCTGAAGAGCAAGATGCATTTAAATATGGGTTACTGATAATATAAAAAAATAATTAATATAAAACAAATGATATTCAGCTGTTATTAGAAAACATTAAACAATTTTTCATTCTAAGATGTGGTCTGTTTGCAATTAGTCTATTATGTCATAACTAAACTGTAATTATAGACTGATCATTCTGCATAGGCATTTGACTTACTACTGTATTTGAAGTTTTTCTTCATCTTCTTCTTTATCATTTGAACAAATATATTGAAAGGTATAATTTTTCCAGTTTGTTCTTCATATGCTATTATCTGTTTCATTACTGAATGAAATAGAAATAGCAAGCTGTCCATCAACCACCATTAATTCATAATTAACCTAAGCATGCATGTTTATAAATGTTATCGGAACATGGAAATATTTTCCAAATATATTTTTGATTAGCCAACAAAAATGCTAATTTAGGCAATGTCATCTTTTGAAGTGAAATATATATTAAAATTAATAATCTTGGCATATGTTTTTATATATTTCATTTCATACTTCTATATCATATATGACTCTCTAGGTCTCTGGTTTATGCAGAAATGGAAAAAATCAGGTTCGCTTTTGCAGCTGACATGTCGAGATCACTCAGACCCTCGCCAAACTTTTTTATATAAGCTTAGTAACAAAGCAGGTAAGTATATAATAACAGTTTGGAAAATATACATGTGAAAACTTTTTAAAAAATAAACATTTAGCAAATAAATTATCAACATGTCTTTCTAGTGGTTAAAAAAAAGTGTCATTCTACTGTAATTTCCTAATAATGAAACAGCAAACTCAGAACTGAAACTAAGCAGTTGAAAGAGATTTCTTTAGTCTTTTTCACATGACTGTATTTCTCTTTTGTGAGCTACACAGCTACTTTGAAATTGCCCTAAGAATTTCAACATTTGTAACTCAGTGCCAGTTTTGTTAGTCTATGTTTTTAGACCATGTTTCTGCATGTCCTATCCCCGCTGTTCTAGCTGTCTCCCACCCCAATCCTCACCCCTTTTTATAAACTGCCACGTTTTTCTACCTTCATATTATGTTATGTTATATTATATTATATTATATTATATTATATTATATTATATTATATTATATTATATGGCTAGCAAGCATTTCTGAAAGTGTCAGAAACTAAACTATTAATGATTATCCTTTCTACAATTCTCACTACTGGATAAATCTTATTACTTATTTTTTATTAACTAATTATTAAACATATTCCCCATCTTGCATATATATTCCAGGCCTTTACAACCTAAAGTTCCCAACTGCTCCTTTGCCATTTTTACTGTCTATAAATAACCTTACTTCTGACCTTATGATCTCCCTCAATTCACCCTCATACATCTTCCCAGCATATTTTTTCCAGTGTCCTTTGAAATCCTCATTTGAGGGGAACAGACTGCCTTTATTTTCTTCGAAGAATGTTATTGCCGCTTACTTCTGAAAGTGGAGACGTAACTGAAACAGATTTTTTTCTTCCCCTCCTCGCCCCCATGTCTTCACTCCCCTGGCTACAGAGTGGAGTTTGGCAAACTTTTTTTTAAAAAAGGCCAGATAGTAAGTATTTTGGTTTTGTAAGCCATACAATCTCTTTGCAACTACTTAACAATACCATTGTAGTATGAAAACAACCACAGAAAATACAGAAACAAATGAGCATGACTGTGTTTCAGACAAACTTTATTAATTCAAAAACAGCAGTAGCCAAATCTCACAGGCCATGTCTTGCTAATACCTGCTATAGAAGCTCAGTTCGTCGTTTACTAAGTACCACCTAAAGTAAGGAAAATAGCCCTCTTGCTTTCCATTTCTAATTGCAATCATTACTCCTCCACTGTTATATAAAACCACTTTATTTGAGGCTTGTATCATCCAAGCTGTGCTACCATCTATTATTCTTTAATATAATGACCTCCTGGTTATCCCAGGAGAATAAAAGACATTGACACGGCCGGGCGTGGTGGCTCACGCCTGTAATCCCAGCACTTTGGGAGCCTGAGGCGGGCGGATCACGAGGTCAGGAGATCGAGACCATCCTGGCTAACACGGTGAAACCCCGTCTCTACTAAAAATACAAAAAAATTAGCCAGGCGTGGTGGTGGGCACCTGTAGTCCCAGCTACTCGGGAGGCTGAGGCAGGAGAATGGCGTGAACCTGGGAGGCGGAGCTTGCAGTGAGCCGCGATCATGCCACTGCACTCCAGGCTGGGAGACAGAGTGAGACTCCGTCTCAAAAAAAAGAAAGACATTGACAAATGTTTGTAACATGATTATGTTTGGGAAAAGATTCTCCTCTTGGGTCTTAACGTACTTAGATCTGGAATCATTTTTGGTAATTTGATGAGTCAACCCTTTAGATAATTCATTATGCATCACCATGCCTTTCTCAACTCCAGTGTCCCTTCATTCCACTCCATGTTGAACTCATACCCACGGCTACACTGTAGTCCTGAAATTTCAGCCAACGTTCCATTCTGTTACTGTGATGTCTTATCCTTCTTTTTCTCTCACTCCCTTCTCATCTGCTTTTTAGACTCATTTATGATTCCTGCTACTTTTTTTTTTTTTTTTTTTTTTTTGAGACGGAGTCTCGCTCTGCCGCCCAGGCTGGAGTGCAGTGGCACGATCTCGGCTCGCTGCAAGCTCCGCCTCCCGAGTTCACACCATTCTCCTGCCTCAGCCTCCTGAGTAGCTGGGACTACAGGCGCCCGCCACCACGCCCAGCTAATTTTTTGTATTTTTTAGTAGAGACGGGGTTTCACCATGTTAGCCAGGCTGGTCTCGATCTCCTGACCTTGTGATCCGCCCGCCTCGGCCTCCTAAAGTGCTGGGATTACAGGCGTGAGCCACCGCACCTGGCTAATTCCTGCTACATTTTCTTAAGTCTCCCTCCCGTTCATGGTTTTACTCCCTTCCTGACTCAAGTCTCAGACTTCATGGATTACTTTTGTCTTTCATGTATTACTCTTTGTTTTTCTATCCTAGTCATCTTGCAAATCTATATTACTGTTTTTATACCTAGCCTTTGATCTCTTCCAAAAAAGATCACACAGACATGCAGAATCAGCAGCACTGTAGGTCCACAGGGTCCCTATCTAGTTATCTTTAGTTAGCTTCCTATCTATTCCCTTAGACACTCTCCCAAAGTTTCACCTTTCCTCAAACATCAGGTTTTCACTGCTCCCTTCATTTCTCACAGTTAGCTTTGCTTTTGCTTTCTACTTTATCTTTGAAGTTCAAGACATTTCTTTCTACCTACCAACATTAATTAACCTATGTTTTCCTTTTAGTTCAGTGAAAGATTTATAATCTGTTCAAGAATAATTACCCTCTCTGTTTTGGAACTCATACCTTCTCATCAGTATCTTTAAACTCTTACTCTTTCAGTAATTAATCCTTTAATAGATAAAGTTATTCCCATTTCTTCCATCTTAATAATAATAATAAATATTTCTGTTGATCTCTTATTCTGTACTTGTCCCCCTTTCCCCTTTTTCTGAGAGTGTTGGGGGGTAGGGTTGAACCTTTTGAAAGAACAGTCACTTTATTACTCCCCCCTTTTTTTCACTTTTTTGGTTTCTGTCTGCACCACTCCACTGAAGCTTGCCAAATCCAGTGATCTCTTTGCTTTTATTTGAATATTAAGACATTTAAGACTACTGAAAACTCCTTCTTGAAATATTTTCCTTTCTCCATTTTTGTGGGATCCACCTCTCCTGGTTTTTTTCCATCTTGGCTTTTTTTCTGCTTCCTATATGGGTTTCTTTTCTTTCCTTGCCCCTTTATGAAAGCTGTTCTTGTGTTTTAGCCTCTGTCTTCTGCTCTTCTCACTCTGTACATTCTTCTTGGACAGCATCATTCCATATCCATCTTTACCATTGGTAGCTCTCAAATATTAATATATATCTCTAGCTTGTCCTCTGTGCTGTGCTCTAGACTTATACACCTAGAGGCTTACTTAGCATCTTCATGGAGATGTCTCATGGGTGCTTCAAATCTAGTGTTTTCAGACAGTGCATCTGTCCCCTGATTACTTCTCTGGATTCCACATCTACTGGAATGGCATCATCTGCCTAGTGAGAAACTTAGAAAGTGTTCTTGACTCTGCTTTCTTATTTATACCCCATATCTACAGAATTGCCAAGTTTTAAAACATTTAACCTTCTTAGTGGCTGATGGATGCTTCTCTTCTTCTTTGCCACTGCCTTAGTTTAGCCTTCATCACTTTTATTTAAATTATTGTTCAAACTGGTTACCCTGCCACATGTATACCCCCTTCTCCCCATTCTCACTTCCTCGTTAGACGAAATGATCATCCAGTGAAGCCATAGATTATATTGGCCATCTAATATCAAACCATATTGGTCTCATTTGAAAATCTTTCATGATGCTTTGTGGTATTCACAGTGAAGTTTAGATTCCATGGATAAGAGCATCAAGTCCTCTATAATCTGGTCTCTGATTCTCTGTTTTCTTTTTATCCTGCACACACACACACACACACACACACACACCCTTTGCTGTGGTCATGCTATTCATGGTTTTTGATTGCTTGCATTTTCTCATGCTTTTTGTATCACCTCATGTGTTTTTGTATCATGTGTTTTTGTATCACCTCATGTGTTTTGTACCTCCTCATGTGTTTACCCATCTTTTCAGAACTAATTCTGTTTACCTTCTAAAATTAAACTCTAATGCCACCTGCTATCAAAAGCTTTTCTTGATGCCCTATCTGATTTAATGCTCCTCTACTCTCAGAATACTCGCTGTATACCTTTGGGGTTTTTTGAGACAGGGTCTCATGCTGTCACCCAGGCTGGAGTGCAATGGCACAATCATAGCTCACTGCAGCCTTGAACTCGTGGATCAAGCAATTCTCCCATCTCAGCTGTCCCATATATACTTTTATGTCCCCAATCTTATGTCTCCAGGACTGATTTTATTAATGAATTTCAATCCTCATTTGCCTGCTAGACATCTCAATTTACATATCAAACTGAATATGTCTAAAACTGTATGTCTTCTTTGGCCGCCTCTCCTGTTGTCCTTTTTTTAATGGTACTGTTCTCTCAATTACTCCTTTGAAACACCTTAGGGTCATCTTTGATTGACCTCACTTCTTTGCCTCCCATGTCTCAAAATTGTTAATATTATCTCTGAATTTCCATAGCATTATATATCAACCTTTTACCATACTCATTATAGTTTATCTCATGTCAGTTATTTTTATGTATTAACTTCCTTTCCTTAAGTAGGATCTGTCATGACTACTCATTCCCATTTCCCACATACATATTCAGTATGTACCATAGCTCTTCTAGTGTACACCGATTGAATTAACAAATGAATCAATGATATTTTTAATATTATTTTCAATATTCAAAAACAGTTTAAATATTATATAGTAAGATGTAAATCTAGCCCATATATTCAGCGACTGGTAGTTCCAAGTCTGAAGTTACTTGAATTTGTGAACTTAAGCCCTGGCCATTTAAACCTACATCTGTTCTTATCCTCATTCCTATCACCCATGTCTTCCATTCTACTCTTGAAATATTTGATATTAATAGATTTAGTTATTGAAAATACCACTGCTTTTGAGTCCTGTTTTAGCTTTTTCAGGATTCTGCCTTAAATGTTGTTCTTAATATGAGAAAGAGATTTGGGAATGATTATTACATGTACTGTCTACTATTAGAATCAGTGAAAGGAAAATTCTCTTATAGATTGGGTTTTATGATTTTGTTTGTAATGATACAGAGCATCAATGGTAAGTTTCTTACAGTATACAGAAATATATACTTGATTGATCAAATTACAAAATATTCCTACAAAATGAAACATGGCATATGCTTCTTATGTGAGAAAAACAATATTAGCTAGAACCGTTGTGTGGAGCTATGGAGTTCATACCCTTTGCTGACAGGTTAGGAAATACGTGAAAGGCAAAGCTGAACATAAGTGTTCCTGAGGTCTATGTCTTTATACAGCATTATACAAAGTAACATTTAATTAGCAATAATAATAGCAACATAAGAATATCTAAACTGTAAAGAAAATATAACTGTAAAGATTAGTTCAATTTTTTTCTTTTAAGTTATTAATTTATTATTTGCCTTATAGTGCGTGATCTGGTTGTACTAGTCTAAAACTGTTAAGAACCAAACTCTGACATCACACATAGGTATTAGTTATAGTTCAAACACTGACTAGGCTACCTAATTTAAATAAACTCGTTTCCTTATTGGTCAATGAGAATAGTAGTATCTCATAAGATTATTAAAAGGATTAAATGAGATAATATGTGTAAAGTGATTCTGTAGAGTTCAAAACTTAGTAAATGGTAAAAAAAAAAAAATGAATAAATGACTTAAATAAGCTAGGTGCGGAAATATCATAAGCTAGGTGCGGTAGCTCACACCTGTAATCTCTCCAGTTTGGGAGGCTGAGGCAGGTGAATTGCTTGGGCTTAGGAGTTTAAGGCCAGCCTGGACACTGGGCATGGTGGCTCACGCCTGTAATCCCAGCACTTTGGGAGGCTGAGGCAGGCAGATCACCTAAGGTTGGGAGTTCGAGACCATCCTGACCAACCCCATCTCTACTAAAAATACAAAATTAGCCAGGCATGGTGGTGTATGCCTGTAATCCCAGCTACTCGGGAGGCTGAGGCAGGAGAATCGCTTGAACCTGGGAGGCGGAGGTTGCAGTGAACCGAGATCTCGCCATTGCACTCCAGCCTGGGCAACAAGAGCAAAACTCCATCCCAAAAAAAAGAAGACCAGCCTGGGCAACATGGTGAAACCTCATCTCTACAAAAAAATACAAAAATTAGCTAGGCATGGTCATGTGTACCTGTAATCCCAGCCACTCCAGAGGCTGAGGCACAAGAATTGCTTGAACCAGGGATGTGGAGGCTGCAGTGACCTGAGGTTGTGCCACTACACTCCAGCGGGGGATAGAGCCAGACTTTGTCTCAAAAACTTAAAAAAAAATAAAGCCCACTAGCGCTAGGCACAGTGGCTCACGCCTGTAATCCCCGTACTTTGGGAGGCTGAGGCAGGTGGATCACCTGAGGAAAGGAGTTCGAGACCAGCCTGGCCAACATGGTGAAACCCCATCTCTACTAAAAATATAAAAATTAGCCAGGCGTGGTGGCGGGTGCCTATAATCCTAGCTACTAGGGAGGCTGAGGCAGGAGAATCATTTGAACCCAGGAGGCGTAGGATGCAGTGAGCCAAGATCGCACCATTGCACTCCAGCCTGGGCAACAAGACTGAAACTCTGTCTCAAAAAAAAAACAAACAAAAACAAACAAACAAAAAAAACCACGAGTATTATAGATTACAGAAATTGACTTTTACACAAACAATATATATCTATCTTAGGAAAATTTTTTTAACAGAACTTTTATCTAAATGCTGATATTACTAGCTATAAAAATTATTTGAATGACTTAAAATTGTTTTTATGTTTTAAGATTTCTCTTTGTACTCACGAGTTTATTAGTATATACCTGAATTGAATTAATATCCATTCTGGGAAAAAACACTAAAGAGTACTATTTTCTGGCTGGGCACGGTGGCTCATGCATGTAATCCCAGCACTTTGAGAGGCCAAGGTGAGTGGATCACCTGAGGTCAGGAGCTTGAGACCAGTCTGGCCAACATGGTGAAACCCTGTCTCTACTAAAAATACAAAAAAATTAGTCCAGTGTGGTGGCGCACACCTGTAATCCCAGCTACTCAGAAGGCTGAGGCAGGAGAATTGCTTGAACCCAGGAGTTGGAGGCCTGCAGTGAGCCGGGATCCTGCCACTATACTCCAGCCTGGGCAACAGAGCAAGACTCCATCTCAAAAAGAAAAAGAGTACCATTTTCTAGTAATTGTGACTAATGCATTGGTTAATACTAAAATACTGGAAAAATAATAATAGCTAATACACATGTAACATTTACCACGTTCTAGGTGTGATTTAAACACATACATATTAGCTTATTTAACCCTCTAGGGTAGGAATATTGTCCCCACTTTGCAGATGAGGACACTGAAGCACAGAGAGATTGAATGACTTGCCTGAGGTCACTTAGCTTTATGAAAAGCCAGTAAGCATTCGTGCATGGTTCACACTGCATCATGTTAAGCCAATAATATACATTTTCAGGAACTTAAAAAGCTACTTCTAATAGCACTTTTAAATATCAACAAGTATTTCAATTGATTTTAAAATTACGTTGTAGAGATTGAAACAAGTCTCTCGAACTATTTCATGTGGGGTGTTGGGTTTTGGGGTTTTTTTTTCGGGGGGGCATATCTAGTGAATTGTGAGAAATGAGTAGTCCATCCCTAGAAAGTTGCTATGCCTGTATATTTACATATAATTACTTTATTCACAAAATAGAATATATAGGTTCACAGCAAACAAATAAGTTAAATAAAACAGGAAAACATAGAACAAAGAAAAAGAGTACTTAACCAATATGCTATTCTCAAGTGTTTTAAAACAATCAAAAGTGATCATTTCTTTTTTATATTTTATTATTCTAAAGCTACAGTCTTGGATGCCCTGGTTTGATTATTGCTTCAGTTTCTTCTGAACAGCGAATTTTCCGTTCTTTTGGAAAAGCCTAAAATTACTTGTCTAAATCAAAATCCAGCCATTTGCCCTTTTGCCTTTTTTATTTAAGCAAAGCCTCTTCTGTGGGTCTTCCTTTTGAAACAGTCTTTTTCTATGCAACATATCATTAGTTAATAGCTTTCCTTTTATTGAAAGCTGTTCATTATTTTAAAATGAAGAAAGCTTTTTAAAAGCCTAAAATAATTTGTGTGTTTTGTAAAACAATTGAGAAATACTGTATTTTTTATAAAAATCATAAATGTATTGGGTGAGAAATTACCTTTTTTGTGAACACAATAGATCTGGTAAAGGGTTACAGAAATGTTACTTTTAAAGGGAAATTATCTATTTTGATTAAGGAATTACAATTATAAACATTCATTAAATTTTTATAGCAACTTTTGACAAAACCTGTGGTATTCTACAGATTGCTAACAGAATATGTAAATAATTTGCAGGTGGCATACAAGCATCTCAGCATTGGATAGCAGGGAAAAGAAAGATGAAGGAGCTAGAGCAATGTGGAAAGTAAAATAAATGTATAATATATAGACATTAGATGACAGCAGTGTTGAAGTAGTCAAGATTATATTACTAAAGCAGAGAGAGGAATCATGGCCACTCTGACATTCCATAATGAGGGCTCAAAATAGCCAAAAAAGAGTCTATTCATTGTTGGAATTTCAAAAACAATATATCCTTATTTTAAGATCTTCCTAAAAATACCTGCTTAGAGTCTTTTTACCAGCTGTTGAATTCTGACAAATAAAGTATAGAAATTAAATAAAGGTCCTGCTGTCCTACTGTGGCACAAAGGACTCTTTGTATCCAGGAGGTTACAAAGGGATTTAATCTTAGGTATCACTTTTGATATGTAAATAATATGTATATTTTGTTTCTGAAAGTGCGGGAAAGAACCAGCATCAGCTAACATTATTTTAGGAAGAAAATTCATTCAAATTTATTTAAAATGAGTAAAAATAAGAATAGTTTAATATTGTTAAGAATATGTTTTAAAAGTACAGAGTTTTCTTAGCTTCAGCACTATTGATATTCTGGGCTGGAGAATTCTTTGTTTTCAGGGGTTGTCTTGAACATTGTAGCATGTTTAGCAGTATCTCTGGCCTCTGCCCACTAGATGCCAGTAGCACATACACTTTTCCACCTTCAGCAGTGATGACCAAAAATATCTTCAGATGCTGCAGAATATTCCTTGGAGCAGAAAATCACCAGTTTAGAACCACTGCTTTAGCCAGTTCCAGAAAGTAAACACAAAATGACTCAAAGTGAATTGCATTAAAACTCTGAAGTTTTAGAACAAATGAGTAGCCAGAAGAATTGGAAAGACTTTAGACTATGAAGATGAAAGTTTCAATTAAGGTGTTCATATATCAATCATGTTATTATATAGTCCAGAGCAATATGGAAGATTTAATCTTTTTCTTGGTAAAAAGTAACAACATACTTACAGATTTTTCTGGTTAAACCATGTCATCCTATAAATAGGGAAATCTTGTCACTTTCCCAAATTAAAGGTAACCGTTCAACAAATAATTAGCCACTTGAGGGGCTCAGTGAAGTATTCACCCACGGACTAGTTAACTACGTTGTCTTTGAGAAGCTAGAATCAAGGTAGGTGTAGAAAAGATAAACCTAGAATATTAGCTCCCAAAATAGACTTCAGACATTTTTGTTGGCTGTACTTCAACTCAGATGAAGTACTGCTGTAATTCCTACCAGCACTGCTCCTCTGGAGCTTGCTGTGCTTCACTTTGAGTTTCTGCCTTCTGTAGCCAACACTGGTAGACAAGAAATTGAAGCCAAAAGGTTCAAAAAGGGCCATAATATATTTAACTAACTTGGTTCTTGGCTAATATAAAAAGCAAACCTTCTGTGCAAAAGCACAATATCAGTATTAATACACTTTTTTTAAATAACTAGAAAACTGGTTACCAAGTTTAAAATGCATTTTTAAAGTACAGTACTGTCGTAAGAATCACATTTAGAAGTGTAACAACATAGTGTATTTAATCAGTATCAGAATTTTTAAATTTATTTTATCATCATGGAATCTGAGAGTGAAAGGGTATCTTTGAAATCCTCTGACTAATCTTTACTGATTTTGCCTGCTTCCACTGAGCTGCGTGAACATGAGGAGCCATAGACACCCTGCAGGGATCTCAGTCTAAAGCAGTAATTCCAAACCTTAGTGTTGTTTCTCTAGAGAAGTACATCAGAATCTCTGTAAAGAGCTATTTTGAAAAATGTCTTTAATATAATTTTATGAAGAAATATATAATGCCTTTTATTCTTACAAATATAGAAATCTTTTAAAAATCTTAATCAGTGGGAAATTTGTGAGGAAGTTTTAATGATCATGTAATCTGGCAAATACATAATTCATTCACAGACCACACATCTGGAGGTGACAGGTAATATTGTTTATGCCTGAGTGGTATAATGTGTACTGCTGTTCCTAATACATAACAACCCAAAAGAAAAAAATGGACAAAAGAGAAAAGAGGCAGTTAGCTACCAAAAAATAAAATTAAAAATTAAAAAATATATATATATGGAAGGCCAATAAACAATAAGTTAATCATTTTTGCCATTAGGTTGGTAAAATTTAAAAGATGCTATACAGTATTGATGAGTGTGTGAAACAGAAACCTTCATATATTAGTGGTGGAAGGAGAAATTTTATTATCTTTTTGGAGAGTACATTTATCAGAATTTTAAGAACATACTCAACAATTCCACTTTTGGAATTTTTCCTACAGAAATCTCACACAATGAGGTAAAGGCTATTCATTACAGTGTTATACTTTTTTTATGTCCTCTCCCTTCTGAAGTGGAATCGACATAAATGTCCTTTGCTAGGGAAATAGGAGACATACTAAAAGTTAATCCTGGTAATTCCATGTAGTAGTTAAAAGAATGAGATAAATTTATTTATACAAACATGAAAAGCTGTCCCCAAAATATTAAGTGAAAAAAGACATAAAATAGTATAAATACTATAATCTCAGTTATATTTTTAAAATGAAAAATAAATTGTGTGTATACCAAGAAAGGAATTTGGGACAAAATACAGACATGCCTTGGAGATACTGTGGATGTGGTTCCAGATCACCATAAAAAAAGGTGAGTCACATGAATTTTTTTGGTTTCCCAGGGCATATAAAAGTTATATTTACACTATACTATAGTCAAGAGTGTGTAATAGCATTATATCTAAAAAAAAGTATGCATACTTTAATTTTAAAATACTTTATTGTTAAAAATGCTAATGATTATCTGAGCCTTCAGTTAATCATAATGTTTTTGCCAATCAGGGTGGTGGTTGCTGAAGATAGAGGTGGCTATGGCAATTTCTTAAATTACAACAACGAGGTTTGCTGTATTATTGACTCTTCCTTTCACAAAAGATATCTCTGTAGCATATGATGCTGTTTGATAGTATTTTACCTGTAGTAGAACTTCTTTCAAAATTAGAATCAATCCTCTCAAACCCTGCCACTGCTTTTTCAACTCTTTATGTAATATTCCAAGTCTTTTGTTGTCATTTCAGCAATGTTCACAGCATCTTTACCAGGCATAGATTCCATCTCAAGAAACCACTTTCTCTGTTCATCTATAAGAAGCAACTCTTCATCTATTCAAGTTTGATCATGAGATTGCAGCCATTCAGTCACATCTTCAGGCTCCACTTCTAATTGTAGTTCTCTTGCTATTTCCACCACATCTGCAGTTACTTTCTTCACTGAAGTCTTGACCCCCTCAAAGTTATCCATGAAGGTTGGAATCAGCCTCTTCCAAACTTCTGTTCTTGTAGATATTTGACCTCCTCCCATGAATCATGAATGTTCTTAATGGCATCTGTAATGGTGAATTTTTTCCAAAAGCTTTTCATTTTACTTTGCTCAGATCCATCAAAGGAATCACTACCTATGGCAGCTATCACCTTACAAAATGTATTTCTTAAGTAATAAGACTTGAAAGTCAAAATAACTAATGGATCACTTGGGCTGCAGAATAGATTTTGTGTTAGCCCACATGGAAACATCATTAATCTCCTTGTATATCTCCATGAGAGGTCTTGGTTGAGTAGGGGGATTGTTAATGAGCAGTAATATTTTGAAAGGAATCTTTTTTTCTGAGTTATAGGTCTCAACTGTGGGCTTAAAATATTCAGTAACCCATGCTGTAAACAGATGTGCTGTAATCCAGGCTTTGTTGTTCCATTAATAGAGCACAGAGTAGATTTCATATAATTCTTAAGGGCTCCAGGATTTTAGGAATGATAAGTATTGATTTCAAGGCCCCAGCTGCATTAATCCGTAACAAGAGAGTCAGCTTGCCCTTTGAAGCTTTGAAGCCAGGCATTGATTCCTTTCTATCTATGAAGTCATGGATGGCATCTTCTTTCAATAGAAGGCAATTTTTTCAACATTGAAAATCTGCTTTTTAGTGTAGTCTTGTCATATACCTTAGCTAGATCTTCCAGATAACTTGCCATAGCTTCTCCATCAGCACTTGCTGCCTCACCTTCCACTTTTATGTTATGGAGACAACATCTTTCCTTAAACTTCTGCTGGCTTCCAGCTGTTCTGTGCAGCTTCTTCACTTCTCTCAGCCTTGAGATAATTGAAAAGAGTTAGGGTCCTGCTCTGGATTAAGCTTTGGCTAAGGGAATGTTGCAGCAGGTTTGATCTTTCATCCACGCCATCCAAACCTTCTCCGCATCAGCAATAAAACTGTTTTGGTGTCTCATCATTTGTGTTTTCACTAGAGTAGCCCTTTTAATTTCCTTCAAGAACTTTTCCTTTGCATTCACATCTTGACTAACTCTTTGGCACAAGAAGCCTGCTTTTCAGCGTGTCTTGGCTTTTGATATGCCTTCCTCACTAAGCTTAATCATTTCTAGCTTTTGATTTAAAGTAAGAAACAGAGCCAGGCATGGTGGCTCACGCCTGTAATTCCAGAACTTTGCAAGGCCGAGGCTGGGAATCTCCGAATCCTAGGAGTTTGAGATCAGCCTGGGCAACACAATGAGCACCTATTTCTACAAAAAATAACAAAAAAAATACCCAATGTGCTGTCGCATACCTGTTGTTTCAGCTACTTGGGAGGTTGAAGTGGGAGGATCCCTTGAGCCCAGGAGGTAGAGGCCGCAATGAGTCATGATTGCACCACTGCACTGTAGCCTGGGTCAGAGTGAGACCCTGTCTCAAAAAATAAAAATAATTAATGTGAGAGACGTGACTTTTCCTTTTGCTTGAGCATTTAGATGCCATTGTGGGGTTATTGATCAGTCCACTTCCCATATAATTGTGTCTCAGGGATTAGAGAGGCCCAAGGAGAGAGGGAGAGAGACTGGAAATGGCCAGTTGGTGGAGCAGTCAGAGCATAGTCCATAAGTTCACTGTCTTACATAGGCATGGTTCATGGCATTGCAAAACAATTCCAATAGTAACATCAAAGATCACTGATCACAGATCACCATAACAGATATAAAAATAATGAAAAAGTTTGAATATTGTAAGAATTACCAAAATGTGACACAGAGACACAAAGTGAATATGTACTATTGGAAAAATGGTGCCAATGGACTTGCTCAATGCAGGGTTACCACCTTCAATTTGTAAAAAACATAATATCTGCAGAGCACAGTAAAGCAAAGTATAGTTAAACAAGGTATACCTGTATAAAACTGATTGCTTTAAAAATATTGAATTTGAAAAAGTTAAACCTTTTAAGTGTACAATCTTCTGGAGTTGTAAACAATACTAACAAACATCTGGCAAAATGTTATATTACTATGAATTTTCAGAAAGAACAGACATCAGTGACATTAATTTATACATAATGTATCTTATATAAGTAATCCAAATACAATTGAGCCTGGTTTCTGCTTTATATAAACCCTTTATATAAACCCTTTATATAAACCTCAGTTAAGAAAAATGCAAAAAAATGAGGCATGCCTGTACACAACTGTTAGCTGTGTCCTTAGTGAATGGCAGCAGGAGCGGCGGGGCGAGGGGGAAGGCAAGAGGAGGTAGTAAAGGGGGAATAGTTGAAGATTCTTTTTTTTTTTTTTTTTTTTTGAGACGGAGGCTTGCTCTGTTGCTCAGGCTGGAGTACAGTGGCGTGATCTTGGCTCACTGCAACCTCCGCCTTCTGGGTTCAAGCGATTTTCCTGCCTCAGCCTACCAAGTAACTGGGATTACAGGTGCCTGCCACCGTGCCCAGCTAATTTTTTGTATCTTTGGTAGAGACGGGGTTTCACCATATTGGCCAGGCTGGTCTCAAATTCCTGACCTTGTGATCCACCCAGCTCGGCCTCCCAAAGTGCTAGGATTACAGGCACGAGCCACTGCGCCCAGCCAAACTGCTTCAGTTCTAAAAATAAAAAAGGGTAGGGAGAGAGAGAGGGAACACAGTTATATGTCACCTATCCAGAACCCTTGAGAAATACGCATTTCAGGAGCCACTTACAGAATTATTAAAAATCAAATCTGTTGTTAGCCAGCATATTTGAGAGCCTACTGTTTGTTCAGCACTAAGCACTAACATATTTTTAATTTTTTTTAACTTGGAGAGAAATTAGTAAAATATTTTACATCTTTTTTTCAATATAGAGCACTAAAAATAGTTTAACCCAGCCTCCTCTTCCAACCTTTTTCACATCAGGCATCAATAGCAAATGATTATATTTTTAAAGCACAATTGGGGAAGCCATTATTAGATAAACCAGTGAACCAACCATGTTGCTCCCCCCAGCAGAGGAGACCAGCCTGGGGACTTCAGCCATGCCCAGTCATCTGAGAAAGCTAACCAGATCAGTTTCTGGACCCACCTATAACTGCACACCATAGAAGTTCTCCTTTAACCTGTTGATTTGTTTACATTCATTAACAATAGTTCCATACTACGCTGAAATAAAATGGTATTCTCAGAGATACAGCATTTTAACCCTAAACTAATCAGTCTCCTGATCCCTAGTCCAATGTGTCCTTTATTCTCAACTAGACTGCCTCAACTTGATAAGTTCCTAGTTCCCACCAAAAGTTAGGGCCAGATTTTGATGTTACAGACTACTTAGCTAAATTGAGTGGACCTTAATATGTGGGAGCCAATATTGATATTTTTTGAGGGAAGACACATACTTTCTAATATAAAAATTTAATCTGATACTTTAAACAGGGACAGATCAAAGATATGGTCACTTTTTTATCCCTCCCAGACATGTTGCATAACTTAATTTTTATAATGGATGTGAAATTTTCTAAACGTTACAATGAAATCTTTTTTTTAAAAAGAAGCAGATATAAATTTAAAATTCTTCCAAACAATTAAAAATAAAATTTAATTTGAAAGAAACATATAAAATAAAACTCTCAGGAAAGAAATTTATAATGGAAGTCATGAGACCAGCAAGTAGAGAATAGCAGTGATACTGGTAAGAGGAGAAAGCAACATGTACTACATATGAAGCAAGCCAAACTTGATGTTGTAGTATATATGAGGGAATTAATAATTAAAGGTGGCCAATATTTCTCATTGGACTAGAATAATAATAGGCTTATAGAATAAAGAATTTAAGAAAGATAGCAAGCAAAATTTTGGAAATAGAATTTGGTGTTAGGCATAGTGCGTATTAAAGTGACACAAAGCTTTGTGTCAAGGTATCTGGCAAGAAAAGCAGGCCAGAAATTTAGATTTGAGGAGCAGATACAAAAATGATAATTAGAGAGATGAGTAAAGAATAAAATGTCATATATGCCTGAAAACAAAGTAAGTTTTGTTTTCTCTCCTAAAATTACCCATCAGAAAAGAGAGTGCTGCCTTATATTGAAATCACTAACACAAGATGATTTCTCAGTTACTTTATTTGGACTTACTTGGAGAAGATATACTGGCCTGAAATAACCATTGTATTTCGGATGTAAATTCAGGCTACCAGGTAGAATTAAAATTTGGTCAAATAAGATGAGGCCTGAGAATTGATCCTTAAATTTTTAGCATTGTCTAGGTCATTGGTGATCTTGAAAGAGCAATTTACATGGAGTAATTAGGAAGAAAGACTTCTGGGAATAGGTTCAGTAAAGAACAGGAGGAAAGGAAGAGAAGGGAGACACGTAGAAAACTCATGAAGAATTTTGCTACAACACTGTGCCAAGAAATGGGTAACAGCAGAGGAGTATAAGGTCCAGGTACAGGTTCATTTATTTGGTTTTGGGGGGTTTTTTTGGTTTTTGTTTTTTGAGACGGAGTCTCTTTTGTCGCCCAGGCTGGAGTGCAGTGGCACAATATCAGCTCACTGCAACCTCCGCCTCCTGGGTTCAAGCGATTCTCCTGCCTCAGCCTCCTGAGTAGTTAGGATTATAGGTGGCTGCCACCATGCCTAGCTAATTTTTGTATTTTTGGTAGAGATGGGTTTCGCCATGTTGGCCAGGCTGGTCTCGAACTCCTGACCTCAGGTGATCCACCCTCGGCCTCCCAAAGTGCTGGGATTATAGGAGTGAGCCACCATACCCAGCCATTAATTATATTTTCATAAAATATAACATCTCAACTCATTCTATTGGAATTACAGATTTAGCTCATTCAATTTATAGGAAATGTGTGCCATAAAATCCAATTGGCAAAGCCATTTCTCACTGTCATAAACAGTCAAGTCAAATTGACTTTTTGTCAGAAAAAGTTAGACTTTATATTTTGCTTGGTTTTCCAGAGACTTTTATACCCTAGGGCCATATACCTTAATAAGATCTGAAGTAGATTGGAGAGATAATATCTTTCTCTTGTAAAGTGGGAAAAAGTCAAGTCACTTTTAGAAAAAAAACACATCTGGAGGTTGGGATCTGGAAATCAATTTTCTTTTTTTCTTTTTTATTTTTAGAGACAAGCTCTTGCTCTGTCACCTGGGCTGGAGTGCAGTGCTACAGCCATGGCTCACTGCAGCCTGCACCTCCTGGGCTCAAGGGGTCCTCCCACCTCAGCCTCCTGAGTGAGACTACAGTTATGCAGCACCACACCTGGCTAATTTTCGTAGAGACAGGATCTCACTTCGTTGCCCAGGCTGGTCTCAAACTCTTGGGCTCAGGCAATTTTCCCCCCTCGACCTCCCAAAGTTCTGAGATTACAGGCATGAGCCACCTCGCCCAGCCTGGAAATCAGTTTTCTTAAAGCTATACACACCTATCTACACCATAGAGAGTCTTAGATGACTCCAGGGGTAAATGTATGAATACCTGTGCTCTAGGACACATAGATGATTCCCAAAGTAGTACTGATAATGATGAAGATATTAGTGTTAAATTGTGTCACGAGATGTGAGAATGAAGGGGGGGGAGTCATTTTTTCTTAATATTTTATACAATATTATTTTAAATATATGTTCAATTAACTTCTATAATAGATACTTGATTATTTCATTTATCTCCTTAGGATTGTATACATTCAAAATGTCACCTCCCCCAAAAAAGTGGTATAATCTAAGGATGGCCTTATTTTTGGCATAGATAGTATCATACGGTCACACTTGGCTGTGTGTGAATCCATACTCATCTCATGATTAAGATCCTTAGGCCAGGCATGGTGGTTCATTCCTGTAATCCCAGCATTTTGAGAGGTGGGCAGATCACTTTGAGGCCAGGAGTTCAAGACCAGCCTGGCCAATATGGTGAAACCCCATCTCTACTGAAAATGCAAAAATTAGCCAGGTGTGGTGGCCCACACCTGTAATTCCAGCTACTCAGGAGGCTGAGGCACGAGAATCACTTGAACCCAGGAGGCAGAGGTTGCAGTGAGCCGAGATTGCACCACTGCACTCCAGCCTGGGCAACAAAGTGAGACTCTATCTCAAAAAATAATAATAATAATTTAAAAAAAGAAAATATAAATCATATTAAGCAAGTGTTAAAAATGAAAAGAAAGTAAAAAGCTTTAAATGATGTACTGTGAGGTGTTTTGTTTGTTTTAATGGAAGAGTATAATTTTGTTTCTTTGGAAATAGTCCTAAATATTGATGAATACCTTTTGGAAGGTAAGAATGTCATGGAATACTTTCTATAGAACATTAGTCCACATATTCTGTTCCCGCCTATCTCCACACCACTGAGCAACAGTGCCTGCTCCCAGTGCAAACACACATTCTTATATCAGCATCAAGACTACATAACAGTGAGGTGGGTTTTTTTGTAGAGAACATACAGAAATTTGGAGAAAGGATCATCAAGTATTGACAAAGTCAGAAACTTAGTACTGCTAAGGAAATTTATTTTTTGGTCACTTAATATGATACTAATAACTTGTTTAAAATCTAGTTAACTACTGCATTATAATTTATTATATTCTATTCACAGGGCTTCATTATTTCAAAAATGTTGTGCTAGTGGGATCCCTACAGGATCGCTATGTTCCTTATCACTCTGCCCGCATTGAAATGTGTAAAACAGCTTTAAAGGACAAACAGTCAGGTAATGGAATAAAATTATTTCAAAGAGTTATAGGTATTAATGAGCTCTTTCCAAAATTTTTCTTGTAGTCACTTTCTCTCGTATCTGTCACCCTTCTCTTTCCTGTTACTTCCTTTCCACCCACTTATATTAACAGCTGTCCTTTTTCCATTCTTCTCACCTGCCACGTGAACTGCCTTTACCAATGAAGTAATACTTTCATCTAATTACAAATGCCTCTCCATTTTGCTGCCTCAGAAGTAGTTCATACTTTGATTTCCTCTGAATTAATGGGATTGACAATTGTAGTCATCCTTGTCATATGTTCTGCTGTACCTCGCTTTTACGCAAAGGTGGCAGCAAGGATTTGCCCCTCTTTACTGATAGTAAATGATAAAGACTTTATTTGTTCTTTTGCTATTTGTGAATAACAAAATAAATTTAAAGTATAGCCATTTGGAGCCAGAAGGAAACTTGAGTCCTGTTTACTCATTTTATAACTAAAGCCCAGAGATACTAAGTGGCTTAGCCCGAATCAGTTAATTACAGACTTAGGTCAAGAACCTGGTCTCCGGGCGTGGTGGCTCCTGCCTGTAATCCCAGTACTTTGGGAGGCCAAGGCAGGTAGATCACCTGAGGTCAGGAGTTCGAGACCAGCCTGGCCAACATGGTGAAACCCCGTCTCTACTAAAAATACAAAAATTAGCCGGGCGTGATGGCGGGTACCTGTAATCCCAGCTACTTGGGAGGCTGAGGCACGAGAATAGCTTGAACCCGGGAGGGAAAGGTTGCAGTGAGCCAAGATCATGCTGTTGCACTGCAGCCTGAGAGACAAGAACGAAACTCTGTCTCAAAAAAAAAAAAAAAAAAAAAAAACCCTGGTCTCCTACCTCTCAATATTGCCTCAGATCCGTTTTTGGAATGAGGCTGATTTTAAACTCTTAATCCTTTATTTTTCTACATTGTGACGGTGAACAGCTCCTTAAGGCAAGAACTGTCTTAAGCACATTTTTATTGACAGTGCCTAACATGCTGCCTGCTACATGGTAAGTACTCCTTTATTGTACATTTGTGACATCAAAATAACCTTTTCTTAACTTCTGTTCTAGCAAAGGCTAGAGTCCACCTAAGGAAAAAATTCAGAAGAGTCTTAACCTTCAGATGAGTAGCTGAAACTAGATAAATGTCCCTTATTTTAATAGTGAGGTTCTGTGACATTGGGGAACAAGGGGAATCAAATGATGAAGACATGTTTAGACTTCTTCCTGTATTAACATATTTTTAAAATAGCATGGAACCACAAATCCAACCTGACTCAAAATGAAAACTAAGAGGAGAGGTGGGAGTAAAAAGTTTTTTGATGAGTATGTATTAAGTCAGTCTTTCTCTTAAACACCTCTCTTTTCTATATCTGATTGTACTTCTGTGTACTTTTCCCTTCTTGTCATTCCTCAGGCAGCATCCTACCTGTCTTCTGAAATTTAATATTTACCTCTCTAAAGCTCACACGTTCCATGGACACTGTTAGTACTCATTTATTAGTATATAGTAATGCATAAGCATTGTAAACAATGTTTTGCCCCTTAGAAGGCAGTTTATACATTTATGTGGATGTATTCTAATCGTTATCTTTTATGTGCTTAGTATGACCTCAGTAAATCCATTGTAAGAATTAGCTAAACATTGTTTGGGCGCAGTGGCTCATGCCTGTAATCCCAGCACTTTGGGAGGCTGAGGCAGGAGGATCACCTGAGTCCAGGACTCTGAGACTAGCTTGGGCAACATAGCAAGACCCCATTCTACCAAAAATAAAAAATTAGCTAGGCTAATTAAAATGGTGGTGCACGCCTGTGTGGTCCCAGCTACTTGGGAGGGTTAAGATGGAAGGATTGCTTGAGCCTGTGATGTGGAGGCTGCAGTGAGTTGTGATCATGCCGCTGCATTCCAGCCTGGGTAACAGAGTGACACCCTGTCTCCAAAAACAAAAAAAGAAAACAAAAATAAGGAGAGAGGAACACAAGTACTAAATAAACCTATAGACCAAACAGAAGATCATGTTACTTGAGCCAAGCTCACGTTGTTCATCTGACTATAGGAGGTTGCTGTTCTTTCTTAAAATAATTTGGAAATTTTGACTGCCACAGAAACATCTTTAAAGTATTTGCTGTAGGCCAAGTTTATAATTTTGCCTTATCAAAATGTCTCACCATGTCTAGCTTATTTTCATAATTGTTTAATGAGTTATAAGTGACTTAACATTAAAGAAAACTATTTCTTTGTTATAGGCATTGCTTTGAGTTAAAAATACCAAATTTCGGCTGGGCGCAGGGGCTCACGCCTGTAATCCCAGCACTTTGGGAGGCTGAGGCGGGAGGATCGCCTGAGGTCAGGAGTTCGAGACCAGCCTGGCCAACATGGTGAAACCCCAACTCTATTAAAAATACAAAAATTAACTGGGTGTGGTGGTGCATGCCTGTAATCCCAGCTACTCAGGAGGCGGAGACAGGAGAATGGCTTGAACCCGGGAGGCAGAGGTTGCAGTGAGCCAAGACCACACCATTGCACTCCAGCCTGGGCAACAAGAGTGAAACTCCATCTCAAAAATAAAAAAAAAAAAAAATCAAATTTCAAGAATAATGTATAATAAATTTGTTATTTCCACTTGACTAGATAATGTGATTACTTACATTTTCTATAAACAGAACCAAAAATGATAGTTGAAGGAAAATTAAACCTTTTTAAAAAGAGCCATTTTTCTGCTTTATATGGAAATAATGTAACTAAATTTTATAACTTATCTAAAAATTGGCATAGTTTTTTTATTTTCAGTTACTATTGTGAACTAATTTTCCTTTTTTCTGTTGGTTCCATAGGACAGATCTATTCAGAAATGATCCACAACTTGCTTCGACCCGTTCTGCAAAGCAAGGACTGTAATTTGGTTCGCTATAATGTCATCAATGCATTGCCCAATACAGCTGATTCACTCATTGGGAGAGCTGCACATATAGCTGTTCTTGATTCGGAAATATTTTTAGAGAAATTCTTTCTGGTTGCTGCCCTCAAATATTTCCAATAGTATAAAAGCATTGTTAGCGACTGGACAATTACCTCATTCAACAATGTTTCAAATAATGTATTATATTAAAATGTAGATGCTGATAAGTTCTAAGAAATATTTATACCTTTTTATATGGAAGATAATTTATATCATCCATGTTTAGTGCTTTTTAAACATCAACTTTACTTTCTAGGTAATGTGGCTGTGCAATATTTTTTTAATTTTATCTTTTTACTTTTCTATTACTTTTTCATATATTTTGCTACCTAAGTATTTCAGTGAAACTTTAAGCCCATACCTGTGTCTGATTGTTTATTATTGGCTTTCCACAATTCTTACATCAGACTACATTATATTAGAGACCATTATTGCTAGAATAGCATGGGATTTAAAATTTTCTAATACTGGGGGTATTATTTAGTTAATTATAAATTTTTCTTTTCACATTTTACTGTGTTTTAACTGGAAATAAAATTATGGCTGCTACAATATATTTTTTGAAATCAACTTCTGTAGTTCTAAAATACAACTTTATCATACAATCAAACCAGGTAGTTCATATAAAACAGTGTAATACAAGTTTTCTATAAAGTCATTACTGTTGCTTAAACATATTTCATGCCTATTAAAATATATTTTCTACTGGTGATTTCAACATTATTTCTCATACTGACTTTTATTACTGGAAATGTTCCTGTACATGTTGGCAGCAGATAAAGATTTTTGAATGTTTGAATGCCCTCTGCCTTGATTTGGTTGGAATTTTTGCTAAATTGGTAATGTTGCTTGAACTTTATGACTACATTTTCTTTTAACTTTTTTCATGGACTTCCTTATATGTACATAATAATTAAATGTTGAAATTTATGAAATACTTTTATGAATTTAGATAATTTTTAAATATTGTTAAAATTTATTGAACTAAAAAGTAATGTAAATAAAATAATTCATGTTAAAGATGGAACAAAATAATTAACTTTACATGTTTGGTGATACAGATGCAAATGTTTTTGATATATGGAGATGTTGAGTCTTTTGACTTTACTAAAGGTGCTGAATAGCATTAAATTCACTATTTTCCTTTTCTGTTTTACTTGTGAAAATAAAAATGCACTAAGGTTGGGTAGAAGTTCTGTTTGCACTCACTAATTGTGACAGACAGAGGTTTTTGTAAGTATTTATTGTACAATTGATGCATGTTTATTTTTAGCGTTGTTATTGCCTCTGGTGTTAATAAATGAACAAATGGCTATCTGGAGGAACAGCTACAACCCTTGTAATCCTTTGCTTATTCTCTGAATACTAGAGGTATATATATTTTATTTATAACATAGACCAGCCTAATTATATAACTTGTAGCCTTTGTATTTTTATATCTTTTGTATATATTATTATAGTTAAAATAATTTTGATTGCTATTGATAATTATTTACTTTTTAGAAAGTACTCAAAATTTTTATAAACTAATATCCCAAGTGCATTATAACTAGAAAATGTAAATATATTAATTAGCCACCACATATTTTTGCCAAGCACATTTTTTATATTCCTATATCTTGGCTCTGAGTTTGAAATGTGCATATTCAAAGTTTGGATAATTTTCAGGTTTATCAAAGGACTCAATCATATAAATAGTATTTGAGTGGAAATTGCTCTTATCATAGTTGATTGATTAGTTTTTGGTTATTTTAATACAGTTCTAAAAGCACATCTGTGTTCATGGTTTAAAATCTAACAAATTTAACTTACTTGATTTATCTGGGAAACCACCACACACTATTCACCTCCAAATTCAGATTGTGGGAGATGGGGTACAGTTATGGGGGAGAGAGGAAACAATGATCTGAAATGGTATTATTGACTCTTACTTTAGAGAATGAATCTCATTGAAGTATACCAGTAAGAGTTCTTGGTTGCAAACAACAAAAAAAATTATGATCAACCTAAACAGAAAAAGAATTTATTGGAGGAGGATCAGGTAGCTCACAGAATTGATGGAAAGGCTAGAGAGCCAGGTTTGGAAAACAAATAGAAGCCAAAGGAAAGTAGATGACCAAAAGCATAGCCAAGTTCTGATGACCTCAGAGCTAAATGACTGTATTCTTCTCTAGCCAGGATGACCCTGGAAACTGGATTTCAAGTACTTGTTTTATCACTTCAGATTCAAAGCGTAGTAGAATGTCCAACTGACCAAGTTTAAGTCTTGTGCCAGTGCTTGGGCTGTCAGGCATCAAAGACAGCAGATGTATCTGACCTCGTTAGTTTCCACAGTAGAAAATGGGACCCTTTATTCTACCAAGGTTAACCAAACATATGAAATGGGTTTGATGACAGCACCAAATATAAAAACACATCAGGTGTAATATAGTCCATCTTTTTGTCTTCCCAACATCTGCAAGCATAATTCTCTCCATATTTACACATTTAAAATGCATCTTTCTGACATAGTACTACTATCCCTCATCCAGTTTTAAGTCCAGGACCTCAGTGTGATGTTCTCTGATTCTGTAATAATCTCATCTCAATAGTGTGCAACTCATAGACAAAATTGTGACCTAACCACCACCCCTATACATAATAACAGTATAATAGGAAAGAAGCTGGGCGTGGTGGCTTATGACTGTAATCCCAGCACTTTGGGAGGCTGAGGTGAGAGGATCACTTGAGCTAGGAATTCAAGACCAGCCTGGGCAACATAGCAAGACCCCATCTCTAGAAAATAATTTAAGTGAGCCTGGTGGCATGCACCTGTAGTCCCAGCTACTTGGAAGACTGAGGTGGGAGGATCACTTGAGTCCAGGAGTTCAAGGTTGCAGTGAGTTACTGCACTTCAGCCTGGGCGACAGGGAGACCCCCCAACTCAAATATATATATACATATGAAATAAGAGAAAATTTTATAAACATGCATGAGCCAGTGAGGAAGAAAACAAAATAGAGCAGGGCTTTGCAATGTCCGTGCCAAGAATTACCTAGACTACTTTAAAAATACACATTCTAGGACCTTATTACGGACCACCTGAATCAGAATTTTCAGGATAGTGTAAAAGCAGCAGCATGTTTTATGTCCCAAATTTCTCTAATAACACGTCGCAAATACAGTACTTAGTCCTGTCAGTGGTCGTGAATCTAGATGGTTATGACTTCTCACCACTGCCAACTATTTTCTGTTTTCTTTATGTTCAAGCAGCACCTCTGCTGATCAGATTTATGTATCCAGTGGATGACAGAGGATCTGAGGTGTGGGTGGTCTTGCCTATATATGGTTGTAATAGTCTTATATGTAAATGTTACCATTCAGCATGGTATTTTTTAAAATAAAATATAAAAACATGGTATTGTGAGGAGGGATTCCAGGAGACCCCCCTGACTTCTGGTTATACTGTTCTCCCTACTCTCTTTTCTCCATGGTCATCAGGGCCAATCACTCCAGCTAGCACCATCACCACTTTCTCTAACCTTACCTAGAGGAATGAGGTCAAAATGGCTGGGTGGCAATTCCAGCTGGGCACAAAAATTGCTATACCAACAGAACCTGGACTCAGAGATGGCTAGCAAGAGTAGTGAAGGGTCTGAGATTTTATCCTACTTGCAAGGTTACAGGCTAGGTTGCTGCAGTTTCATGGATGATGACAGGATACTCCTGGACAAAAGACAAAACAGCTTTATTACAGCAAAATAGAAGCCAGAGTGTCCGCATATTTGCATCAGTTCCCGTAGCCCAATTCCCACAGTGTGATGCAGAGGGCCGGATGACGTCTGTGCACATGGGGGGTTGCATTACAGAAGAATCCAGGATCAAGAATCAAGCAGTTTTTGAGCAAACAACAAACAAGCTAGTCTCTCTCCCCCAGGGAGCAGCAGTTAAATGGTAGTAATGCTGTGATTGCCTTGACCTACTTAGGTGCCTATATGACTAACTACAGAAACTGCTTAGCATCAGGAGATGGATACGGCTTGCAGTCTGGCACACTCAGTAATAATATACAGGCATGTTCAGGGGCCTTCGGAGCTTGTCTCTTCTCTACTACAATGGAAAGCAAAATATATTTTATATCAGTAAGTCATATGCAATAGTAAGAAGTCAGACCCTTTTCTACTCTTTGATCTCTGTTATTCTGTCAACAGAAGATATATCACCAAATACCGTTGACTCATTTGGAAAATATGACAAATCCTTTAGGGCAGTATCCCAAAGTGTATTTTCTCACCTCGTTCCAAAACAACCTTCAATAAGGCTGTCCGTCATTCCATAAAATCGGTTGCTTTTGGATGATGGAATATATAAGACTGTGAATCCTGCAGGCATTAGTCCCCTGCTTTACATCTTTCACAAGAAAATGAGTTCTTCGGTAAGAAGCAATGTTGTATATGATATTGTATTAAATATGGAGTAGTGTGTTAAGGTATTCAGTAAGTCCACAGGTGAAGTATATAATAAGCATAAATCAGGGAAAACAATCTAAATGCAGAATAATTGTCTCTTCCTGTAAGAACAAATTGCAACCTCCTTCATAACAGTAGGATTTCATTGTAATCAGACCTGCCACCCAGACCACATAAAAGTGTATCATGGGATCAAGTTGGTCACTGCAGTTGGCGAGTAGTGGTAGTAGCCAATCAGTCATGGCAGAAGAAAGACGGTGTTAAAAGTACATGTATGTCTCCATTCTTGCCACCGTGGCTACCTTGTTACTGAGTCCACACCTGTTGTGGGGGAAGGAGGCTGAGTAATTGATGTCCACAGAATGGGTCACTGTTGCAGCCCTTGTGTAATCCCCTTTTGAGAGTGGCCGGGACCTAATAATAGGATACAGTGGAAGTGGTGGGATGTCGCTACCGAAATGAGATTACAGAAGTTCAGGGCTTCCATTTTGAGTGGTCTTTCTTGCTCCTTAGTTCATTTGTCCTGTGGAAAGCCAGCTGCCATGTTGCAAGATAGCCTTTGGAGAAGCCCACTTAACAAATAACTGAGAAGGTTTCCAGTCCAAAGTCCACAAGGAACCAAATCTTGCCAATAATCATGTGAATGAGCTTGGAAGCAGATCTTCCCTTAGTTGTGCATTTATACGAGACTGGGACTTCAGCCAACAGCTTGGCTGCAACCTCATTTAGGACCCAGAACCACAGTCACTCTGGCTTCTAGGTTACTGATCCACAAAAACTGTGAGAGAATAACTGTTTATTGCTTTAAGCCAATAAATTTTGGGATAATTTGTGAGGCAGCAATAGATAACTAATAATCTTGTTCTGATTAAGAGCCCTTCTGCAATGGAAGCTCTTTTTTTTTTTTTTTTTTTTAACGTTCAATAGGACCCAAATGTTTTCATGCTTTGGGACCACTTTGAGAGGTCCTATTCCAAAGACCCAGTCCAAAACTTTTACATTCCCAGTTCCCAGCCACTTGACAAACCAGTCACTGCCTATGAAATGTCGATTTTTATCTCAAGCCATGTCTCTTTTTAGGCAAAGCATACAAGATAAGCTAAATTCTGGCCAGGCACAGTGGCTCACACCTGTAATCCCAGCACTTTGGGAAGCTGAGAGGGGTGGATCCCTTGAGGCCAGGAGTTTGAAACCAGCCTGGTCAACATGGCGAAACCCTGTCTCTACTAAAAATAGAAAAATCAGCCAGGTGTGGTGACATGTGCCTGTAAAAACATAAAATACATAAATAAGCTAAATTATGCATGCTGGAAATAATTTTTTTTCCCTGTTCTGTTCCTTCAGGGCCTCTGTTAAGTGGGGCTCTAAATATGAAAAGCAGTCAGTTGCCAGCTGGGCCAGTTTATTGAGCAAAGCCATCATCCGACTTTGAATTTTTTCCTCAGTCAGCTAGTCACAAGGAATTCATTATTAAACTGTAGATATAAGCTAAAGGTCAAAAGCATGATATTAGGACTGTGAGCTCCCTACAAATGAAAACTGTTTCCGTTTTGACTTTGGCCCAGTTCTGTGTATCCCACTTTCTCTCTTTTTTCTTTTTCTGTTTTTGAGATGGAGTTTTGCTCTGTCTCCAAGGCTGGCGTGCAGTGGCGTGATCTCTGCTCACTGCAATCTCCGCCTCCCGAGTTCAAGCGATTCTTCTACCTCAGCCTCCCAAGTAGCTGGGATTACAGGAATGTGCCACCTCGCCCGGCTAATTTTTGTATTTTTAGTAGAGTGTTGGCCAGGCTGGTCTCGAACTCCTGACCTCAGGTAATCTACCCGCCTCGGCCTCCCAAAGTGTTCGGATTACAGGAGTGAGCCACCTTGCCCGGCCCACTTTCTCTTCGTAAAAGGATCTCCTTATCTAGGAGAACCAGATAATTCTCAGTTCATGATAAGAAGCTTCGATCGTATAACCACTTGATGTCACATGGTCAGACACTACCAAGGCGCAATAGCTAGCCAGAAACTTTTCTTTAAAAGAAAAGACAAAATTCCAGAATTCTGGGGGCCTTCACTATGATTCTGTAAATATTTCCACGAGTTGCACAAAGCATCCAGGTCTGCCACATCCACTCAACGCTATCAGAGCTGGTGGGATGTAAGGGTTAAGGGGCAGAGCTCATTGCACTGGATCCTGGCCTGGATGGAGAGCCTTTTCTTGCTTTGCACCTCATTCAAAAATGTCGCCTTTCATATCATCTGGTTAGTCGGTCAGAATGGACGAACTAGGAGCTGACTGAACAAAGATTTAAAACACAAAACAGGGAGAATTAGGTAAAAGAAGCATTTTACATGAGTGAGAGAGTAAAAGGTGCTCAATCTTTGTAAACTATAAAAGGGATCTTCCACGGGCCATTTCGGCTCAGACTGACAAGCATGAACGGAACGGAATTATTCCCTCTTCTAACTGCAGCCACGATTTGGCGTTTTAACACCGGGCTCAAGGTAGCCTGGGTCTCTCTTGGCCAAAGAGCCCAGGGATGCCTCTAACTCCTTTTCTAAAGCCGGCCACGGAGGCCCCGCCCTCTGCAGGGAGGCTCCGGATCATGCCCCCTGCTCCTCCCACTACTGCTTTGCGCCTGCGCGGAGGCTCGGGGAGTCGGCGCCATGACCCCATCGAGGCTTCCCTGGTTGCTTAGCTGGGTCTCGGCCACGGCGTGGAGAGCGGCAAGTAAGCACCTGGCCTCGGGGCCACGGTCGCGGGAGGGGTCGTGAAGGCCCAGGCGCAGAGAGAAGCGCCTCCCGCGGAGGAAGCCGCGTGTGTCCTGGCCGTTCGGTGTTGCCAGGGGCTGCCCAGCTTCTCCCGCCCAGCCGCCCACCCGGTGGCCTGGGCAGGTTCCTGCAGCGCCCCGGGTCTCGGGTGGGACTAGAGCGAGAAAATCGCTAAGGCCCTTTCAGCCCCCGGGACGTCCGCTTCCTACCGAGCACGCGGTGGCCCAACAGGACCACAAACGTTCCGGGTTGTTCCTGTGGGAGCTCGCAGGGCACACCGCACTTCGATGCCCCAGAGAAAAATGGAAAAGAAGGCCCTTTGGGAATGGGAGTCATTGATTTACTTATTTATTTACATCATTATTTACAGGAATCCGCGCTCCTGGTCCAGGCTCCAGCAGAAAAGGATTTGTGGCAGTTTACAGTTTATCTTTTAAAAATGGGAAAAGTGCAGAAGTGAGCCAAAGGCAAATAAGTATAACGTAAATTAGATGAAGCCAGGAATTGTCAGTACAGAAAAAGCATTCATGCTTTCAGTAAAACCAACATTTTTAAACCCATTGTTGTTGGAAATTTTTCTCAAGATAATACAGTTAGCAGCCCAGACTATGCAAAACATAATTTTATTTATTTATTTATTTATTTGTTTATTTATTTTGAGATGGAGTCTCGCTCTGTCCCTCAGGCTGGAGTGCAGTGGCGCAATCTCGGCTCACTGCAAGCTCTGCCTCCCAGGTTCACGCCATTCTCCTGCCTCAGCCTCCTGAGTAGCTGGGACTACAGGCGCCCGCCACCGTGCCTGACTAATTTTTTGTATTTTTAGTAGAGACGGGGTTTCACCGTGTTAGCCAGGATGGTCTCGATCTCCTGACCTTGTGATCCGCTCGCCTCGGCCTCCCAAAGTGCTGGGATTACAGGCGTGAGCCACCGCGCCCGGTCCGCAAAACATAATTTTAATATATGACACCTGGAGAAGTTATGTAAGTTGAAAACAGTAATTATTGCCCTCAAATGGTGCCAGATTTCTATGCAATTTGTTTTCCTTTGTGCAATCATTTTACCCAAATACAAACATTTTACTTAATTGTATAAGTTTTAAATAGTCCAGAAATGAATAATACAGAAAGTGAAAGTCCTACATTATCCAAACCTCAAGGTAATAACGTTAAAATTTTGTAGGGTTCATTCAACATCCCCCTTTAACTAGTTTTAAACAATTATGAATTATTCCATATATATATATGTATACACACACACACACGTAGCACACATGTAAGCTATGTAGCAGTCATGTAAGCTATGAAGCACAACCAGCATCTATGAACTTATACTCCAATTTAAGAAATAGTCTCTATTGCCAAGGAGGTCTCTATTTGCTGCTTCCTGATACAACTGTGCAATGGTGTTTTTAATCTTTATAGAAATGTTTTCATATTGTTGATTTTTTTTCAGATAACGCTGTGTTTTGTGATTGAGTCACATTGACGCATGAGGTTGTAGTTATTCATTCAACTGTGTGAACATATGATGCATTTTCCAGTGCCCTTCTCAAAGGACATTTGGGTAATTCCAGAAACACTAGGATTGGGTGCTACACATTCTTGTGTACCTTATTTGTGCATTAGTGGAAGGAGTAGAATTCCTGGAGTATGTTATAGGTCTTTTCATTGTTACAATATAATGCCAAGGTGTAACGGCATTTTCTAATTCTATAGCAATTTTCACTTCTACCAGCAGTGTATTGGAGTTCTGTTGTTCCACAAACTTGCCGAAACTTAATTTTGCCTTAGGTTTTAATTTTTGGCTGCCTACAGGGAAATGAAATGACACCTCATTGTGATTTTGCTTTTCTCTGATTAAAGAAGTAAAACATCTTTTCAAATATTCACTTTTTGTGAAATACCTCTTTCTTTTTTCTTTTTTTTTTTTTTTTTTTTTGAGGCGGAGTTTCGCTCTGTCGCCCGGGCTGGAGTGCAGTGGCGCGATCTCGACTCACTGCAAGCTCCGCCTCCTGGGTTCACGCCATTCTCCTGCCTCAGCCTCCCGTGTAGCTGGGACTACAGGCGCGCGCCACCACGCCCGGCTAATTTTTGTATTTTTAGTAGAGACGGGGTTTCACCGTGTTAGCCAGGATGGTCTCGATCTCCTGACCTCGTGATCCGCCCGTCTCGGCCTCCCAAAGTGCTGGGATTACAGGCGTGAGCCACCGCACCCGGCCTCTTTTTTCTTTCTTTGTTTTTGAGACGGAGTTTCACTCTTGTTGCCCAGGCTGGAGTGCAATGGCGAGATCTCAGCTCACTGCAACATCTGCCTCCTGAGTTCAAACGATTCTCCTGCCTCAGCCTCCCAAGTAGCTGGTATTACAGGCGCCCACCACCACACCCAGATAATTTTTTGTATTTTTGGTAGAGACAGGGTTTTGCCATGAACTCAGGTGATCTATCAGCCTCGGCCTACCGAAGTGTTGGGATTACAGGCGTGAGCTGCCACGCCCGGCCTTTTTTCTTAACAGATTGCTTCTTATTTATATTCTTTACATATATTTGTATGCTAAACCTTTTTTAGTTACGTAAGTGTCAAATACCTCAATTTGTGGTTTGTTTCTGTCACTGCTAGGCAGAATAGAATAACGGGTCTGCATGTGTAATCATGCAGCTTCAATATAAAAGGTATCTTAATAAACAGATGTTTATAATTTTATCTATAAAATTTTGTCTTGATCCTTTTGTTTATTGTGACTGCCTTGTGGTCTTGTCTAAGAAACCCTTCTGTACCCTAAAGTCATGGACATAATCTCTTATATTTTCTTCTCAAAGGTTTATAGTTTTGCTTTTCACATTTAAGCCTTTATTCTACCAGGAATTGATGGTTTGTATATGGTGTGAGGCAGGAAACCAGTTTTCATTTTTTTTCATATCAAACACTTGTCCCAGGTTCATGTATTTATAGGACCTTTCCCCTACTGATATAATGCGAGCCATCATAAATCAAGTTTACTTATACATATAGGCATACGTTTATTTCTTGGCTCTTTTCTCAGTCCCATTGACCTATTTGTCTATTCCTGTGCTGATACTACCTGTCTTGATAATTATAGCCATAACTTTGTTATAAATCTTACTATTTTCTGACTGTTGTTTATGTACAGAAACATGATGCTTAATGATTTTGTATCTAAATTACCTTATTAATTTAAATAATTTACTTTGCAGATTTTGGGGACTTTGCTGCATAGCCATTCATATCATCTGCAAATGGTGACAGTCTAGTTTCTCCCTGTCTAATCCTTTTTTTTGAGAAAGGGTCTTGCTCTGTCACCCAGGCTGGAGTGCAGTGGCGCAATCTCTGCTCACTGCAACCTCCACCTCCCGAAATCAAGTGATTCTCCTGCCTCAGCCTCCCGAGTAGCTGGGATTACTGGTGTGCACCACCATGCCCGGCTAATTTTTATATTTTTTTTAGAGATGGGGTTTTGCCATGTTAGCCAAGTGATCCTTGAGAGCCTCGGCCTCTCAAAGTCCTGGGATTACAGGCGAGAGCCACCGTGCCCCCCACCACCCTCCCTGTCTAATCCTTATATCTTTTTTCTTTCTTTGCTCAGATTTCCAGCACCATGTTGACTAGAAGTGTTGACAGCAAGCATACTTATCTTGTTTATGATTATAAAGGGAATGCATTTCTTTTTATCATTAAGGTGTGATATTGCAGTCATTTAGATAAAATTGCTACATTTTTTTTTAAGTCACCATCTCCTAATAACTTCTAAGGCATGTTTTATAAACGAATCCTCAGGGAAGAGTTCTAGCTATCTCCCAAATAATTCTGTTCTTTTAAACCAAAAAATCTCCGTCTTATGTTTTTGTTAAAACTCTTTATTTTGGATTTACATTTACTTACAGGATTTAATGATCCATAACTGTGGGTCTTCAGAGTCCAAGCCTTTGTGAAATAAAATTTCATGGAACATGAAAAAAAAAATATGGTATTAGCTACAGTTATACCCTTTTTGGGTTAAGGAAGTCTGTTTCTATGTAGAGTTTTGGGATTTTGTTTTGTTTTTGTTTATGTATTTGTATTTGTTTTTTAATGATGAATAAATCTTGAAGTTTACTTAATTGATTTTTCTTTGTCTTACTGAGGTGTTCTTCGTCTTACTGAGGTGTTTATCATTTTCTGCTTTAATCTGTTGAGGTGGTAAATTACAGATTTTTCTGATAGTGAATCACTTGCATTCCTAGAAAATATTCCAAAGGATCATAGTGATTATATTTTTAAATATAATGTTGTATTTGTTGTGCTTATATTTTGTTTAGAAATTGGCCTGTAATTTTCTTCTATTATACACTGAAACCCCTGCCTCCCGGGTTCAAGTTATTCTTCTGCCTCAGCCTCCGGAGTAGCTGGGATTACAGGCACACGCCACCACTCCCAGCTAATTTTTGTATTTTTAGTAGAGACAGGGTTTCACCATATTGGCCAGGCTGATCTCAAACTTCTGACCTCGTGATATGCCTGCCTTGGCCTCCCAAAGTGCTGGCATTACAGGTGTGAGCCACCGCGCCCAGCCTTCCCTGGTTTTAATATTAAGGTTATTCTAGCCTCATATAATGTACTGGGGATTCTACTCACTCTTTTCCCTTCTTTGTTAGATTTTGTTTAAGATTGGAATTATTTGTTCCTTGAGGGTTTGTTACAACTCACCTGCAAAACTGTCTAGACCTGTTCTTCTCTTCGAGGGAAGACTTTAAATTACTTGTTTAACTTCTATAATGGTTATTATTATATTTATCAGGTTTCCTCTTAAGTCAGTTTTGGTAAGTTAACTTTTTCTGGAAAGGTTTCCATTTTGTATTGTTTCAATATATAGGCATAAAGTTTCTGGTATTTTTTTAAAATTTTCTGCTCTCCATATAATATGTACTCTCTTTTTCTCATATTATCTATTTTGCTTTCTCTTGTTTTTTTATAGTAGCCTTACCAAAGCTTTTACAACACTTTCAGTCTTTTTTTGTCTTTTTTTTTTTTTTTTTTTTTTTTTTTTGAGACAAAGTCTTGCTCTGTCGCCCAGGCTGGAGCGCAGTGGTGCGATCTTGGCTCACTGCAACCTCCACCTCCCGGGTTCTAGTGATTCTCCTGCCTCAGCCTCATAGCTGGAATTACAGGCGTGCACCACCATGTCTGGCTAATTTTTGTGTTTTTAGTAGAGACGAGGTTTCACCATGTTGGCCAGGCTGGAACACTTTCAGTCTTTTCAGAGCACCAACCTTTGTTTATTGTTGATCTTCTTTGTTATAAGTTATGCAAAGGATATTTATTGTACAACATGGTGACTATAGTTAATATCAGTGTATTGTATACTTGAAAATTGCTGAAAGTAGATTTTAAATTTTCTCATCACAAATAATAGATATGTGAGTTAAGGCATATATTAGCTTGATTTAGCTATTTCACAATATATACATATTTGAAAACATGCTGTACACCATAAATGTATATAATATTTATCAATTAAAAAATGAAGACTATATTGAAAGTTATTTTTACATTGTAAATTATGTTTTTATTCATTTTTTTCTTATTATCTTATTTTTCCATTTTCCGTGGTTTTTTTTTTAAACATGCAAATGGTGCATCTCACATAAACAGCATATGGCTTGTTTCCGGTTTGTTTGTATGGGGGTTTTTGTTGTTTTGCAGACTAATAGTCTCTTTACCCTTATAATTACTGATAAAATTACATTCCTCTGTTCAGACTCGTGGGTCTGTGTGTGTGTGCACATGCATGCACAGGTATGTGTGTTTTGGGTGGGATTTTGATTTTGATAAAACCTATAAAGATTTTGATTTTGATAAACATAAAGACTTTTGTATAGTCAGTATGTTAAAGCATTTTCTCTGTATTCTTATCTCCCACTTTACTTCTGGGAACACTTTTTTCTTTTTTCTGAGAGACAGAGTCTTGTCCTGTCACCAGGATAGAGAGCAGTAGTGCAGTCATAGCTCATTACACCCTTGATCTCCAGGACACAAGCCATACTCCCGCCTCAGCCTTCTGCCAAGTAGCTAAGACTATAGGCACCACCGTCATGCAGTCATGCCCAGCTAATCTTTCATTATTTTTATTCATTTGTCTCTATGCGTTTTTCTGTATAATTTCTTTGCAACTTTATTCCAGATTATAAATTCTCTTTTCAATTGTATTTATTCTGCTATTTGGCCTTTTTTTTTTTTTTTTTGAGACGGAATCTCACTCTGTCGCCCAGGCTGGAGTGCAGTGGCACAGTCTTGGCTCACTGCAAACTCTGCCTCCTGGGTTCAAGTGATTCTCCTGCCTCAGCCTCCTGAGTAGCTGGGATTACAGGCACCCTCCACCACACCCAGCTAATTTTTGTATTTCAAGTAGAGACGCAGTTTCACCAGATTGGCCTGGCTGGTCTTGAACCCCTGACCTCAGGTGATCCACCTGCCTCAGCCTCCCAAATTGCTAGGATTACAGGTGTGAGCCACAATGCCCGGCCAGCTATTTGGCCTTTTTATTGAGTTTTAGGTTTGTTATTTCTGAATTTCCGTGTTTTTCTTTCTTTTTTTTGGCCTAATTTTTCTTTTTCTTTTCTTTTCTTTTCTTTTTTTTATTTTTTTTTTATTTTTTATACAGAGTCTTGCTCTGTTGCCCTGGCTGGAGTGTAGTGGCGTGATCTCACTCACTGCAACCTCTGCTGCCCTGGTTCAAGCGATTGTCTTGCCTCAGCCTCCCAAGTAGCTGGGATTACAGGTGCCCACCACCACGCCCAGCTAATTTTTTGTATTTTTGGTAGAGATGGGGTTCCACCTTATTGGCTAGGCTGGTCTGGAACTCCTGACCTCAAGTAATCTTCCTAATTTGGCCTCCCAAAGTGCTGGAATTATAGGTGTGAGCCACTGTGCCCAGCCTAAAAAAAACTTGCAAAGCCAAAAGTAATTAAGCAAAAAGAGATGATGAAAAATGATTAGGCTGGCTGGGCACGGTGGCTCATGCCTGTAATCCCAGCACTTTGGGAGGCCAAGGCGGGTGGGTCACCTGAGGTCAGGTGTTCAAGACCAGCCTGGCCTACATGGTGAAACCCCATCTCTACTAAAAATACAAAAATTAACTGGGCATGGTGGCACATGCCTGTAATCCCAGCTATTGGGAGGCTGAGGCAGGAGAATCGCTTGATCCCGGGAGGTGGAGGTTGCAGTGAGCTGAGATCACACCACTGCACTCCAGCCTGGGTGACAGAGCAAGCCTCCATCTCAAAAAAAAAGAAAAAAAAAAAAGATGCTTAGGGATTTTTGGAAGATGCAGCTAGTGTGTAGTTAGGCCTAAACACGGGTGTGGGTCAGTCAGTGGCTTCAGAATCTCAGAGGGGCTTCTTTTTTTCACATCTTCACTCAGAACCAAGGTTAAAGTAGATACTTTTTCTTCCTTAACTGTCTTTCTTCTAGTTCCTTGCTATTTGGAACAGCATCATAAGCATCACCTGGGAGCTTGTTAAAAATGCAAGAATCACAAGTCCCACCTAGAACTACTCAGAATCTGCATTTTAACAAAATCCCCCAGGTGGTTTTTATCTATGTTTTAAATCTTTCAGCTGGGTGCGGTGGCTCACACCCATAATCCCAGCACTTTGGGAGGCAAGAGGATCACTTGAGTTCAGGAGTTTAAGACCAGCCTGGGCAACATAGTGAGACCCCCATCTCTACAAAAAATAAAATTAGCTGGGCATGGTGTTGTGTGGCTGTAGTCCCAGCTGCTGAGGAGGCTGAGGCAGGAAGATGGTTTGAGTCCAGGAGATCAAGACTACTGTGAGCCATGATTCTGCCACTACACTCAAGACTGGGCAACAGAGCAAGACCCTTGTTTCAAAAAACAACAAAAATCTTCCAGTTCACTTTCTTTTCTCAGTATGTGAGCCTCCCTGAGTCCTGGCTTCTCCTGCGCTTTCTGTTTAGCTTGAGTTTAAGAGACTGTCATCTCCCTGCTGTCCTGAAAGCTCTGTATCCTACGATCTAGGCAAGAAAGACACAAGAAGGCTTTGCACCATGGCTTATGCCTGTAATCGCAATACTTTGGGAGACCAAAGCAGGCAGATCACTTGAGGTCAGGAGTTCGATACAAGCCTGGCCAACATGGCGAAACCCTATCTCTATTAAAAATACAAAAATTAGCTCAGCGTATTGGTGGGTGCCTGTAATCCCATCTACTCGGGAGGCTGAGGCACAAGAATCACTTGAACCCTGGAAGTGGAGGTTGCGATGAGCTGAGATCGTGCCACTGCACTCCAGCCTGGGGGACAGAGTGAGACTCTGTCTGAAAAAAAAAAGGACCCTCCTGGTCAACATGGTGAAATCCCGTGTCTACTGAAAATACAAAAACTTAGCTGTGTGTGGTGGCTAATTTTTTTTTGTCTCTGTTCAAAAAAAAAAAAAAAGACGCAATAAGTGTAGCCATTTCACTTTGTGTTCACCTCACTGGACTGTCTTCAGTTTATCATTATTTACTTTCGTAAAGGTTCTATCTCTGATTTAGAAGATGTTTGATTTTGTTTTACCTTTTTAGGTGTTTTATAGCTGTAGAGTTTTGGCATTTCTGATTTATCAAATTACCAGAAACAAAAGTTTTGAGTTGTGTGTTGTTTTTGTATATGTGTGTGTGTGTGTGTGAGAGAGAGAGAGTCATTCTTTTGCTTTTATTATTTCTTCTTTTAGAAGGTTTTCTTCTTGTCTATTATGTCCATGTAAACACAATTCTAAATAGGTTTGGATAAAGTCAAACCACCCCTTGAAGTAGAAGAGATGGGCTTTATGGTTGTTATTTCATGATGTTGTTAAAAGAGGCTTTTGTTTTAAGTTTGTCAGCTATTTCCCGTGTAGTCGAGGTAGTCAAAAGTCTGCTGATAGCCAAAATGTAATCCTAACATGAATACAGTTACTATTGCTCAACACCTACTGTTTAATAGGCAGAATTAACAGGAGTGGTCCTTGGGCTTAGCTCCTCATCTGACACGCCCTTGTTTCTTTTGCTCTGCCTTTGAAGCTACTTGTATGTGCTTCACTACCAACACCCCTGGCAGGCTGATGTGCACACACTTGTGTCGAAAGCTGTAAAGCCTGCAGGTGCCAAGGAGCACAGTGTCCCATCTTACCTTGTACTGTACAGAAATGAGGGGCATTATCTTCCCCCGTGTTCTGTCACACTGTTACCTGACTACAAAAATAGTTCTGTTTATGTTTCCAACGGCCTCAGAGTCCCTTGAGAAAACTGGTCTTTCAACTTTTCCTTGTAAACCCTCTTTCTACAGATAAAGTCCTTCAGAAGTCTGCAAGGTCATATTAGGGACCAGTTTCTCCAACTTACACTTTGCTCCTCCTCGCTTTCCCCAAGACACAGTTTTCTGTTCTTCACCAGAAACCCTTACACAAATTAACTTATACATCCCAGAGTTAGGCTCAAGTTATTGATGCACTTGCTCAATGTGTACACATACACAGATATACACATATTTATCTTAACCACTTGTATGCATATGTGTTTGTGTCTATTTCTTTAAACAAGGTAGGGTTATGTAGTGATGACTAGAATATGAGAAAAATATGTGTAATGAAAAAACATTCTAATATGTAATGCTGTCAAAAGCTTACAGATAATTCCATCAAACTAAAAATAAATACTGTTTATCACTATCCTAAAGGCATAAATTGTCCCGTTTACTCAGCAATCTCATGTGACAGGTACTGTAATTTTTCTGTTTACAGGGAAGGAAACAAAAAGGGTAACTTGACCAACATCCAACACCTAGTAAGTGGTTGCATTTGTTTCCTATTGCTGCTGTAACATATTACCACAAATTTGGTGGCTTAACACATTTTACAGGTTTGGAGGTCAGGAGTCTGGAAGGGGTCTCACTGAGCTAGAACCAGGGAGTTAGCAGGGCTGTGTTCCTTCTGGAGGCCACATACATTTCCTTCTCTCTTTTAGCTTCTAGAGGCTGCCCACATTCCTTGGCTTGCCCCCTTCCTCCATCTTCAAAGCCAGCAACATCGGGTCTGGTCTGTCTTCCAACCCTGTCTTCCCTTTCAAAGGACCCTTGTGGTTACATTGACCCACCCCATAATCCTGGATAACCTCCCTATTTTAAGGTCATCTGATTAGCCACCTTAATTCTGTCTGCTACCAAAATTCTTCACCGTGTAACCAAACCTATTCACAGATTCTGGGTATTGGATTCTGATTATCTTTGAGGCCATTATTCTGTTTGCTACAGAGGTGTAGCTAGAACTTGTACTCAAATTGATCTGCTTCTAAAAGCAATTTCTTTAGGAAGCTGGAAACCCCTAACGCTGAGATCACTTTTTTCCCTGTGGTTTTGCCCTTGCTGAATATTATCTCAATGAGGGTTTGGATAACTTTTATAGCATAGAAAGTTCAACTCTTTTTAGAAACTAGAGAGAAAATGATGTCATTTACGCATTGCAGACACCCAGTACATTTTAAAATCCGAAGTTTTATTTTAGATTCAGGGAGTACACGTGCAGGTTTGTTACCTGGGTATATGTGTGATGCTGAGATTTGGGATACGAATAATCCCATCACCCAGGTAATGAGCATAGTACCTAAAAGTTAGTTTTTCAACCCTTGCATCCCCTTCTTCCCTCCCTGACAGTCGTACCCAGTTTGTATTGTTGCCTTCTTTATGTTCTTGAGTATCCAGTGTTTCACTCTATAGAATTAGAAAATTATATGTGAGAATATGCAATATTTGGTTTTCTGTTCCTGCATTAGTTCACTTAGAATAATGGCCTCCAGCTGCATCCATGTTGCAGCAAAGGACATGATTTCATTATTTTTATGGTTGCATAGTATTCCATGGTATATATGTACCACATTTTCTTTATCCAGTCCACCATTGATGAGCACCTAGGTTGATTCCATGTCTTTGCTATTGTGAATAGTGCTGCAGTGAACATGCAAGCGCATGTGTCTTTCTGGTGTGAAAAATGAGTAGTTTTCTTTTGGGTATATACCAGTAACAGGATTGCTGGGTCAAATGATAGTTCTGTTTTAAGTACTTTGAGAAATCTCCAAACTGTTTTCCACAGTGGCTGAACTAAGATACATTCCCACTAGCAGTGTATACGCATTCCCTCTTCTCTACAGCCTCACCAGCATCTGTTGTTTTTTAACTTTTTAATAATAGCCATTCTGACTGATGTGACATGGTCTCTCATTATGAGTTTAATTTGCATTTATCTACCAATTCGTGATGTGGAGCATTTTTTAATATGTTTGTTGGCCGCTTATATGTCTTCTTTTGAGAAGTGTCTCTTCATGTCTGTTGTCCATTTTTTAGTGCGGTTGTTGTTTGCTTGTTGAGTTGTTTAAGTTCCTTATAGATTCTGGATATGAGACTTTTCTCAGATGTGTAGTTTGCAAATATTTTCTCCCATCCTGTAGGTTGTATGTTTACTCTGTTGAGCGTTTCTTTTGCTCTACAAAAGCTTTTTAGTTTAATTAAGTCCCATTTGTCAATTTGTTGTTGTTGTTGTTGTTGCAGTTGCTTTTGAGGACTTAGTCATAAATTATTTCCCAAGACCAATGTCCAGAAGAGTGTTTCCGAGGTTTTCTTCTAGGATTCTTACAGTTTGAGGTCTTACATTTAAATCTTTAATCCATCTCGAGTTAATTTTTGTATGTGGTGACAAATAGGGGTCCAGTTTCATTGTTCTGCACATAGCTGCCAACTATCCCAGCACCATTTATCAAATAGGGACTTCTTTCCCCATAAAACAATCTTTTTTTAGAGACATGGTCTCACTATGTTACCCAGACTAGAATTGAGCTCCTGGGCTCAAGGAATCCTCCCTCTTCAGCCTCCTGCATAACTGAGACTACGGGTGCATGCCACCATGCCCAACTTGATGTATTCTTAAATTAGTTGACAGGAAAAGAGGACCTTGATTAGGATTTAAATGTAGCCACTTCTGACTTTTAGAGATTTGAATACTAAATATTGTCATTGAAAAGTTTGTACTACTAAGTTACTCTTAATATTTGAACTCCTGGTTTTTTGGCATTGCTTCAGATAGGAATTAATGTTTTAATATAAGTTTCTGCAATATTGATAACAATTAACTAATTTATTTCATAGCCCTTCTTTTCAAACTGGTGGTCTTCCAGGAAGGGAAATGGCTGGAGAGGAAGGAAGAATTTTCACTCTGCGTCCTTTTGTACTTTTTGAACTTTGAGAAATGTGAATGTATAAACTAAAAACAAATAAATAAAATTTTATAAATGTTTAAAGTGGAATAAATGAACAGCTCCTATTTTTCTATTATCTCCACTCTTCTAGGATCACCCCTTCTGTGTCATTCTCTGAGGAAAACAAGTTCTTCTCAAGGAGGAAAGTCTGAACTTGTCAAACAGTCCCTTAAGAAGCCGAAGTTACCAGAAGGTCGTTTTGATGCACCAGAGGATTCCCATTTAGAGAAAGAACCACTGGAAAGTAAGTATAATAAAGCACCTCTCAGTTTTTGAAGTATCAAGGAAAGTGTTTTAGTTATTGAGAAAATGAGTGAAAGGAAAGAAATTTGTTATTGCTTAAATTCTGTAGTAATAAAGCATATTTCAACAATGAGTAAAATCACCATATTGACCATCGATACATGTAGATTTCTTAATAAAAAAGATTTTCAAGATTCTGACAGGTATTTGATTGTGTTTGTTTTATTTGTTATACCTCATTATTCACATAACAAAATATATAAGTTGAGACCTTCTTTGTTACAAATAAATGATGTTATTTGTATCAAAGAAGGTTATGTTATTTGTATCAAAGATCTTATGTGAATAATGAGGTATAATAAATATAACCACTTTATATATGTAATGTACACATATTATATATAAAGGACTCCAATAACTCAACGAAAAGTCAAAAATAGCAAAGCACTTGAGTCTTAACTTATATATTTTGCTATATGAATAATGAGGTATGATAAATAAATAACAAATATATGTGTATATTATATGTATGTGTGTGTGTGTGTAGAACTCCAGTAATCTACAAAAAATAAAAATAAAAAATAGCAAAGTATTTGAGTAGACATTTCTCCAGAGAAGGTATACAAATGTACAAATGGCCAACAAACACATGAAAAGATGCTCAGCATCAGCATCATTATCATTAGGGAAATGCAAATCAAAACTATGAGATACTACTTCATACCCACTAGGATGGCTATAATAGAAAAAAATGGAAAATAACAAGTGTTGGGAAGGATGTGGAGAAATTGAAACCCTCAGGCATTTCTGCTGGGAATGTAAAATGTTGCAGCCACTGTGGAAAACAGTATGGCCGTTCCTCAAAAAATCAAACTTAGAACTACCGTTTGACCCAGCAGTTCCACTCTTAGGTGTGTATCTAAAGGAATTGAAAGCAGGGACTTGAACAGATATCTCTGTAACTATGTTCATAGTATTATTAACAGTAGCCAAAAGGTGGAAACAACCCAATGTTCACAAACAAATGAATCATTAAACAAAATGTGGCATATACATCCGGTGGAAAACTATTCAGTCATAAAAAGCAATTAAATTTTAATATATGCTACAACATGGATGGACCTTGAAAACATTATGTTTAGTGAAATAAGCTGGACCCAGAAGGGCAAATATATGATTCCACTTATATAAGGTACCTAGAATAGGCAAATTCATAGAGACAGAAAGTAGAATAGAGGCTATCAGGGACTCCGGGGACTAAGGGAGAAGTCATTGTTTAGTGGGTACAGAGTTCATTGTGGGGATGATGAAAATGTTTTAGGTATAGATAGTGGTGATGGTTGTACAACCTTGTGAATATATTTTTGTTGTTGTTTTTGTTTTTGAAATGGAGTCTCACTCTTTCACCTAGGCTGGAGTGCAGTGGCACACTCTCGGCTCACTGCAACCTCCGCCTCCCAGGTTCATGTAATACTCCTGTCTCAGCCTCCCGAGTAGCTGGGATTACAGGCACACCACCACACTGGCTCATTGTTGTATTTTTAGTAGAGATGGGGGTTTCACCATGTTGGCCAGGCTGGTCTTGAACTCCTGACCTCAAGTGACCAACCCCCCTCGGCCTCCCAAAGTGCTGGGATTACAGGCGTGAGCCACTGTGTCTGGCAGTGAATGTATTTAATACTACCAAATTGTACACTTACAAATGGTTAAATGAGAAATATTATGTTATATATATTTTACCACAGTAAAAAAAAAAGAAAGCAAAAACCTGCACTTTTCAAAAGCTAATCATCTATTTGACATAATGGTAGGCATTCAACGTAAGTCTTGTATCACTCAAGTTTATGTTGAACCTACCATCCCTTAGAAATTTCTGACAAACATCACCAAATACAGCAGGTACTCTTCAATCCTTGTTTTATTTGAACAATCCACAACCTTTGACAGTGTTAACTATTGCTTCTGGAAATCTCCTGCCTTGATTTCCATTATGCTTTCATTAGTTTCATTTTTGTGTGTGTATGTATGTGTGTGTGTGTTGTTTTGTTTTGTTTTGTTGAGACAGGGTCTTGCTCTGTTGCCCAGGCTAAAGTGCAGTGGCATGAACACATGGCTCACTGCAGCCTTAACCTTCCCAGCTCAAACTGTCCTCCTGCCTCAGTCTCCTGAGTAAGTGAGACCACAGGCACATACCACCATGCTCACCTAATTTAAAAAATTTTTTTGTAGAGATGAGGTCTTGCCATGTTACCCAGGCTGGCCTCAACTCCTGGGCTCAAGCAGTCCTTCTGCCTCGGCCTCCCAAAGTGCTGGGATTACAAGTATGAGCCACCATTCCTGGCATGCTTTCTTTAGTTTCTCACCCTATTTCTTCACCAGTTTCTTCCTGGGCTCCTTTTTGAGCTCCTCTGCCTCCGCCCAACACCTAAATGTGGGTATTTGCCAGGCCTCTGTTCTTAGCCCCCTAAGTATTCCAAGGGAGATTTCATATTTCCCTAAAATGATTAGATTTATTTGATTGATTGAGGCAGAGTCTCACTCTGTCACCCAGGCTGAAGTGCAGTGGCGCCATCACAGCTCACTGCACCCTCAACCTCCTGGGGTTCCCTACTCAGCCTCTCCTGTAACTGGGGCTACAGGCACGCACCACCACACCTGGCTAATTTTTCTATTTGTTTCTTTAAGAGATAGAGCTCAGTATGTTGCCCAGGCTGGTCTTGAACTCCTGGGCTCAAACGATCTTCCCACCTCAGCCTCCCAAAATGCTGAGATTACAGGCATGAGCCACCACGCCCGGCTTAAAATGATTTTAAATATCACCTATGTGTTGGTGATTCATACATTTATACCTCTAATCAGACCTCGTTCCTGAGCATCACTCTCCTGTCTCCATTTGCCTCCTGAGTATCTTTCTTTGCACATTCCAGAAGTCTCAAAATTAATATTTCTAAAACTAAAGTCATCGTGTACCCATTGTTCCAACTCACCTTCGGCCCTCCCACCTGCCTGATCTCATATCCTCCTCTTCCTTCGGGATTTCCAGTCCACCCCATCTACCAAGTCACCCAAGCCCGAAATCTGGGGATAATCTTTCACTCCTGCCTCTTCCTGTCTCCTGTGACTGATCACTAACCAAGTCCTGTTGCTTCTACCCTTTTAACATCTCTCAAATTTATTCCCTCTTACTCATCCTACCAGTAGGGCCCAAATTCAAGCTGTCTCTAGCTCCACTGGTCACCTAACAAGCCTCTCTGCTTCCTCGTTTCCTTCCTTCTAGTCTTGTCTCCCTGCCTCTAGTATGTACTTTATTCTAAGAAAACTGTGTAGGTTGTCTCCTTGAAAAGAGTAGATTTCATTATTAAGATCATAAAGGAAAATGTTTGTAGCTAGGCACCCTGCTTGACATAAAGATGAATAAGAAAGGAAGATGAGATAATGTAAATAACGATGAACAGGACATCATGTGGTAACTAGCATGAGAGATACACAAAAAGATCAGAGGAAAGTCGACAAAAGAGATAACGTTTGAGCTGGGGTCTAAGGAAAAATAATTTTTTGTTTTTTTGAGTTGGAGTCTCGCTCTGTCACCCAGGCTGGAGGACAATGGCGCAATTTCAGCTCACCGCAACCTCCGCCTCCCGGGTTCAAGCGATTCTCCTGCCTCAGCCTCCTGAGTAGCTGGGATTACAGGCGTCTGGCACCACACCTGGCTAATTTTTGTATTTTTAGTAGAAACGGGGTTTCACCATGTTGGTCAGGCTGGTCTCGAACTCCTGACCTCAGGTGATCCACCTGCCTTGGCCTTCCAAAGTGCTGAGGTTACAGGTGTGAGCCACCATGCCTGGCCGGAAAAGTAAAATTTTTATAAGTAGATAAGGTGTGGTGAGGAGACATTTCAAAATACCTGGAGAAAGCTATGGTCAAAGAGAAAGAGGCTGCAGAACATTAACACTTACAAGACACAGCTAATGGGCCTCTTTGGCTTCAGCATAAATTATATATATATTTGATTAATACAGGGTTGTCCAATCTCTTGGCTTCCCTGGGTCACATTGGAGGAAGAATTGTCTTAGGCCACACATAAAATACACTAACAACAGCTGATGAGCTAAACAAAAACAAAAACAAAACAAAACAAAAATCACACAAAAAAACTCAATGTTTTAAGAAAGTTTATGAATTTGTGTTGGGCCACATTCAAAGCCATCCTGGGCCACATGCAGCCCGTGGACTGTGGGTTAGACAGGCTTGGATTAATTGAATATAAAGCTAGACACACAGGTTCAGCTCAAATCTGGGAGGGCCTGAAATCCCAGGTTACAGTGTAAGGGCTTTATGCAGTGAGCAGTGAGGAAATGTATTTGGATAGAGGTTGTTTTAATTAGCTTTATTAAATATAGTCTGCATATGATAAAATTCACCCATGTTAAATATACAGTTGAGTGAGGTTGTTGTTGTTGTTGTTGTTGTTGTTGTTTGAGACGGAGTCTTGCTCTGTTGCCCAGGCTGGCTTGCAGTGGTATGATCTCGGCTCACTGCAACCTCTGCCTCGGGTTCAAGCGAGTCTCCTTCCTCAGCCTCCCTGGGATTACAGGCACCTGCCACCACACCCGGTTAATTTTTGTATTTTTAGTAGAGATGGGGTTTCACCATGTTAGCCAGGCTGGTCTCGAACTGCTGACCTCGTGATCCGCTCGCCTCGGCCTCCCACAGTGCTGGGGTTACAGGCATGAGCCACCACGCCTGGCTAGTGAGTTTTAACAAATGTTTACAGCCATGGAAACCACACAAAGTGTAAAATAGTTCTGTCCCCTAAAGAGGTACAAGGCAGTTCATCCTCTCCCCACCTCCTCCCAGCAACCATTGATCTGTTCTCTATCACTGTAGTTTTGCTTTTTCTAGGATTTTATATAAATGAAACTCTACAGTATGTAGTCTTTGGTGTCTGGTTCCTTTCACATAGTATAATGTGGAAGAGGGATTCTGTTGTATTAGTTCTAAAATGGGACACTGAGAGCAGGAACCAGGGTGGTAATGGTGAGAACAAAAAGTTTCAGAAAACTGCAGGCTATTATAAGGGCAAAAATTAGGTTAACAAATGTGAGGAAGAAGAGACATGGAAAGATACGAGGGTGTGGTCAGAAAGAAGAGTGCTCAAAAGAGTGTGGGATTTGGAGGAGGAACATACTCAAAAAATAATAAAGTCCAGTGGACAGCAGAAGTAGATACGAAAGTCATCAGGAAAGAGATTGGTGACCTTTGTGGCCTCGATGTGTGATGATTTACTAATGTGGATGTTGATATTAGGGATGATGGGGAGAGAGAGATGAAACTATGAACCAGATATTGATCCCATGCAAGAAGACAGAAGAATCTTGGAGTTTATTATAAGACTAGAGAAAAGCACTGGATAAGTAAATGGTATAGAATTCCAAAAAGGAAAGGCTATAGAGGTGTGGCATTAGAATGAGAGGCTGGAAATAGCAGTGAGGAGCAGGGACATCTTGACCTGTTCTTTCTTCCCCAGTGCTGTGGACTGAATTATGTTCCCCCAAAATTCATCTGTTGGAGCTCTAACCCCCCAGGTGATGGTATTTGGAGATGGGGCCTTTGGGAGATAATTAGGTTTAGATCATGAGAGTAAGGTAACTCTTTAAGAGATGGAACTGTTTTACACTTTGTGTTATTTACATGACTGTCAACATTTGTTAAAACTCACTGAACTGCGTACTTAAAATGGGTGAATTTTATTATAAGCAGACAATACTTTAATAAAGCTGATGGGAATCTCCTCATGGTGGGAATAATGCCCTTATAAGAAGAGATACCAGAGAGCTTGCTGTCTCTCTTTCTCTGCCATGTGAGGACACAGCAAGAAGCGACCATCTGTAAGCCAGGAAGAAAGCCCTCATGAGAACCAACCATGCTACCACCCTGATTTCAGCCTACCAGCCTCCAGAGCTGTAAGAAAATAAGTTTCTGCTGTTTACTCCACCTAGTCTATGGTATTTTGTTATGGCAGCTCAAGCTAAGACATCCAGTGAGCCACAGAGATATGTGAGAAAGAAGAACTTCCGTTAGAGAGGCCTTCAAGGGAATTCGTGGAGTAGGAAAAAGCCAACTTGCATTGCAGTAAAGCATGGAATTATTTTGAAAACAGAATGCTGATGAGTATGGGGGAGAGTTTATTCACAATATAACAAGAATAAAAGAATGAATATTTGAAAAATTTTCACGGTAAATTCTGTATCCTTTTTCTTTTGCCTGAGGGGCTTTATGATTTTGGTGAAGATCATTTAGTTTTCTAAAGAGATATAGTTTGGGTAATCATTCTCCTGCAGTTTCCCCGTGCTATGCAGGATAAAATAAAAGCCGTATGCCTTTTCTTCTGTTAATCTGTCTTTTGTCAGTTGATTTTTGGCAAACCTTTAGAGGGCAAGGAGGATGTTTTTCCTTGGCCCCTACACCTTCTCCCAGAGTCCAAGCAATGTGCTTCCTCAGTAGAACAGGTTTTAACATCTGTAAGTAGCTACGATGATGACCTCAGCAGAGAATACCCACCTTGAGGGAATGTGACACCCATGCCCCCAAAAGTCTAGTTGCCTTTTGGTCTGTGTCTCAGGAGTATAACTGACTTCTCTAGGGATTGAATGTAAGAGAGACCTAAGTAACCATGGGGTTTGGATAAAGCAAATCTGGGTTTGAACTGGAGCTCTCAGAGGCTTCTACTCTCTGGGTTTCAGTTTCCTCCTAACACCTGCCTTAGAATGCGCTTATGAGAAGAAACTGAGATGATAGGGCACTTTGCACTTTCCCTTTCAAGCCTTGCCAGAGTTTGTTATTCTTGTATGTATTTGTTTGCCTTTTTTTTTTTTTTTTTTTTTTTGGCCTACTTCAGTACTCTGTGAGCCCTGTGAGGGAAGGGGCCTTCTATTGCATGGTCACTACTGTGTCCCTCACCCCACCTTTACATAGCATAGGGCCTGGCAGAGTAATAGTGGAATAAATGAATGAAACTGTCTGCCCACAGGATGGCCATGAGGATGAGAATAAATCTCTTCATTCATTCATATGATACGTATTAAGTATCCTCTGTGAGCCAAACACTGAAACAGCAATGGATAAAACACACAAAAAAATTATACCATAATGAAGCTTAACATTTTAGTGGGAGAGACAGACAATAATCCAAGTAAATTTTAAAAATATACTAAATTACTGATAATTGCTGAAGATAATGTAAATGTGGGAAGGAATGGGAAGTATTGGGAGAGTGGCCACAATAAATAAATAGATACAGTTTAAGAATTAGGGGCCAGGCGGCCGGGCACAGTGGCTCACGCCTGTAACCCCAGCACTTTGGGAGGCTGAGGCGGGTGGATCACCTGAGGTCAGGAGTTCAAGACCAGCCTGGTCAACAAAGTAAAACCCCCATCTCTACTAAAAATACAAAAAATTAGCTGGGCATGGTGGTGCACACCTGTAATCCCAGCTACTCGAGAGGCTGAGGCAGGAGAATCACTTGAACCCTGGAGGCGGAGGTTGCAGTGAGCCGAGATCATGCCATTGCACTCCAGCCTGGGCAATAAGAGTGAAACTCCATCACACACACACACACACACACACACACACAAGAATTAGGGGTCAGGTGCAGTGGCTCACGCCTGTAATCCCAGCACTTTGGGAGGCCAAGGTGGGTGGATCATTTGGGGTCAGGAGTTTGAGACCAGCCTGGCCAACATAGTGAAACCCCATCTCTACTAAAAGTACAATTATTAGCCAGGCACATAGTGGTGTGCGCCTGTAGTCCCAGCTACTTGGGAGGCTGAGGCAGGAGAATTGCTTGAACCCAGGAGGCTGAGGCTGCAGTGAGCTGAGATCACGCCACTCCACTACTCCAGCAGGGCAACAGAGCTAGGCTCCATCTTAAAAAACAAAACAAAACAAAGAATTAGCGCTCTGTCTAATAGTTGGTTCCTCTCCTGTTTTTTCCATATACAGAGCAGTGCAGTGTATGGGCTGAGAACAAGACTGCAGCCAGGATGTCTGAATTTGAACTCAGTTTTATCACTTAGAAGCTATGTGATACGGAGCAACTTTCTTAACCCTTTGTGGCTCATTTTCTTCATCTATAAAGTTGGAACAATAATTGTTCTTGTCCCATAGGATTGTTAGGAAGAGTAAATGGATTAGCATACATAAAGTGCTGAGAATTGAGCCTGGCTTGTGATGGGGATTCCTACTATGAACACATAGTACTAAGAATAATAATTACTATTATGATTATAAATGGCAGTACCAGCCAACCAGTTGCTGAAGCCAAAACCCTATGATGAGGAACAGTAATTCTCTAGCTAAGATTAATTGACATTCCTATGTACCTGGCACCACGCTAAACCCTTTACATGTATTACCTTGTTTAATTAACAACACAGTGAGAGAAGTATGATTGTTCTCTCCATTTTACTGGTCAGAAAACTGTGGCATTAAGTCAAAGTGACTCCTTCAAAGTAATCTTATTTCAAGACCTTTCAAGTCTTATGAATTTGTACTCTGTATTCTCTTCTCAAACTCAGGAAAAAGAATCACATTTACAGTTCTTTTAAAGACTGCATGGTAACCAGGTTGGTAAGATCTAGCCTATCAGCAACGCTGTCTTTAAAATTGACCATAGGCTGGTCTCGGCGGCTCACGCCTGTAATCCCAGCACTTTGGGAGGCCGAGGCAGGCAGAACACTTGAGGTCAGGAGTTTGAGCCATCCTGGCCAACATGGTGAAACCCCTTCTCTACTAAAAATACAAAAATTAGTTGGGCGTGGTGGCATGTGCGTGTAATCCCAGCTACTCAGGAGGCTGAGGCAGGAAAATCACTTGAACCCAGAAGGCAGAGGTTGCAGTGAGCCCAGATCACGCCACTGCAATCCAGCCTGGGCAACAGAGGGAGACTCTGTCTCAAAAAATAATAAATAAATAAATTAATTGAATTAAATTGACTATAAGGCCTTTCCTGCCTCCATTAACTGCTTTATTTATATCTCGTTTTCCTTAGAATTTCCAGATGATGTTAATCCAGTGACCAAAGAAAAAGGTGGACCCAGGGGCCCAGAACCTACCCGATATGGAGATTGGGAACGAAAAGGACGCTGTATTGATTTTTAAGTCGCATATTCTTTAACTTCAATATTGTTTTCTGAATATGTACATCTGAATTAACTTATTTCTGATTATTTTCTTTCTTTATATCCTTTATGTCGTGTAGTTTGTATAATGTGTTTAAATATATATATATATGATGGCTTTGGAAGAAAATATGCTGCTGTAAATTAGGAAAGGGAGACCAGCCTGACCAATATGGAGAAATCTCGCCTTTACTAAAAATACAAAATTAGCCAGGCGTGGTGGCATGCACCTGTAATCCCAACTACTCTGGAGGCTGAGGCAGGAGAATGGCTTAAACCCAGGAGGTGGAGGTTGCGGTGAGCTGAGGTCGCGCCATTGCACTCCAGCCTGGGCAACAAGAGCGAAACTCCGTCTCAAAAAAAAAGATAGGAAAGGGAAAATATTTTTTCATTAACATATATTAATTTAATGAGTATAGAAATGATTCTTGTTTTTTTGAGACAGAGTCTCTCTCTCTCACCCAGGCTGGAGTGGAGTGGCACTATCCCAACTCACTGCAACTTCCGCCCCGCCAGGTTCAAGCAATTCTCCTGCCTCAGCCTCCTGAGTAGCTGGGATTACAGACACCCACCATTGCGCCTGGCTAATTTTTGTATTTTTAGTAAAGACAAGGTTTCACCATGTTAGCCAGGCTGGTCTCGAACTCCTGACCTCAGTTGATCCACCTGCCTCAGCCTCCCAAAGTGCTGGGATTGCAGGTGTGAGCCACCACGCCCAGCCTAGAAATGATTCTTAGAGCTGTAGGCCTTTACTTCATCATTTTTCAGTTTAAATTAATCAGTTGCTTATAAAATGCATACATAAATAAAATAATTTTTAAAAAATGATTGTGTTGCTGCGTGCTAGGGGATAGTGGCTTTTAACATGTGAGTTAAATAATACATTATAGTTTGAGAAGGCCACAATAATAACAGAAAATCTTTAACTTGGAGCCAGTGACTTAATTAATTACCCAATCACTTGGGTTCAAATTCTGACTCTACTTCTTACTACCTATGTGACCTTGGATAACTTATTTAACTTCTCTGTGCTTCAATATCCTTATGTGTAAGTTGGAGATAATAATACTTTTGATACTGGTGGGCTGCAGGAGGTCCCCAAACACTGGTGGGACCTTAATTCCAGCTGATGTCCAGGCTCTTGATACCATCATGAGAAGAAATTCAAAGACAAGTCAGAAAATAGGGAAAGTACTGAGATTTATTGCAAAGTAAAAAGTACATATTCGATGCCTGTAATCCCAGCACTTTGAGAGACCAAGGCGGGTCAATCACTTGAGGTCAGGAGTTCGAGACCAGCCTGGCCAACATGGCAAAACCCCGTCTCTACTAAAAATACAAAAACTAGCTGGGCGTGGTGGTGCAGGCCTGTAATCCCAGCTACTTGGGAGGCTGAGGCAGGAGAATCACTTGAACCGGGGAGGCAGAGGTTGTAGTGAGCCAAGATTGTGCCACTGCACTCCAGCCTGGGTGACAGAGCAAGACCCTGTCTCAAAAAAAAAAATAAAAAGCAAAGAAAAGAAAAGCACACATTCAAGAAAGGGGAGTGTGGGCATACTCAAGAGAGAGTGACTCAGTGGAGTTTAGGGCTTCTACCTTTATGGGTTTCTATAACCAAGAGGTGGAATATTCATGAAGATTCCTGGAAAAAGGTGAAGATTTCTTGGAATTGTGGTGCCACCAACTTTTACACCAAATACAGGTGTTCCCAGAATAGTCATGGCACTGTCTGTGTGTGCTTTAGTATGTTAATGAGCATATAATGAGGTCCTAGGTGAAACCTAGGTCATATCCAGTGCCATGCTGGGTCCAGTCAGTCTTAGCCAACTTGACTCACACCCTGGTTTTTCAGGATCTTATCAGCCCCTAGGTTATGCAGCCATTTCAACAATTTCCTTTTTGCTAATCATGTAAAACTGCTGCCTGGAATTTTCTGCTCTTCTGTGATCACCCTATATTATTCCTGTCTCACTTTCACTTCACAGGGAAGTTGAGAAGATTAAATGAATAAATAACATGTATTAGTCAGGGCTCTTCAATAGGAGAGAGAGAGATTATGTGGAATTGGTTCATGCAGTTCTAGAGGCTGAGAAGTCCCATGATAATGCCATCTGCAAGCTGAACACCTGAAGACCCAAAAAAGCCAGTGGTGTGAATCAGTCTGAGTCCAAAGGCCTGAGAAGCAGGGGAATTATGATATAAATCCAGTCTGAGGGCAAAGAAGATGAGAAGAGATGTCCTAGCTCAAGCAGTGAGGCAAGAAAAAAGGAGTGAATTCTTCCCTCTACCTTTTGTCCTATTCAGGCCTTCAGTGTATTAGATAATGCCCGAATACATTGGGAAGGACAGTCTACTGAGTTCACCAGTTCCAATGCTAATCTCATTCAGAAACACCCCTACAGACACATCCAGAAACAATGTTTAAACTGGTACCCTGTGGCCTACTCAAGTTGACACATAAAATTAGCCAACACAACATGTTAGCCACTTAGAGCAGTGTGTAGTATAGTACATACTTCTCAGTAAGTGTTAACTCTCTTTAAATTATGAATGTATTTTTCCAAGTCTCTAGGCGTTGTGAGAGGAAAGATTTTTTTTTTTTTTTTTTTTTTTTTTTTTGCTCTGTCCCCAGGCTGGACTACAGTGGCACAATCTCCACTCACTGCAACCTCTGACTCCCTGGTTCAAGCGATTCTCCTGCCTCACCCTCCCGAGTAGCTGGGACTACAGGCACTCGCCACCACGCCCAGCTAATTTTTGTATTTTTGTAGAGACGGGGTTTCATCGTGTTAGCCAGGATAGTCTCGATCTCCTGATCTCGTGATCTGCCCGCCTCAGCCTCCCAAAGTGCTGGGCCAGGTGTGAGCCACCGCGCCCGGCCAGTGGGAGGAAAGATTTTTAAAAATGAAATTTGAAATACTTGAAATTGTTTTATATGAGTACAACATTTAAAATGTCATTAGTTGAAAATAGTGATTATTTACATGAGTGAACTGAAGTATATACATTAGTTTGTGGAACATAAAATTCACAGAGGTGCTATGGTTGGAAAATTTGTCGCCTCCAAAACTTATGTTGAAACTTAATCCCCAATGTCTCAGTAGTGAGAGGTGGGACCTTTAAGAGGTGATTGGCCTTTACGAGGGCAGAGCCCTCATGAAGATTAATTCATTTATGGGTTAATGGACAAATGGGTTATCATGGAAGTGGAGCTGGTGCTTTATGAGAAGAGGAAGAGAGACTTAAGCTGGCATGTTAGCATCTGAGCCCACTCAGCCAACTTGCCATGTGATGCCCTGCGCTGCCTCAGGACTCTGCAGAGAGCTTTCACTAGCTTCAAGGCCCTGGCCAGATGTGCCCCTTGACCTTGGACTTTCTAGCCTCCAAAACCATAAGAAATAAACGTCTTTTCTTTCAAAATTACCCAGTATCAGGTATTTAGTTATAGCAACTTGGGCTAAGAAAACTGGCACTGGGAGTGAGGTGTTGGTATAAAGTTACCTGAAAATGTGGAAGCCGCATGGGAACTGGATAATGGGCAAAGATTGGAAGAGTTTGGAGGAGCAGGGTGGAAAAAGCCTAGATTCTGATTAGGGATTAGAAGACAAGAAGACTAGGGAAAGTTTAGAACTTCCTAGAGATTACTTAAGTGGTCGTGACCAGAATGCTGATAGAAATATGGACAGTAAAGGCCATTCTGATGAGGTTTCAGATGGAACTGAAGATCAAAGTGTTGGAAACTGGAGTAAAAGCCTTTCTTAGAAAGTGGCAAAGAATTTGGCTGGATTGTGTCCAGGCCCAAGGCTGGGTGTTTTATAGCAACACCCTACTCCCAGCTACCAATTCCAAGGAATGCTGAACTTAAGAATGATGAATTAGAATATTTGACGGAAGAAATATCTAAGCAGCAAAGCATTTAGGCTATTGCATGGCTACTTTTAACCACTTACATTGAACTGCAAAAAGGAATAAGTTACTTAAAGACAGAAATCATAATCAAAAGGGAAGCAAAGCAGAAAGATTTGGGAAATTCTAAGCCTAGACATGTGGTAGAGAATGAAAGAGTTTTTTCAGCAGAGGAAACCAAGCGTATGACCAAGGCACTGTTTGCTAAAGAGATTAATATGGCTAGAAAGGAGCCAGAGATTCATCAGGACAATGGGAGAAAGATCCCAAAGGCATTTCAGAAATCTTTGAAGCTGCCCCTCCCATCACAGGCCCAGAGGCCTAAAATGGCAGAATGGTTTAAAGGGACAGGCCCAGGGCACTCTCTAAGGGCTTGCTGCCCCGGGCTGCCTTGGACCTCTACTCCTGGGCATTCTGGCTGCTCAAGCAGCTCTAGCTCAGGTGGTCCCCAGTGTGGCTCGACCTGCCACTCCAAAAGGTCCAAGTTGTAAATCTTGGCAGCACTGTCCAGTGATGCAAGTGGTCTCAGATGCTGCTCATGCCCCCACTCCAGAGGGCACAAGCAGTGAGCCTTGGCGACCTGCACATGCTGCTTATTCTGCAGGCACACAGCAAGAGCTGTGAGGCATAGCAGCTTCCACCTAGATTTCAAAGGATGTATCAGACAGCTTGTGGGCCCACGCAGAGACTTACTGCAAGGGCACAACCACTGCAGAGAACCCCTCTGCTAGGGCAATGCTGAGTGGAAATGTGGGACCAGAGCTGCTGCAGAAAGTTCCCAACAGAGCAGTGCACTCTGGAGCCGCAGGGGCAGGACCACCCTGGGACCTCAGAACTGTAGAGCTACCAGTATGCAACACCAGCCTGGAAAAGCTGCAGGCACCTGACTCCAACCTGTGAGAGTAGCCATGTGGACTACAGCAAGCAAAGCCATAGGCATGAGATTGCCCAATGTTTTGGAGACCCACTCCCTACCTCAGTGTTCACAGGATGCCAGCATGGAGTCAAAAGAGATTATTTTCCAGCTTCAAGGGTTTTTTTTTGTGTGTGTGTGTGATGGAGTCTCATTCTTCATTCTGTCACTCTGGCTGGAATGCAGTGGCATGATCCTGGCTCACTGCAACCTCTGCTCCTGGGTTCAAGTGATTCTCCTGCCTCAGCCTCCTGAGTAGCTGGAATTACAGGCACCTTCCACCGTGCCTGGCTAATTTTTTTTGTATTTTTAATAGAGACAGGGTTTCACCATGTTGGCCAGGCTGGTCTTGAACTCCTGACCTCAAGGGATCCTCCCACCTCAGCCTCCCAAAGTGCTGGAATTACAGGTGTGAGACACTGCGCCTGGCTGAGCTTCAAGATTTAATGTCTTCCCTGCTGGGTTTCTGACTTGTTAGGGGCCGATTACTCCATTTTGCTCTCCTATTTTTCCCTTTTGGAATGGAAATGTGTATCCTATGCCTGTCCTACCGTTGTATCTTGGAAGTAGATAAATTGTTTTCGCAGGATCACAGATAAGACTTTGGACTTTTGAGTTGTTGCTGGAATAAGTTAAGACCTTGGGGCTATGAAGATAGAATAAATGTATTTGTATGTGATAAGGACATTAGTTTTGGAAGGCCAGTGCCAGTGCCAGAATGCTATAGTTTGAATGTTTGTCTCCTCCAAAACTCGTGTTAAACTTTATCCCCATTGTAACAGTATTAATGAGATGGGAAATCCAACTATGCTATTTGACAGGTAGGATCTCTGGGAGGTAATTAGGATGTAATGAGGTCATAAGGGTGAGGCATTAGTGGCTTTATAAGAGTAGAAACACCTGAGCTAGCACATTTGGCCACCTCACCTTTTCATACCCTGTGATGCCTCAGGACTCTATAGAGAGTCTAGTCTCCACCAGCGAGACCCCATGAACTTGGCCCACATGTCATCCTTGAACTTGGACTTCCCAGCCTCCAGAACCATAAGAAATAAATACCATTTTTCAGCCGGGTGCAATGGCTCACGCCCATAATCCCAGCACTTTGGGAGGCCAAGGCGGGTATATCACCTGAGGCCAGAAGTTCAAGACCAGCCTGAACAACATGGTGGAACCCCATCTCTATGAAAAATACAAAATTAGCCAGATGTGGTGGTGCACACCTGTAATCCCAGCTACTCGGGAGGCTGAAGCAGGAGAATCACTTGAACCCGGGAGGCGGAGGTTGCAGTGAGCCTAGATCACACCATTGCACTCCAGCCTGGGTGAAAAGAGTGAAACTCCATCTCAGAAAAAAAAAAAAAATCATTTTTTAATAAATTACCTAGTTTCAGCTATTCTTTTATAAGCAACAGAAAATGGACTAAGACAGTAGGTATAGAGGGTAAATATGAGAAAAACAGGATAAAATGGACTAGCTCAGTCAGTTTTGATGACTCAAAACCTCGTACCCTGTGGCATTTTGATAAGTGGGTCAGGAAAAGTCAAGTCCAGTGTACAGATCTGGAATAATGGAAGGACAGGAACTGCTGGGCTCCCCTAAGGTATCCTTTGCTGCATCTCCTCTGGCCTCACTCACTCTCAGAGGTTGGGCCTTCAGCTCCCAGGCTACTCTTGAATTACTTAGGAAGAAAGGTTTTGCAAAACCTATAGAAGACAGAATCCAGTAGGCTGATAACTGTGTGATATGAATTACAAGTGCAATATTACTTGAGAAGATTGTACGGAGACTCATTTAAGAGAATAAGAATTATTATCCCAGAAACAAATTAACTAGTGTGTAATTAGGACTAGTCATTTGGTCCTTATATCAGTTTTCTCTCTCAGTCAACATTCATTCTTCTAGTTGCAATTACTATGTGTGCTACAAAGTAATAACTACATTTCTTTAGAAATATTCTATAATTCAGTCAACCTCCAACTGCCCAAGTTAGTAAAGTTTTTTACTAAGTTAACATTCAAAAAATAGTATGTTAGGCTGGACTTGGTGGCTCATGCCTGTAATCCCAGCACTTTGGGAGGCTGAGGCAGGTGGATCACCTGAGGTCAGGAGTTTGAGACAAATAGCTGGGCGCGGTGGCGCACGCCCGTAATCCCACATACTCGGGAGGCTGATGCAGGAGAATCGCTTGAACCCGGGAGGCGGAGGTTGCAGTGAGCTGAGATCACGCCACTGCACTCCAACCTGGGCGACAGAACAAGACTCTATCTCAAAAAAAAAAAAAAAAAGAAAAGAAAAAAAGAAAAATAGTATGTTAAATTTTCGTTGTATAGTTTTGCTTGTGTTCTACACTAACTATCATGATGTGCAATAGAAAAAAGACAACTTATATACTTCAAAAGCTAATCTAAAATATATAACAACCAAAGTGTTGTATTAAGATAACTCTTAACCTCTGTTAGTAGTAACATGTTTCATTACAGTATCAAATATATAGGTAAAATTTGGTGACATGAAAACACTTGTGGTCTGTATGTCTATCAAACATTCATGAAAAATTTGAAGACTATCAATTTGGTACCTACAAAAGATGATGCGGTAGCCATGGAAATGCATCACCCAGATCTCCTCCTGTGAGAAGCAGAGTTGACAGAACCCTAGCTGCTACCCCATGGGATCTACCACTGTATTCCTGCTGTTCCCAGCCAATGAGTGAGAATGGCAGGACTATTAACACTGACCCAGTCCCCTGATGGGCAACATTGGCTCAAGGATTTCCCATTAGATTGCCCAGAATTTTCTTAGAAACATGCTACTGTCTGAGATTCTTCCTACCCCATTCTCCTTTCCTTCACTCTCTCCTTCACAGGTGTCAAACCCTACCTACTCCCCTCCTTCATAATTCACAGATATCTCCTCTAATAAATCTCTTTCAGACTTAATGCCATCTTGCCATCTGTTTTGTAGAGAACCTAGATTAACATGGATAACTTTTTAAAAACAACCTACAGTTTTTCAGAAAATGTCATACAATGCTTGTTATTTTTTTAGTGTAATCATAGTTTAAACACTTTTATATCGCTTGAGGGATTTCTGGGAATTTGTATGTTGATCTTTTATGTACAAGGCTCATGCCATGGAGTGTTGTACATAATGAGTGTTTGGTTAGATTGAATTATGTCTACTAGGTCCCAGTTGCTGAGATCTACAATGTGTCAAAATATATATATTACCTATTATTAAACTTGTAAGAGCAAGCATAAAGCCACATTCTGCTAGTAAATAACAAATGTTCATTGGATAGTTTGCAGTGAGAAAACTTTGTCATAGCAATTGTTAATGATAGTATATTAGTAATTTGATAATTTCAGAACAGGACAGTAATTTTTCTAAATAAAAGATAAGAATGGCAGTGAGATATTAATGAGTGCTGATTGATCAATTAGAAGGGAAAGTAAAATGAAGAGTGCCTAATGAGTTCATTCATTCACTGAATTGATTCATTTATTTAATCAGTGGTGATTGCCTACTACGTGCTGGATATTCTGCGAGGCTCTGTTTTGGTGTTTTTTGTTTGTTTGTTTTTTGAGAGTGAGCCTCGCTCTGTCACCCAGGCTGAAGTGCAGTAGTGTGATCTCGGCTCACTGCAACCTCTGCCTCTGGTTTCAAAAGATTCTCCTGCCTCAGCCTCCCAAATAGTTGAGATTACAGGCACCTGCCACCACGCCTGGCTAATTTTTTTTTTTTTTTTTTTTTGTATTTTTAGTAGAGACAGGGTTTCACCATGTTGGCCAGGCTGGTCTCAAATGTCTGACCTCCAGTGATCTGCCTGCTTCAGCCTCCCAAAATGCTGGGATTACAGGCATGAGGCACCGCATCAGGCCACTGCTAGGCTCTTTCTATTTGGTGATTAATGAAACAGATCCCCTGCCATCTTAGCATAAAGTCTGATGTGTTTTGATGTGTGCATGCAAACAGTTCCAGAAGACAACTGACTGAAGACTTTATAAAGGATGGCAGGTGACTATACTTCACGCCAAACAAACCAAAGGGAACTTCCTAAGTTTAATGAGACTATCACTTTCTGAACTTTTGGTACTAGATGACTCTTCAGAGACCTGGATTTTCAGCTTTTAAAATCTAAACAGGCTCTGTGGGATATTTATTAATTAAATATTCATTTTATAATCAAATGTGTTCTGACTTTGCCATATATAAGCCTCCATGGACATTGATCAAGAAGATATGGAGTGAGCAGAGTGATAAAACTAAGATTCCTGGTTATATAAAAATTTTTAAGCCCTTCCTGGTCCAAGAAGAGCATTTTTGGTGGCCACAACCTCTGGAACTAAGCTGCTGTCAACTTCCCGAAGACTGGTTGCTATAAATGAATTACAAAAGATTATCGAACTAACAATGAATATGAGGGCATGTGTGAAATTAAGAAATATTTATGATTAACAAGTATTCAATATTAATTCATTGTCCTGTGGGCACTTTGTTCTGTCTTCTTTAAGATCTTTCATTTGCAGGCCGGATGTCGTGGCTCATAACTGTAATCCCAGCATTTTGGAAGGCCGAGGTGGGTGGATCCCTTGAAGTCAGGAGTTTGAGACCAGCCTGGCTAATATGGTGAAACCCTGTTCTACTAAAACTACAAAAAAAGTAGCCAGGCATGCTGGCGGGCACCTGTAACCCCAACTACTTGGGAGGCCGAAGCAGGAGAATTGCTTGAACCCAGGAGGCAGAGGTTGCAGTGAGCTGAGGTGGAGCCACTGCACTCCAGCGTGGGCAACACAGTGAGACTCTGTCTGAAAAAAATAAAAATAAAGGAAAAATAAAATATCTTTTATTTGTAGAAACAGATACCTCTCCACGATACTCCTATTGACCATTGGTTCTAAAGTAACATATATTGCTTTCTGCTTCTCCCTCTCCCCCTTCTTCTCTTTATGGAGGAAATATCTATTGTCTCTAAAGCAACTTCTGTCTTATAATCAGCCAAGTCTAGGTGGCAAATTAAAGAAAAATGTAGCTGTTTCTATGCAAGGTTTTTAGATGAAGACGACATAATCTATTGTGGTGGTGATTAAACTTTTTGGTTTTGGGACCCTTTACTCTTAGAAGCTTTTGAAGTCCCTAAATTGTTTAGGACCCCAAAGAACATTGTTTTATGTACGATATCTATCCACACTTACTGTATTAGGAATTAAAGCTAAGTAATATTTAACATACTTAACTCATTAAAAATAAGCCGGTAGCAAACCTATTACATGTTAACATAAAATGAAATGTTTTGAATCATGACTTCTCCAAAACAAAAAAAAAGAAATTGCAAAGAGTGGCATTGTTTTATTCTCTTCAAGGTCTAACTTAATAGAAGGCAGCTGTGTTCTCATAGCGTCTTCTGCATTCGATCTGCTGTGGTATTTTGACTGAGGTATGATGAAGAAAAGCTGGCTTCACATAGTTATGTACTTGGAAAAGGGAAGATCTCACAGATCCACTGGAAGAGTTTGGTAGAGCTGAGGGTCCTCCAACCACATTTCCAAGAACTGCTGAGCTGATTTAAGTAGGAATGGTGATACTAAATAAGAATCTTTGGAACAGCTAGCAGAACCACACCCCACTACAGCACTGGCTGGAGAAGAAGGTAGCTGTTGCCTATAATGTGAGCTAGTTTTACCTCTATAGGCAGGAACCTATATAGTGTGTGGTTGTGTGTGCAACCACCACCACAGGGGCCCCAGAACTCCTGTGTCCCAGTGACATCCTTTTCACCACGTTTAACCCATTTCTGAATGACTGTCTTGTGCGGATATATCACACTGATAAATCCGTGTGATGAACACTGAAGTCACATGCTTGCACTCCAGTGGAGGCCGGGAGGTGTGGTTTTACTGAACTCTGTGGGTAAGGCAGACTTCACACAGAGGAAGTGTCAGATATAGAGATGGTGTTCAAAAGATTTTAGACAGATACAAATGTTGCTTGTCCACTACTATCATCTAGTTGAGAATCAGTTTCATTGGGGCATACAATATAGATGTGTAAAATATATAAAATGTGTTGCAAAAATGTAAAAATAAGATTTAAATAATCCCAGGCCGGGTGCGGTGGCTCATGCCTGTAATCCCAGCACTTTGGGAGGCTGAGGCGGGCGGATCATGAAGTCAGAAGTTCGAGACCAGCCTGATCAACATGGTGAAACCCCATCTCTACTAAAAATACAAAAATTAGCCAGGCATAGTGGCGTGTGCCTGTAATCCCAGCTACTCAGGAGGTTGAAGCAGGAGAATCCTTAAACCCAGGAGGTGGTGGTTGCAGTGAGCCGAAATCGCCCCACTGCACTTTAGCCTGGGTGACAGAGCTAGACTCCGTCTCAAAAAAAAAAAAAAAAAAAAAAAGATTTAAATAATCCCTAAAGCATCTTCAATATCCACTCCTCTTCCTTTGAAGAATACCTCCATAGAGATTAGGATTTGAGCCTATAATTTATTAGTGCCTTACATAGCATTGGTTAATGAATATGAAGGTTACTCAATAACTTATGAACATTACTTAAAATTCTGTAACATCCTATATTATTTTGGAATAAGGTTTATATATATTTAGGCCGTGTATTTCTAACTAAGTTTTACCAAATAGAATCTTGTCTGATGCCTAGAAGCCACAAATACTCCTAATTAGCTCTTGCTTGTAAAAAGGAATCGTGGACAGATTGAGAATGGAGTTTGTTATTGATGCAGGTGTGACAAGGGATGAAAAACAAAAGAGCTTTTAGAAGCAGCTTATAATATTGGAAGTTGAAAACATGCACAAGGAAGAAACTAGGAATGTGTTTTTGCAGGACTTGTCTTTTCATAGCTCCTTTGGAAAAATCTGGATTTATAAACTGAGATGTTATAGACTGTGGCCTGTAACCATTATCTTAAAACATTGTATTTTCCTTAGCACAAGAGGTCACTGTATTCAAACTGGCATCTGAAACTTTAATGGGATATAAAATTTGGATTCTTTGTCAGAAGACTTTCATATTTTGTCTCATCCTGAAGTCAGTGACTCGGCTAGATTCCTTATTTTTAAAAGTGCTTACATGAGATTTTGTTTTGATAGTTATCCCTCATTTTAATTCTGCTGCTCAGAAATGTCAGGATTTCTGAGTAGATTGTCTCATATCAAACCTGAGCCCTTGATTATATGAGTCACAGCCTTCTATCATCCTCCATACCTACATACTAAATGTTTCACCTAGGCAAAACAATCCAAATATTTTTATTGCCCAGTTTTATATAGACTAATGCTGACTAGAATGCCCCCTTTCTTTCTCTACCAACACATAGCTCTTCTCTCCTCTTTCAGTCCTTTCTGGAATAAGGATAGGTATAAATTAGATACATAAAGTGCCTTTCTCTACTTTAAAAAAGAAAAAAAAGTATGACTCGTGTCATACATTTAATGCTGTTCCAGCTAATTAATCCTGGCTGTGATGGTTAATTTTAGGTATCAACTTGACTGAGTTAAGGATTGCCCAGACAGTGGGTAAAACATTACTTCTGGCTGTGTCTATGAGGGTGTTTCCTGAAGCAATTAGCATTTGAATCACTAGGCTGAGTTAAGAAGATTGCCCTCACTGTTGTGGGCATGTATCATCCAACTGTCGAGGGCCTGGAAAGAACAAAAAGGGAGAAAAAGAATGAATTTGCTGCCTCTTCTGGAGCTGGGACATCCATCTTCTCCTGCCCTCAGACATCAGAGCTCTAGGTCCTCAGGCCTCTAGACTCTGGGACTTGCGCCAGTGGCCTCCCCGCTTTTCAGGCCTTCAAACTCAGAAAGAATTACATCACCAGTTTCTCCAGTTCTCCAGCTTACAAATGGCATATGTGGTACTTCTTGGCTTCTATAATCTTGTGAGCCAATTCCTATAACAAAGCATCTCTTATAGATTCTATATATCCTATTGGTTCTGTTTCTCTGGAGCACCGTAATACAATGACCATGTCTGGTCATCCTGTCACTGCAGCAACCCTTTATCCCTTATGTAGATGTCATGGCTGGCATGCAGAACACTTCCCTTCTACACATCTGGCTTTGTTCTCCATTCTAACCTTTTGGGGAGCATTTTCATTCTGAAGGGGTTAGAATGCCACAAATTACATTTCTAGTGAGTTATGCATGCAAATTAAGTTCTGCCAATTAGATGCACTTATTGTGATTTGAAAGGGAATGTGAGGGAAGGCTACCTTCCCACTGCTGGTTTTTCTCGCTGGCTGATACAGTTGTGGAGACCGTGAATTTGTCTGCAGCAGCACTCCACTCTGTAGTTACTAGTCTTGTGAGGACCGTCATTTCCTTGATTAGGCTACATTACATGGCAAAGGTGATGGGATAGTCACTCCAGGGATCGTATTACCTTTTATAAGACTCTGCTGTAGCCTACTGGAGGCAGATTCTCCTGCTGGCTTTGAAGAGGTAAACTGCCATCTTGTGAAAGCACCATTGGCTGAGACCTGAGGGTGGCCTGTAGGAGCTGAAAATGATCTGTAGCTGACAGCCAACAAGAAAACAAGGACCTCATTCCTACCCCCTTAAGACTGTGAATTCTGCCAGCCAACTAAATGAGGTTCAACACAGAGGACTCCAAACCTCAGGTGAGGTCCCAGCCCTGCCCAACACTTTGATTTCAGCCTAGTGAGACCCTGAGCAGAAGACCCTACTAACTGATTCCCAGTCTTCTGACCTGTGGAAAAGAAACTGTGAACTAATAAATGTGTGCTGTGCTAAGCCACTACGTTTGTGGTAATTTCTTAGACAACAATAGAAAAGTGTTACAGTATTCAAATTGCTATTACTGGGACATTGACCTCCAGAGCAATGACTGGGCAGGCTTTAAGACCTTGTCCTCCCCTTTCTTGTAATTTGGGTAACTGGATCCTTATTTTGATTATTTATACACAAAATCCCTCTAAGATTTGCTCTCCTAAACTCTTGCCATTGTCTCTCTCAAGAGAAATGAAGCCCTACTACCTACAGACATTCTTCCATATGCCAACTTCCTGTTGATCAACAATAGTTTAAATAGTTACTGCTCTTGGATTCCTTCTTGCCATGTCTGCCTACATAAAATACACTGCTCTTGTTACTTTACAGTGGATCTCCTTTCCCTATGAGCTATGAGCCCCATATGTGAGAGTTAACACCTATTACTTACTGCAATAACTTATATGTATATAATTTATGTATATAATATAATATAATATAATATGTAATATACATGTGTACTATGTTAGGCCTGCTAGACTGAACTTCCTTCAGCTGTATACAGCCTGATCCTTGCTCACCACCCAGAAGGTGGTTGTGTTTCCTTCTCAAACAACCCCCTCTCATAATAGTTTATGTAGCTCAGCATTCTGGAATTGGGCTCAGGATACTAGAACTAGGCCAATTAGGCCTTTTAAGTGATACAGAATAATTAATCCTATTCAAAGTCATTCAAAAAACACCTATAATGCCTTTTTTTTTTTATTTTTTTTGAGACAAGGTCTTGCTCTGTCACCCAGGCAGGAGTCCAATGGCACGATCTCGGCTCACTGTAACCTCCACCTCCTGGGTTCAAGTGATTCTCCTGCCTCAGCCTTCTGAGAAGCTGGGATTACAGGCGCCCGCCACCGTGCCCAGCTAATTTTTGTATTTTTTAGTAGAGATGGGGTTTCACCATGTTGGCCAGGCTGGCCTTGAACTCCTGACCTCAGGTGATCCACCCGCCTCAGCCTCCCAAAGTGCTGGGATTACAGGAGTGAGCCACCGCACCTGGCCTGCTATTTGTTTTAATTTAGAAAATATGAGAAGAATCTTTAAAACTTCAAGTTGCTATAAAATGTGTTGTATTAAATTCTTTTAGTTATTAGATAAAATGCACCATTTTTCAAAATACTAAAAGATTTGGACTCTCCTAAGATTTCTAATATCAATATAAGAAAGCTAGTAAAAAGTTCCACCTTGAAGTGCAGAGGGCAAGTGATGATTGACAAAGGTGGGAGGTGTTTGAGGAAGACGAGGCTGGGAGAGGTCAAGCTAATTGATATGGTTTGGATTTGTGTCCCTGCCCAAATCTAATGTTGAATTGTAATCCCCAATGTTGGAAGAGAGGCTTGGTAGGAGGTAATTGGATCATACGGGTAGACTTCCCCCTTGCTGTTCTTGTGATAGTGAGTGAGTTCTCATGGGACCTGGTTGTTTAAAAGTGTGTAGCAGGGGAGAAGGATCATCATGGTACATGGGAGGCAAGACTAGTTTGCAGCTCTGGACACAGCAGCGTGCGGAGGCTCACATTGTGAATTTAAGCTCCAGATCAACTGCAAGAACAAACCAGCAATCCTGAAAGGACCCACAGACCTCTGAAGGAAGCGGGCTGCTCCTGCAGGACCCAGGAGACACCCCAAATATATTCTGTGAGTGCCCTAACGGTGGAGGTGGGAAAGGGAGACCCTTGTCTCCAGAACACACAATCCCACTGGAGAAGCTGAAGGTCTGTTTGTGGGAGACGTTTCTGACCTTGCCTGGAGCTGAGTCAATTTAGAGAGCCAAGTGAAATACAGGGGTAGAGGAAGCAGCAGAAAGGTCCTGGGAGCTTGCTGGGTCTCCAGGCAGCCCATTCCCACCTGGCACCACAGGGATCCATCGAAGAGTGGCCAGAGGAGCAAGGGGTAAAACTCCACTGGGAGAAGGAAAGCTCTAGCTGAACTTTGTAACAATTTGAGCGGGGTGAGAAGCCTCTTGGCCAGAACTTGGGGCAAGGCGCAAATCTGGTATGCAGACTCCACAGGTGGGGAAGAACCAAGCTCTTTTCTTTCACAGCTGGGAGGTGGGTAGCCTGGGGCAAGTTTTCATGCCCATCTCGGCCACCACCACCTGGTAACAGATTCAGGGCTGTTGGGTGGGGCACGGTGGGAGTGAGACCGACTCTTCAATTTGCGTGGGAGCTGGGTGAGGCCTATAACTGCTGGGTGAGGCCTATAACTGCTGGCTTTCCCCCATGTCCCTGACAACCTGCATGACTCAGCACAGGCAGCCATAATCCTCCTAGGCACACAACTTCAGTGACCTGGGAATCTCACCCCCATCCCTAACAGCAGCAAGACCCACCCAAGGAGAGTCTGAGCTCAGACACGCCTACCCCTGCCCCCACCTGATGGTTCTTCCCTACACACACTGGTGGCTGAAGACAAAGGGCTTATACTCTTGGGAGTTCTAGGGCCTTACCCACCACCAGTACCTCTCCATACTACCACAGCTGATGCTTTCTGGAAAGTGCCACCTCCTGGCAGGAGGTCAAACAGCACAAAAATAGAGCATTAAACCACCAAAGTAGCTGGGTGCGTGGCTCATGCCTGTAATCTCAGCACTTTGGGAGACCAAGATGGGTGGATCACCTGAGGTCAGGAGTTCGAGACCAGCCTGGCCAACATGGCAAAACCCCATCTCTACTAAAACTACAAAAATTAGCCAGATGTGGCAGTGGGCACCTATAATCCCAGCTACTCAGGAGGCTGAGGCAGGGACAATCGCTTGAACCCGAGAGGCAGAGGTTGCAGTGAGCTGGGATCGCACCACTGCCTCCACCTTGGGTCTCAAAAAAAAAAAAAAAAAAAAAAACCAAAGCTAACCCTCATGGAGCCCATTGCACCCCCCTGCCACCTCCACCAGAACAGGCACTGGTATCCATGGCTGAGAGACCCATAGACGGTTCACATCACAGGACTGTGTGCAGGCAACCCCCAGTACCAGCCTGGAGCTGGGTAGACTCACTGGATGGCTAGACCCAGAAGAGAGACAACAATCACTGCAGGTCAGCTCACAGGAAGCCACATCCCTTGGAAAAGGGGGAGAGTACTGCATCAAGGGAACACCCCATGGGACAAAAGAATATGAACAGCCTTCAGCCCTAGACCTTCCCTCTGACAGAGCCTACCCAAATGAGAAGGAACCAGAAAACCAAGTCTGGTAATATGACAAAACAAGGCTCTTTAACACCCCCAGAAAATCACATTAGTTCACCAGCAATGGATTCAAACCAAGAGAAATACCCGATTTACCTGAAAAAGAATTCAGGAGGTTAGTTATTAAGCTAATCAGGGAGGCACCAGAGAAAGGTGAAGTGCAATGCAAGGTAATCCAAAAAACGATACAAGAAGTGAAGGGAGAAATATTCAAGGAAATAGATAGCTTAAAGAAAAAGCAATAAAAAATTCAGGAAACTTTGGACACAATTTTAGAAATGCAAAATGCTCTGGAAAGTCTCAGCAATAGAATTGAAGAAATAGAAGAAAAATTCACAGCTCAAAGACAAGGTATTCAAATTAACCCAATCCATCAAAGACAAAGAAAAAAGAAAAAGAAAATATGAACAAATTCTCCAAGAATTCTGGGATTATGTTAAACAACCAAACCTAAGAATAATTGGTGTTCCTGAGGAAGGAGAGAATTCCAAAAGCTTGGAAAACATATTTGGGGGAATAATCAAGGAAAACTTCCCCGGCCTTGCTAGAGACCCAGACATCCAAATACAAGAAGCACAAAGAACCCCTGGGAAATTCATCACAAAAAGATCATCATTGCCTAGGCACATTGTCATCAGGTTATTCAAAGTTAAGATGAAGGAAATAATCTTAAGAGCTGTGAGACAGAAGCACCAGGTAACCTACAAAGGAAAACCTATCAGATTAACAGCAGATTTCTCAGCAGAAATCCTATAAGCTAGAAAGGATTAGGGCCCTATCTTCAGCCTCCTCAAGCAAAACAATTATCAGCAAAGAATTTTGTATCCAGCAAAACTAAGCATCACATGTAAAGGAAAGATACAGTCTTTTTCAGACAAACAAATGCTGAGAGAATTCACCATTACCAAACCACCACTACAAGAACTGCTAAAAGGAACTCTTAAATTTTGAAACAAATCCTGGAAACACATCAAAATGGAACCTGTGTAAAGCATAAATCACATAGAACCTATAAAACAAAAATACAAGTTAAAAAGCAAAAACAAAAAACAAAAAAAAACAAAGTACACAGGAAACAAACAGCACGATGAATGCAATGGTACCTCACATTTCAATTCTAACATTGAAGGTAAATGGCCTAAATGCTCCACTTAAAAGATACAGAACTGCAGAATGGATAAGAACTCACCAACCATCTGCTGCCTTCAAGAGACTCACCTAACACATAAGGACTCACATAAACTTAAAGTAAAGGGGTGGAAAAAGGCATTGCATGCAAATGGACACAAAAAGCAAGCAGGGGTAGCTATTCTTATACCAGACAAACAAACTTTAAAGCAACAGCAGTTAAAAGAGACAAAGAAGGACATCATATAATGGTAAAAGGCCTTGTCCAGCAGGAAAATATCACAATCCTAAACATATATACACCTAACACTGGAGCTCCCAAATTCATAAAAAAATTACTAATAGCAACACAATAATAGTGGGGAAATTCAATACTCCAATGACAGCACTAAACAGATCATCAGGACAGGAAGTCAACAAAGAAACAATGGATTTAAACTATACCTTGAAACAAATGGACTTAACAGATATATATAGAACATTCCATCCAACAACTGCAGAATACACATTCTATTCAACAGCACATGGAACTTTCTCCAAGATAGACCATGTGATAGGCTATAAAACAAGCCTAAATAAATTTAAGAAAATTCAAATTATATCAAGCACTCTCTCAGATCACAGTGGAATAAAACTGGAGATCCAAAGGAGCCTTCAAAACCATGCAAATACATGGAAATTAAATAACTTGCTCTTGAATGAGCATTGGGTCAAAAACGAAATCAAATGGAAATTAAAAAATTCTTCAAACTGAATGACAATAATGACACAACATACCAAAACCTCTCGGACACAGAAAAGGCAGTGCTAAGAGGAAAGTTCATACCCTAAACACCTATATCAAAAAGACTGAAAGAGCACACACTGACATTCTAAGGTCACACTTCAAGGACCTACAGAAACAAGAACAAACCAAACCCAACCCCAGCAGAAGAAAGGAAATAACCAAGATCAGAACAGAACTAAATGAAATTGAAACAAAAAAAATACAAAAGATAAATGAAACAAAAAGCAGGTTCTTTGAAAAGATAAATAAGATTGATAGACCATTAGCAAGATTTTTTTGGTCTCTTTTGTAATTTTAATTGAAGTAATCCTATTTTTTTAACTTTCTCTTATAAGCACCAAATTTTAATATCTAAGTCAATTTTTGGGAAAAGAAACACCATCAAGATCTTCCCTCCAGCAAAACAATGATGTTCACTCCTCCAAATATCCAAATTGAAGGTCTACCAAAACAAAAACAAAAGCCCACAGAGAAATAAAAAGGAATAAAAATCACATTCTAATGGGGGGATCAGTGCATTTAGCAGTCTTCGCTGTGCTGTCTAACCATCCTTCATCTGACTTTCAAAAAAATAACACCCTAAGCTCATCAAAATATACATTTTCCATTTGCTTTTTTAAATTAAAAATAATTATTAAAAAAAGGAAAACTTTAAGGAATTCACAATCAATTGCCTGACTCATTTCGATGTCATGTACAGCATATGGAGGTCAGGAAGGCTATTTGCAGCACATGTGATTAGGGGCTATTGATCGTCAGGGTTTAGCTTTCTTCCAAACAGTGTAAAATACCCACGATTCCAAGTATGAAGGGACACAGAGAATCTCCTTTGAAAATTCCACAGGACAATACAGGCGCCCCAGCTGTTCTTCACAGAGCGACAGTGCTTTGGTCAGACTGACACAGTTCCCCTGTGTAAAATATTTCCCATCCTGTTTCAACACTTTCATTGAGAGTTCAAGAATCAGTCTGAGAAACTCCCATGTGGAATCTTCTTCTGGAGAAGTGGAGATTGGAACAGCTGTCAAATCATTAATCGCATAATCAAATTATCTCCCTTCTTTGGCGTACCTCTTGAGTACCGGAATACAGTCTTCTATTAGAACCTGATAGCAGTCTCCTTTAAGATTGTCTAAGACATCGCCATACGTTTTTTGCATGTATTTCTTACACCCATCAATCACCATTTCGTCAATCTCTACCATAGTGACCATCTTTGGTTTTAGTTTGACTATTTCACACAATATGCCTCCATCTCCACCTCCCAGAATGAGTACATCTTTGCCAGTGTAATCTTCTTCGCCACTGCCCATGATGGCCCGGGTATATGCCAAATCACTCTCTGCCAAATTAACATCCCCACTAACGATGAGAATATTTCCAAACTGCTTCGAGTGTAGAATTTTTATATTTTGATAAGATTAATCTTCGTCATATACCACTTCATCTATGTCATATTCAACCAGGCGCCCATCGGCGGTGAGCCAGTATCTGTCAATGGCTCCTCCTCGCACTATGGGTGGTAATCGTTTCACCCGCCCAGTACTGTCCTGACTCAATTCTTTCATTCTTTCTTCTACTTTGTTCAAAATACTGTCGATCTCTTCTTTGCCTTGCACATCACCATCATAACTCTGAAGGTCCAGCAACACCAATCCATGTGGGTAAATTCTCAAATTGGCAAAGCTGCCGTTCTTTTTTGTGTAGGTTGCTAAATAGCCATGGTCCTGCCAGGTGTGCACCGACTCTGCCATCCCCTGCTCCTGGAAAATGGACTGGAGGCCTTTTAGAACAGTCTCACCATCAGCTTTGGCGCCGAGCGTGAAGTCGAGCATGCTGTGCCGTGCTGCTGCCATAGTGAGGCGAGGCCCTGTGCCATGCCTGGGGGAGGGGCGGCAGGAGACTGGGGGGCCGCGTGGCGTGTCAGGCTGCGGCCAGTGGGGAGTGCCGACCATTAGCAAGATTAACCAAGAAAAGAAGAAAGAAAATCCAAATAACCTCACTAAGAAATGAAACAGGAGATATTACAACTGACACCACTGAAATACAAAAGATCATTCAAGGCTACTATGAGTAACTTTATACACATAAATAGAAAACCTAGAAAAGGTGGATAAATTCCTGGAAAAATACAACCCTCCTAGCTTAAATCAGGAAGAATTAGATACCCTAAACAGACCAATAACAAGTGGCAAGTTTGAAATAGGAATTAAAAAGTTACCAACAAAAGAAAGTCCAGGACCAGACAGATTGACATCAGAATTCTACCAGACATTCAAAGAAGAATTAATACCAATCCTTTTGACACTATTCCACAAGAAAGAGAAAGAAGGAACCCTCCCTAATTTGTCCTATGAAGCCAGCATCACCTAATACCAAAACCAGGGAAGGACATAACCAAAAAAGAAAACTACAGACCAATATTGCTGATGAACATAGATGCTAAAACCCTTAACAAAATACTAGCTAACTGAATCCAACAACATATCGAAAAGATAATCCACCATGATCAAGTGAGTTGCATACCAGGGATGCAGGAATGGTTTAACATACACAAGTCAATAAATGTGATACACCACTCAAACAGAATTAAAAACAAAAATCACATGATCATCTCAATAGATGCAGAAAAACCATTCGATAAAATCCAGCATCGCTTTATGATTAAAACTTCAGCAAAATCGGAATACAAGGGGCATACTTTAATGTAATAAAAGCCATCTATGACAAACCCACAGCCACCATCATAATGAATGGGAAAAGTTGAAAGCATTCTGTCTAAGATCTGGAAGAAGACAAGGATGCCCACTCTCACCAAGCCCCTTCGACATAGTACTGGAAGTCCTAGCCAGAGCAACCAGACAAGAGAAAGAAATAAAGGGCATCCAAATTGGCAAAGAGGAAGTCAAACTGTCACTGCTGACAATATGATCATTTACCTTGAAAACTCTAAAGACTCCTCTGGAGAGCTCCTAGAACTGATAAAAGAATTCAGCAAAATTTCTGGATACAGAATTAATGTACACAAATCAATAGCTCTTCTATACATCAACAGCGACCAAGCAGAGAATCAAATCAAGAACTCAACAACTTTCACAATAGCTGCAAAAATAAAAAAATAAATAAAATACTTAGGAATATACCTTACCAAGGAGTTGAAAGACCTCTACAAGGAAAACTACAAAACACTGCTGAAAGAAATCATAGGTGACACAAACAGACGGAAACACATCCCATGCTCATGGATGAGCAGAATCAATATTGTGAAAATGACCATACTGCTCAAAGCAATCTACAAATTCAACGCAACCCCAATCAAAATACTGCCATCATTCTTCACAGAATTAGAAAAAACAATTCTAAAATTTATGTGGAACCAAAAAAGAGCCCACACAGCCAAAGCAAGACTAAGCAAAAATAACACATCTGGAGGCATCACACTACCTGATTTCTTTCTTTCTTTCTTTCTTTCTTTCTTTCTTTCTTTCTTTCTTTCTTTCTTTCTTTCTTTCTTTCTTTCTTTCTTTCTTTCTTTCTGTCTCTCTCTCTCTCTCTTTCTTTCTTTCTTTATTTTTTGAGACGGTGTCTCACTCTCTGTTGCCCAGCCTGGAGTGCAGTGGTGCAGTCTCAGCTCGGTGCAACCTCTGCCTCCCAGGTTCAAGCGATTCTCCTGCCTCAGCCTCCTGAGTGCCTGGGATTACAGGCACCTGCCACAATGCCTGGCTATTTTTTTTTTTTTTTTTTGTATTTTTAGAGAGATGGGGTTTCACCATGTTGGCCAGGCTGGTCTCGAACTCCTGACCTCATGATCCACCCGCCTTGGCCTCCCAAAGTGCTGGGATTACAGGCATGAGCCACTGCACCTGGCCCTGATTTCAAACTATACTATAAGGCCATAGTTACCAAAACAGCATGGTACTGGAATAAAAATAGGCACATAGACCAATGGAACAGCATAAAGAACCCAGAAATAAACCTAAATACTTACAGCCAACTGATCTTTGACAAATCAAACAAAAACATAAAGTGAGGAAAGGGCACCCTATTCAACAAATGATGCTGGGATAACTGGCTAGCCACATGTAGGAGAATGAAACTGAATCCTCATCTCTCACCTTATACAAAAATCAACTCAAGATGGATTAAGGACTTAAACCTAAGACCTAAAACTATAAAAACTCTAGAAGATAACATTGGAAAAACCCTTCTAGACATTGGCTTGGGCAAGGATTTCATGACCGAGAACCCAAAAGCAAATGCAATAAAAACAAAGATAAATAGCTGGGACCTAATTAAACTAAAGAGTCTTTGCACGGCAAAAGAAACAGTCAGTATAGTAAACAGACAACCCACAGAGTGGGAGAAAATCTTCACAATCTATAAATCTGACAAAGGACTAATATCCAGAATCTACAACAAACTCAAGCAAATCGGTAAGAAAAAAACAATCCTACCAAAAAGTGGGCTAACGACATGAATAGACAATTCTCAAAAGAAGATATACAAATGGCCAACAAACATGAAAAAAATGCTCAACATCACTAACTTTTCACAATTAATAGAACACTCCAAATTATTTGTATTCAGTTTTTATTGAGAAAATCTGAAAAGAATTGACTAGAAATGCGAATCAATCTATGAGTACAGCCAGTGCCAAAATTTAAAATAATTAAAATGTAAAAGGCAAAAATAGTTTCAGAAAAGAATAAGACTGACATTTTCAGATGTTCTGCCAAAGCAAAGCTGCCTCTTCTGTCGTGTAGCAGCCTGACAGGCATGATCACCGATGGGCAAATGAGGGGCCGTTGATTCCCTACAAATCCAGCCCCCTACCCACCTCCACACCACCCCCTCTGCAGTCGGTCAAGGGAACCAAGCCACCACTCCAGAGTCAGGTCACTGGAAAGATGCTTAGGCGTGAAATGTCATAGCTATTCCAGTAATTGAAGCATAAGACATATCCTATTTTTCTACTAGATACATTTTTAGGGCACACTCAGAACCAGTTTAAGACCTACATATCATGATTTAATTTAAGCCCTCTCAGAAAACTTTCTTTTCTCCAAGCTTTTCCCCACTGAACTTTACAATTTTCCTCACATTGGAGGCATGCTCATTTGGCCCTCTACATGCACACCTGTCACAGTTTAAGGTATTAAGGTGCAAGTGAATTTGTGGATCTTATGAGACTATGCTAATTGTGTTTTACATATTCATTGCCACTTGGCCTTAAGCAATCTCTTGTGGAAAGAGATCAGAAATGTCATTTTTTTATTGTTAATTAAGCTTATAAAATTTTCAAAATACAGAAAGGTAGAATAGTATACTGTGTGTCCCCATGTACCCATCACCCAAATTTAATGGTTGTCAATGTTTATCAACAGTTATTCACTTTGTTTAATTTATCACCTTACAAATTGTTTTTTAAGGCAAACGATTTCAGACTGGATGTGTAAATTTTGATGTAGATTAATTTTTTTTTTTTTTGAGATGGAGTCTTGCTCTGTTGCCCAGGCTGGAGTGCAGTGGCATGATCTTGGCTCACTGCAGCCTCCACTTCCAGGGTTCAAATGATTCTCGTGCCTCAGCTTCCTGAGTAGCTGGGATTGCAGGCATGCACCACCAGCTATTTTTGTTTTGTTTTGTTTTGTTTTGTTTTGTTTTGTTTTGTATGTTTAGTAGAGATGGGGTTTCACCATGTTGGCCAGGCTGGTCTCGAACTGCTGACCTCAAGTGATCCACCTGCCTCAGCCTCCCAGGGTGCTGGGATTACAGGTGTGAATCACCACACCTGGCCCGATGTAGAGGAATTAAAGCAAATTTCAGAGATGGGTCCCTGGCTGGGCAGTCTGACTAGCTGAGGGTGGTAGGTGGGGGTGCGGGGAGTAGGGGTATTGCCAGATGAAGGAGGCACTGGCCCAGGGATAGAGTACTGAAAGTTCAATGAATTTTTTAAAGTGTATATTTTCTGAGAAACAACTGATCTGACTGCAAACCAAAAAAAAAAAAAAGAAAAAGATCTTGTTCTCTTAAGGTTTTGTTTCATCTTAAGTTTAGGAAGATTGTGCTTGTATTCATGTATTGCAAGGTATTTATTTTAGACTCATAATACTCATAATTACATGGAGATCAAACATCCTGTTGTAAGCAGGATAGTAACTCCTTGGTTCTCAGTCCTCCAGTTTTACAGCATACTCCTTTTAAAGACCAAGGGCTATGATTTCATGGATTTTATTTTATTTTATTGGGATGGAGTCTCGCTTTGTCACCCAGGCTGGAGTGCAGTGGCGCCATCTCGGCTCACTGCAACCTCCGTCTGCTGGGTTCAAGCGATTCTCCTGCCTTAGCCTCCCAAGTAGCGCCCGCCACCACGCCTGGCTAATTTTTGTATTTTTTTAGTAGAGACTGGGTTTCACCATGTTGGCCAGGTTGGTCTCAAATTCCTGACCTCAAGTGATCCACCTGCCTCGGCCTCCCAAAGTGCTGGGATTACAGGTGCGAGCCACCGTGCCTGGCTGAATTGTAGCAAATACATTCAAAAGTTTCATCATCTTTTATATTCAGGAAAATTATTATTATTGGTTCAGTCCTCTTGTATTATGTAATTTGTTTCCAGTTCTTGGAAAAGTGGAGATTAGGCTCTTCGAGGACAGCTTTATTCCTTAAACATATCTCTCACAGCTTTTCTTTTTCCTCCTTTCTTTTTTTGAAAGAGTCTTGCTCTGTCACCCAGGCTGGAGTGCAGTGGCGTGATTCGGGCTCACTGCAACTTTCCCCTCCCAGGTTCAAGCCACTCTGGGCTGAAGCCTCCCAAGTAACTGGAATTACAGGTGCCCACCACGCCCGGCTAATTTTTGTATTTTTAGTAGAGATGGGGTTTCGCCATGTTGGGCAGGCTGGTCTCAAACTCCTGACCTGGAGTGATCCACCCACCTCAGCCTCCCAAAGTGCCGGGATCACACATGTGTCAGCCACCATTCCAGCCCAAATCTCTCACTAACTATTCAGCATACAGTCTCTCAGAGTTCCCTGTCTATTGTAAAATGTAACCGTAACCCAAGTGGATACCTTCTTCTTCCTGCTAAGGGTCGCCATTCACTAGCAAGTTTGGGAAGGGGGTTTGCTGCAGGACGGTGTGTGGGTTAGTCGCCGATGCACATGTGTCCCCCTTGCCCTCTGCAGCTTACAGCCCCGTCTGTGTCCCTTCAGTGGGATACTGATGTCGCCACGCTGGCCATGGTCTACAGGACGGTGATAGGAGGCCACACCTCCCTGTACTGCTGTGTTCCTGATGCCCCCAGTTTCTCCTGCCAGCCTCTCACTGAAGGTCTGGGTGACTGAGATTGTGCTTAAGACAGCACAGGACAGGAAACAATTGCACACTGGGTAACATGACGGGCTAAGATATTAAGAAAACAAACAAACAAACAAACCAGTGGGCTATTTCTTGATGTTTCTTGAGTTACTGTGGCCTCATCAGGAAAGAATAGTTTCTCTGTCCCTCCAACCAATCCAAGAAAGAGAGGCCGGTATTGTGTTTTGAAGGTCCCACTTCTTTTTTTTACTCCTCTTACTCCACCAGGGAAGTAAAGAGCTATTGTGACTCACATCCTTTGAGGGGGCTTTAAGCTGGACCACCTCTGAAGTGGAGGGGAAGAGGACCCAGACTTTAGCTTAAAGAGGGAGTATGGCCCATTCGTACCTCCTGCCAGGCAGAATCCCTGGTAGAATCACCTTCGAGGGGATAGGGTAGGGATTCCTGGGGGCTAAATGCCAAGATCCACAACCTTGAAAGCTGTATTAGTTGTCTAGGGCTGCTTTACCACAAACCACGCGACTTAAAACAACGGAAATGTGACATCTCATAGTTCTGGAGGCTAGAACTCCAAAAATGCCAGCAGAGCCATGCTCCCTCTGAAACCTGAAAGGCAATCCTTTGCCCCTTCCCAGCTTCTGATGGTATGCCAGCAATCTTTGGCATTCCTTGGTTTGCAGGTGCGCAACTCCCATCTCTGCCTTTGTAGTCACTGGTGTTCTCCCCGAGTGTCTGTCTTCACATGCACACCGGCTGTGTGCAAGTGACTGCAACAGGACCCCAGTCATATTGTATTAGGGGCCCACCCTATTCCAGTAAATAAGGTCACATTCTGAGGTACCAGGATTTAGTGCCACAAAATATCTTTTTGGGGGACATACACAACTCAACCCACCAAGAGCCACAGCACAAGATCCCTGTACCAAGCCTGGTATGGAGAAGGCAGCCACCCGCCTTTGAATGGGCCAAGCAGGCTTGGATGACTATGCCCAGCAGTGATTAGTGGTAGACCAGAAGCCCTCCCCCAAATTTCTAGATTGTGTAGGGACTTTTTTTTTTTTTTGAGACGGAGTCTTGCTTTTTTGCCTAGGCTGGAGTGAAGTGACATCTTAGCTCACTGCAACCTCTGCCCCCCTGGGTTCAAGTAATTCTCCTGCCTCAGCCTCTCAAGTAGCTAGGATTACAGGCACATGCCACTACATCCAGTTAATTTTTGTATTTTTAGTAGAAATAGGGTTTCATCATGTTGGCTAGGCTGGTCTTGAACTCCTGACCTCAGGTGATCCACCCGCCTCGGCCTCCCAAAGTGCTGGGATTACAGGCGTGAGCCACCGTGCCCACCTAGGGACACTTATACAACCTGGAAGAGGAGAAGGAAGCCACCCCCACTCCACTCCCACCCCACAAATAATATGACTGTGCTTGCAATTCTCTGGGGGGACTGATTTGGTGATTCTGCCCCTGCGTGTATGGGGGCATACTCAGGTGATTACACTTGGCATCCCTGTTTTTAACATACCCTGGGCCAGCCTGGTGCGGTGGCTCACACCTGTAATCCCAGCAATTTGGGAGGCCACGGTGGACAGATCACCTGAGCTCAGGAGTTCGAGGCCAGCCTGGCCAACTTGGTAAAATGCCGTCTCTACTAAAATTACAAAAAATCAGCCAGGCGTGGTGGCACTCACCTGTAGTCCCAGCTACTCTGGAGGCTGAGGCAGGAGAATTGCTTGAACCTGGGAGGCAGAGGTTGCAGTGAGCCAAATCATGCCACTGCACTCCAGCCTGGGCAACAAAGCAAGACTTCATCTCAACACAAAACAAAACCCAAAAAACAACAACAAATAACATACCCTGGACCATCTGCATTCTACTCATTTCTCACTGGCTGTTTTTTGTTTCCAAGTGCCTCATTCTTTTATTTACTTTTCACAGTTGCTAGTGTTCTACCCTTGTGATGGTTAATATTGAGTGTCAACTTGATTGGATTGAAGGATGCAAAGTATTGCTCCTGGGTGTGTCTGTGAGGGTGTTGCGGAAGGGGATTAACATTTGAGCCAGTGGACTGGGAGAGGCAGACCCACCCTCAGTCTGGGTGGACAACATCTAATCAGCTGCCAGCACTGCTAGAATAAAAGCAGGCAGAAGAACATGGACTACTAGACTGGCTGAGTCTTCTGGCCTTCATCTTTCTTCTGTGCTGGATGATTCCTGCCCTCAAACATCAGACTGCAAGTTCTTCAGCTTTGGACTCTTGGACTTATGCCAGTGGTTTGCCCGGGGCTCTTAGACCTTTGACCACAGACTGAAGGCTGCACTGTTGGCTTCCCTACTTTTGAGGTTTTGGGAGCTTGGACTGGTTTCCTTGCTCCTCAGCTTGCAGACTTCAAGTGGGACTTCACTTTGTGATCATGTGAGTCAATACTTTCTAATAAACTACCGTTGATATACACACCTATTCTATTAGCTCTGTCCCTCTAGAGAACCCTGACGAATACAGTCCTCATATTCCTCTCCTTTTATTTTCCCAATCAAAACATTTATGAAATATATGTGCATTGGCAAAAAAAAACTAAGGTTACTTCCTAGTCAAAAGTGCTACACACTCCTAGCCAGCATGCTTCGTAACAAAATATTATATTAACACTTAAAAAATACATCCTATATAAAATGTGTAGAGAGAACTTACTGCCTTACTGGCCCAGATAAGCAGCAGGGAAGGGATAGGAAAATGTTTTCCTCTCCTCTGTAGGGTTAGTGCCTAGGAGCTGAGAATATGGGGTGGGAGGGGGGGTCCAGATTTTTTTCTTCCAGTTATATAAAAATCAGAGAAGTGCCTCATTTCTGCTCAAATGCATTTGAAATATCATCACTGATAATTCCTTAGTTTTAAAACTAAAATCTGTCTGCAATATTTTAAATACCATAAATAGCAACCTCCCACTCAGAGACAAAATGGAAACCTCTCTATACTGTTCTGTAATCAGAGCATCTAGCACAGAGGAAAAATCCAAGAAGTAAGGTAAACTATAAAACTATATAAATAAACTATATCTACAAAACTATATAAATTATATAAATGCATATCAGTTACATTTGACAATACAACAAGTTATCAATAACATTGCTAAACCACTTTACTTATTGAATTTTTTTTTAAATTCCCCTTTAAACAGTGAGATGATGGGGCTGTAGGAAATGGACCTTCATCCCCATTTTAATAGAAAGTCATCAAGGCAGTTTTAGCAATCTGAATTGAGGATCAGTTTACAAGGAGAAAATCAATTTATGTTTAAGTGTGTGTGTATACACACACAGACACACACATATTCCCACACCCTCCCTGAGGGCTTTGAGTGATCCAATGTCTGAAAATATCCACAGCAAACTGAGGGAAAATTACTGTGGTTAATTGACTCATTTACTTAAACCTTTATTAGCCATAACTTATTAACGTATTAAATGCATTAAAAGACATGTCGAAAGCCAAGATAGGGGCCAGGCATGATGGCTCACACCTGTAATCCCAGCACTTTGGGAGGCCGAGACAGGCATATTACTTGAGGTCAGGAGTTCCAGACCAGCCTGGCCAACATGGTGAAACCCCATCTCTACAAAAATATAAAATTAGCCAGCCGTGGTGGTATGTGCCTTAATTCCAGCTGCTCAGGAGGCTGAAGCAGGAGAATCACTTGAACCCAGGAGGCAGAGGTTGCAGTGAGCCAAGATGGTGCCACTGCACTCCAGCCTGGGTGACAGAGTGAGACTCTGTCTCTAAATAAATAAAATAAAATAAAATAATGAAAGCCAAGATAGGCTGAAACTAGGCCTCTTGTGCCAAAGAGTTAGCGAAGATGTGAATGCAAAGGAAATTAAAAGTGCTACTGTAGTAAATAAAAAAAAAAAGATTAGAAAGCAAAACAATGTATTGCTGATATGGAGAAAATTGGAGTGGTCTAGACAGAAGAACAAACCAGCAACAACATTCCCTTAAACCAAAGCCTAACCCAGAGCAAGGCCCTAACTCTCTTCCATTTTTTTTTTTTTTTCTGAGATTGGGTCTCGCTCTGTCACCCAGGCTGGAGTGCAGTGGTGCAATCTTGGCTCACTGCAACCTCCACCTACTGGGTTCAAGCTATTCTCCTGCCTCAGCCTCCCAAATAGTTGGGACTACAGGCATGTGCCACCATGCCCAGCTAATTTTTAGTACAGACAAGGTTTCACCATGTTGGCCAGGCTGGTCTCCAACTCCTGGCCTCAAGTGATCCACCTGCCTTGGCCTCCCAAAGTGCTGGGATTACAGGTGTGAGCCACTGCGCTTCAATTTTGTCAAGGCTGAGAGAGGTGAGAAAGCTGCAGAAGAAAGGTTCAAAGCTAGCAAATGTTGGTTCATGCAGTTTAAGGAAAGAAGCTGTTTCCAGAACATAAAAGTCAAAGTGAAGTGGAAAGTGCTGATGGAAAAGCTGCAGCAAGTTATCCAAAAGACCTAGTAAAGATCACTGATGAAGGTGTCTACACTAAACAACAGATTTTCAATCTAGGACTTTCAAAGGTAGAGAGGAGAAGTCAATGCCTGGCTTCAAAGAACAGGCTGAGTCTCTTGTTAGGAACTAATGCAGCTGGTGCCTTGAAGTTGAAGCCAATAGTCATTTACCTTCCCTACAATACTAGGGCACTCAAGAATTATGCTAAATCGACTCTGCCTGTGCTTCATTAGTGGAACAACAAAGCCTGGATGACAGCACATCTGTTTACAGCACAGTCTCTTGTATATTTTAAACCCACTGTTGAGACATATAGCTCAGAAAAAAAGATTCCTTTCCTAATATTACTGCTCACTGACAATGTACCTAGTCACCCAAGAGCTCTGATTTAGATGTACAAGGAGATTAATGTTGTTTCAATACCCACAACACAACATCCATTCTGCAGCTTTCAAGTCTTATTATTTTAAAAATACATTTTGTAAGGCTATAGCTGCCATAGATAGTGATTCTTCTGATGGATCTGGGCAAAGTAAATTTAAAAGCTTCTGGAAAGGATTGACCATTCTAGATGGCAGTGAGAACATTCATTATTCATGGGTGGAGGTCAAAATATCAACATGAACAGAAGTTTTGAAGAAGTTGATTCCAACTTTCATGGATAACTTTGAGGGGGTCAAGATTTCAGTGGAGGAAGTAACTGCAGGTATGGTAGAAATAGCAAGAAAACTACAATTAGAAATGGGCCTTAAGATGGAACTAAATTGCTGCAATCTCATGATCAAACTTGAATGAAGAGTTGCTTCTTATGAATGAGCAAAGAAAGTGGTTTCTTGAGATAGAATGTACTGCTGATGAAGATGCTGTGAACGTTGGTGAGATGACAACAAAGGATTTAGAATATTACATCAACTTCGTTAATAAAGAAGTGACAGGGTTTGAGAGAATTAACTCCAATTTTTTTTTTTTTCTGAGATGGAGTTTCACTCTTGTTGCCTAGGCTGCAGTGCAATGGTGCAATCTTGGCTCACTGCAACCTCCGCCACCTGGGTTCAGGAGATTTTCCTGCTTCAGCCTCCCGAGTAGCTGGGATTACAGGTGCGTGCCACCACGCCTGGCTAATTTGTGCATTTTCAGTAGAGATGGGGTTTCACCATGTTGGTCAGGCTGGTCTCGAACTCCTGTCCTCAGGTGAGCCACCACGCCTGGCCAATTGACTCCAATTTTGAAAGAAGTTCTACTGAGGGTAAAATGCTATCAAATAGCATTGCATGCTACAGAAATAATTTTTGTGAAAGGAACAGTCAGTTGATGTAGCAAACTTCATTGTCTTATTTTAAGAAATTGCCATAGCCACATCAGCTTTCAGCAACCAACAGCTTGATCAATCAACAGCCATCAATATCAAACAAGGACTCTCCACCAGCAAAAAGAGTACCACTTGCTGAAAGCTCAGATGATCATTAGCATTTTTTAGCAATAAAGTATTTTTAAGGTATGTACATTTTTTAGACCTAATGTTATTGTGCATTTAACAGACTACAGTACAGTGTAAAGGCAACTTTTACATGCACTAGGAAGCAAAAAAAAAATTATATGACTTTTTTTTTTACAATATTTGCTTTATTGTGATAGTCTGGAACTGCGCCTACAATATCTCTGGGCTCTGAGGTATGCCTGTATAATGCATTTGCAGAAGCAAGACAAAGAAAATATTTGATTAGTTAAATGGAAAGTCCTCAGTTGAGGTTAGTTGGTCATTTCTAATTGGTTAAGGTTATGCTTTGTTTTTCTTAGGCTATAACCATTCATGCTGAGTTAGGCTTCAGTTTTCAGTTTGCTTTCAGTTAGGTAGGAACCCAAGGCACTGGAGCTGTCTCAGCTTAATGCCTCCCAATTAATTATTTTAACGAATGTAAAAGAGCACAGGAGGCGGGTGGGAACCATAGAATCATGCCTGGATTCAGTTGTTTAAGAACTGAGAGCTGTGCCTCCAGTCTATTGCTGAAGAGTAGAACCAGAGTGGATCAGGTTTATCCTTTTTTTTTTTTTTTTTTTTTTTTTTTTTTTGAGACTGAGTCTCCTTCTGTCGCCCAGGCTGGAGTGCAGTGGTACAATCTCGGCTTACTGCAAACTCTGCCTCCTGGGTTCAAGCCATTCTCCTGTCCCAGCCTCCCGAGTAGCTGGGATTATAGGTGCCCACCACCACGCCCGGATATATATCTATATCTATATCTATATCTATCTATCTATCTATCTATCTATCTATCTATCTATATATATAGAGATCTCTCTATATATAGATCTATATATAGAGAGATCTATATATAGAGAGATCTATATATATATATTTTTTTTTTGGTAGAGACAGGGTTTCGCCACGTTGGCCATGCTGAGCTCCTGAGCTCAAAGCAATCCACCTGCCATGGCCTCCCAAAGTGTTGGGATTGCAGGCGTGAGCCACCTCACCTGGCTCAGGTTTATCTTTCAAGTAATGAGACTATGTATTTGAGGACGGACGCAGGATGAGGGTAAGATATTTGTCTAAGAGTCACAGCTATCAGATTCTGATCATAGGCATTAGATGTTGAAAGTAGTGTTCAGCTGAGTAAACAGAGGTGCAGAGACAGGTATTAATACATCACCTAGCTGAGGTTAGGCAGCTGCTTTTTCCAAGGCCAGAGCTTAGATATCTTGGCTGGTGCTTTTAACTCTCCCCATCCACCATTGCTTCTCTTGATACTAAATTTAAAATATCTCTAACTTAGAAAAGAAAGTTTCTGGTTTGAATTTGTTTTTATTTGAGAAATATATGTTCGATCACTAACGTCATATTTTCCTCTGTGTTTAGCCATTGTGAAGTATAATATGACATGGGTGAAACTGATAGTCAAGCAAATATCTTTTTAACTTTAGAAGTGAGTTGCTAGCCTCCATTCCCAAAATTCTCAAGTCCGTTTGTTTTCCTAACTCCATACAGAACTTAAAGGGATGTAGTCAATGATACATTCTATACATACTTGCCTGAATATGTTATCTTGGCCTCCAGCACCTGGGTTAACACTATTAACTTAGTACTACAACTGCTTGTTTGCCCTAGAAGCTATCAGATTGAATTCATTTCCCTACAGTATCTATTATTGCCTTCTGAAAGGCATTTAGCACTCCAGATGTTCCTCAATTTAGGATAAAGTTACATCCCAATAAACCCATTGTAGGTTGAAAATATCATGTCAAAATTGGGCGTTGTGTAGACATGATGAAATGTGAATCACAAAACACAACATCCAGAAAATGCTGGCAACAGAGTATACTGCAAGCATGAGTTGTTTAGCCTCATGATCTCATGGCTAGCTGGGAGCTGTGGCTCACTGCCACTGCCCAGCATCATGAGAGAGTATCATACCATGCTCTGCCAGCCCAGGAAAAGACCAAAATTCAGAATTTGAAGTATGGTTTGTGCTGAATGTGTAATCACTTTCACACCATTGTAAAGTCTAAAAATAGGACTTCAAACCATTGCAAGTTGGGGACCATCTGTGTATCATACCCTAACACCAAGAAATATAAGCATTGGCAGTTTAATTGCCTAGTTGCAAATCATTTCCATAGAGTTTATCAGTTATTTATTGGTTTTAAAAGTATCGATACAAACTAAATTCCATACTGGGAGGAGGGCATTCAAATCTGAATTACTAGAAAAATTATATACAGGGAAGTTATATAACACAGACTTTCACTCCTTCATTTTTACACTATTTTATTTTTTTACTGTCTCTCCCACTTTTTTTTTCAACTTTTATTTTAGAATCAGAGTGTACCTGAGCAGGTTTGTTACCTGGATATATTGCATTCCACTATTTTATTATATTCATTTATTTTTAACCATTCACCTTTATTGCAAATAGTGTTCCGTGGACACTGGTGGGGAGGAGTCTGCAAGAGCCCGGGCTCTGGGAGGAGGGAAGGGGCAGGGTGGCTGCCCTGACTTTGCCCAGGCATTTCAGTCAGAGCTGCCTCATCTGTCGGGCATCCAGGATTTGAAAGGGTGGTCACATTATTTTAAAAATGTTTTTCTTTAGATAATGTGAGATGGAACAAGTTTAAACATCTGAAACATACATAGAGTTCATCTCTGCCTCTGAATCATTTTGTTTTTAAGTTGGCTATTCGGAACTTGGAATTTGTTTTGCCTCTGAAACAGAAGTAAGGATAGGTAGCCAGGCAAAAATAGACTATTTAACCTGTAAATGAGCTTCATTAACATATAGAACTTAAAAGTTCACTTATTATAGTTCCTATGGAAAAACTGGTTTCAAGTTCCAGCTAACAGGTACGTAGACCTATCTATAATGGTAATAATGGGCTGAGTGGTATTAATTTTTGGACTAACCTATCTACTAAAAGCAATGACAAACTCTAGATAAAACTTAAACACACACACCCAACACACACATACATGATCACCCTAAAGGCATCCAAGTGCTATTGAGGTAGTAGGGAATTACTTGACAGAGCACTAAGTGGGCTATGAGAGCAGCGAAGCTATTTGGCCCTAACATATTTGTCAAGGCCCAGGACCTACCCAAGGTGGGGAATCTTTTAAGGGTGATTAAATGATTTGTTGTCCAAATCGGATCTTTTGGGTGTGAAGGAGGTCAGATGGTTCATTTAATATGTCAACTTAACTGGGCCATGTGGTGCCCAGATACTTGGTTAAACATTATTCTGGATATGTCAGTGAAGGTATTTCTGGGATAAGATTAACATTTGAATCTGTAGACTAAATAAAGCCAATTGCACTCCCCAGGGTGGGTCTGCCTCATCCAATCCACTGAAGGCCTGACTAGAACAAAAGGCTGAGTAAGGGACAGCTTGCTGTCTCTGCTTGTCTTCAGTCAGGGACATCCAGCTTCTCCTGCCTTCAAATTCAGACTGGAGCTATACCATCAGCTCTCCTGGGTCTCCAGTTTACTGATGGGAAATTGTGGAATTTCTCAGCCTCCATAACAGTGAGAGCCAATTTAATAATAAACATATATATATATACACACACACACACACACACACATATACATACACACATTGACATATACATATACATATGCACACATATATACAAATACAGGGAGTATAATTAATACTTACATTGGAACAACAGGTATAAACTAGGGCTATGCTGAGCAAACTAGATTGTATGGTCACTCAATTTGTAAGAGACCCTCCCTACATTATGCCAGGCCTTTCAAAAGACTATATTCTTAGGGTTAGGCCAGGCACGGTGGCTCGTGCCTGTAATCCCAGCACTTTGGGAGGCCAAGGTGGGTGGATCACCTGAGGTCAGGAGTTTGAGACCAACCCAGCCAACATGGAGAAACCCAGTCTCTACTAAAAATACAAAATTAGCTGGGTGTGGTGGTGCATGCCTGTAATCCCAGCTACTTGGGAGGCTCAGGCGGGAGAATTGCTTGAACCTAGGAGGCAGAGGTTGCAGTGAGCCGAGATTGCACCATTGCACTCCAGCCTAGGTGACAGGGTGAGACAGTCTCAAAAAAAAAAAAAAAAAAATATATATATATATATATATATATATTCTTAGGGTTAGGTTGAAGTGGAACTAAATTCATCCTTTTCTTTCAAACTCAGAGGAATATAGACTAGGCCTGAGAAAAGCAGGAAAAAAAATCGAAGGAAAGTTTACACATGCACACGTGAACACACATGCACACACCCACAGCAAACCCAAAACACCCTCTTCTTGAGGAATTGTGCCAGAGATCAGCCTCAGAGATTGGGAATGCAGGGTTAGCCAAGGAACCTCGAGTCTTGAACTTGGTATGATGTGGTTTCCCAGCTGCTAGTTCCACCATATATCTGCAGAAGCAAACAAAAACAAGACCTTTATCCTCAATCCCAGAGAAATTCTACAGATAATATTTCAAAGATAATGACCAGCAACTGAAGATAACCAGGTCCACAAGGTAACAAGGTAACTTGAGCAAGAACCAGAAGAAACAACAAAAGCAAAAACAGACCTACACATACTTCAGAGAGTAGAACAACCAGACATTGATTATAAGTTAACTATAAGTTCAATATGTTTAAACAAATGAAAAATTGAACATATTTGCTGAATGCAAAAATATAAACCATGCCAGAGCACATATGAAAAGCAATGAGAGCATCTAGAAGTGAAAAATACAGTAACTGAAATGAAACCCACCTGCTCTGGTTTCAAAGACAATTTTGAGGAATTACTCTGCTTGGAAGAAATTGTTGGAGAGGATGTTACTGGAGAGAGTTACTACATTTGGGGAGCATTTGGAGCTTTGGGTGATGGGAGGAGGGAGGTGAACCATGGCTCTGGTAACCAGAGCTTCCAGAGCTAAAGAGATCTCAGAGGAGCTGACTCCCTCTGACAGATGGTAGCATCACCATCAGGTCCAGATTCTCACTCAACAGAAGCCAGGTTTCTCTGGGAAAGAAGAAAAAGCAATGGGAGAGAAAGGCACCACAAGCTCTTGTCAAGTTGTTCAGAAGTTAGGACTGGGCATCTCCTATGCATTATAAATTCTAAATATGATCCGGAGCAGAGGAGAATCATTAGCGTATTAAATCATTATATTTATACTTCCGTTTGTGAAACTGCTTCAGAGGCTCCAGAGAATCCCGTTAACTAAACAAGAACCTGCACTACACGTGAATTCGCCATTTACTTTCTTTTTGCTTTTCTTTTCTTTTTTTTTTTAAGATGGAGTCTTGCTCAGTTGCCCACGCTGAAGTGCAGTGGTATGATCTCAACTCACTGCAACCTCCGCTTCCTGGGTTCAAGCGATTCTCCTGCCTTAGCATCCTGAATAGCTGGGACTACAGGCACCCGCCACCATGCCCAGATAATTTTTGTACTTTTAGTAGAGACGAGGTTTCACCATGTTAGGTCGGGCTGGTCTTGAACTCCTGACCTCAAGTGATCTGCCTGCCTTGGCCGCCCAAAGTGCTGGGATTACAGGTGTGAGCCATGTGCCAAGCCTCGCCTTTTAATTTCTGTAAGTCAAGAATCCTACTTCATCAAATCTTTTCAGCTGGTAGGATTTTTCTGATCAAGGCAGAAGGTCTTGCTTAAGAAAATAAATAATCCTAATGGTAGAAGAATCACAGAACTTGACACCCTGAAGAAACCAGAGATTTAATGTTTCTAGTGTTATTTCACAGATAAGGAAACTGAGGCTTAGAGAGGGTAAGTGTGGGAAACACATGATCGCACAGAGTGTCTCTCAACCTCCAGTGTGAGACTAAAGTGACAAAACCAACGAAAGCAGTGCTCCTTGATTCAGTTTTTCTTCATCAGGGTGTTCCTCACCAGGATGAGACAGCTGACCCCTTGAGAGGTGGTGAAGCGTTATCCACCAAAAACCCGACTGGGCCACGTCCCAGCAAGTTTTCAGAGTTTGGATTGAGCTCTGGCCTACTGATTTCTTCCTATAATTTGAAATAACTCTTTTCAAATGAAACAGTGACATTTATTTGCTGAACTGAGTGGTTATATAGAATGGCTATTTTTGCCAAGTTTGGAAACGATGTGATATGGTTCGACTGTGTCTCCACCTAAAATCTCATCTTGAATTGTAATCCCCGCGTGTCCAAGGGCAGGACCAGCTCAAGGTAACTGGATCATAAGGGCGGTTTCCCCCATGCTGTTCTCATGATAATGAGTGAGTCTCATGAGATCTGATGGTTTGTTTTGTGTTTCATTTATTTATTTTTTTGAGACACAGTCTTACTCTGTAGCCTAGCCTAGAGTGCAGTGGCACGATCTTGGCTCATTGCAACCTCCGCCTCCTGGGTTCCAGCAATTGTCCTGCCTCAGCCTCCCAAGTAGCTGGGATTACAGGCGTGTACCACCACGCCGGCTAATTTTTGTATTTTTCTAGTAGAGACGGGGTTTCACCATGTTGGTCAGGCTGGTCTGGAACTCCTGACCTCAAATGATCCACCCGCCTCAACCTCCCAAAGTGCTGGGATTACAGGCATAAGCCACTGCACCCGGCCAAGATCTGATGGTTTTATAAGCGTCTGGCAGTTTCGGTTCTTGGGGCGTATTCTCCTTCCCGGTATGTCCGGAATTGGTGGGTTCTTGGTCTGGCTGACTTGAAATATGAAGCCATGGACTCTAACAGTGAGTGTTACAGCTCTTAAAGGCAGCACGGTTGTTCATTCCTCCTGGTGGGTTCGTGATCTCGCTGGCTTCACGAATGAAGCTGCAAACTGGCCTTACAGCTCTTAAACGTCACACGGACCCAAAGAGTGCCCAGCACCAAAACTGACTGCAAAGAGAGAAAGCACAACGCTGTCGCTGCTGGGTCGGGTGGCCTGCTTTTATTCACTTATTTGGCCCCACCCACATCCTGCTGATTGGTCCATTTTACAGAGAGCTGATTGGTCCATCTTACAGAGTGCTCATTGGTCCGTTTTGACAGAGTGCTGATTGGTGCATTTAAAAACCTTTAGTTAAACACCAAGTGCTGATTGGTGTCTTTACAATCCTTTAGCCTAGACAGAAAAGTTCTCCAAGCCCCACCCCTCCGAAAAGCCCAGTCAGCTTCACCTCTCGCTGGCGCTCTCAGCGGGATTTTGAGGCACCTATCCTGGGCACTCCGGCAGCCCAGAGGGAGCTCCTACCCCCGACCAAGCCCAGCAGGTGCCCGGCGCCCTGTGCAGGGCCCACCGAGCCCACACCCACTGAAAACCCGCGGTGGCCCCCGAGCGCCGTGCGCAGCCCCGGCTCCTGCCGGGGCCTCTCCCTCCATACCTCCCTGCTAGCAGAGGGAGCCGGCTCCGGCCTTGGTCAGCCCCAGAGAGGAGCCCCCACAGCGCAGAGGTGGGCTGAAGGGCTCCTCGAGCGAGGCCAGAGCGGAGGCCGAGGCCAAGGAGGCGCCGAGAGCAACCGAGGGCTGCTAGCATGTTGTCACCTCTCACTGATGCCTGTGAAGAAGATGCTTTCTTCCCTTTCAACTTCTGCCATGATTGTAAGTTTTCTGAGGCCTCCCCAGCCATGCAGCACTGTGAATTAAACCTCTTTTCTTTGTAAATTACCCATTCTCGAGTATTTCTTCACAGCAGCGCGAGAATAGAGTAACACACTGTGCTTTCACTAGCATTTATTACTCTAATAACATTTGGCAGGATCATCTCAAATTTGAGCAGCAAAATACCAGTCCAAAGCAACACATGCATCAACTCCAAGCAGAGTTAAATTTAAATTTGTCCATCCTGGCTAACACAGTGAAACCCTGTCTCTACTAAAAATACAAAAAATTAGCGGGGCGTGGTGGCAGGTGCCTGTAGTCCCAGCTACTCGGGAGGCTGAGGCAGGAGAATGGCCTGAACCCGGGAGGCGGAGCTTGCAGTGAGCCGCGATCAAGCCACTGCACTCCAGCCTGGGCGACAGAGTGAGACTCCGTCTCAAAAAAAAAAAAAAAAAAAAAAAAAAAAAAAAAAAAAAAATTCAATTTGTGAGTGTTCAAATTGAAAACAAGATACAATAACATTATTTTTTAAGTAAATAAGCTACTGCTTTTACTGGGTTTGTATCCACTTTTGTTACAAAATGGAATGCAGTTAGTAATTTTCCCCTTCTAGTAATACGTATATTTTTGAATATATAATGCATACATTCAGCCATCTAGGGCAGAAGAACATATATTTATAATATACACACACATTAGCCAGGCGTGGTGGCTCACGCCTGTAATCCCAGCACTTTGGGAGGCCAAGGTGGGCAGATCACCTGAGGTCGGGAGATGGAGACCAGCCTGACCAACATGGAGAAACCCCATCTCTACTAAAAATACAAAATCAGCTGGGTAATCCTAGGATTACAGCATGCTTGTAATCCTAGGATTACAGCATGCTTGTAATCCTAGCTACTCAGGAGGCTGAGGCAGGAGAATCACTTGAACCCAGGAGGCAGAGGTTGCAGTGAGCTGAGATTGTGCCATTGCACTCCAGCCTGCGCAACAAGAGTGAAACTCCATCTCAAAAAATAAAATAAAATAAAATAAAACATACACATTAGGAATAAAAATTCTGCATGCTTAAAGTTGAGGAGGAAATTACTGTTAGGGAATAGCTCTTTTCCTACCCCATTTTCACCACTCATTGCTTGTTGTATCATCAGGATAGACTAGCGTCTGCTGGGGTAACAAATAGCCTTTGGGTTGCAGGCCCAAGGGTCTTGTTAAGATACCAACAGTCACAAACACTTTCAGTCAAGGATTATTAGTTCTTTAATAGTACCATTGTTTCAAAAACTTGGTCCCTTCTGATATGGTTTGGCTCTGTGTCACTACCCAAATCTCACATTGAATTGTAATTCCCATAATCCTCTGTCAAGGGCAGGACCAGGTGGAGGTAATTGAATCATGGGGGTTGTTTCCCCCATGCTGTTCTCGTGATAATGGGTGAATCTCATGAGATCTGATGGTTTTATAAGCATCTGGCATTTCCCCTGCTGGCACTCATTCTTTCTCCTGCCACCTTCTGAAGAGGTGCCTTCTGCTATGATTATAAGCTTTCTGAGGCCTCCCCAGCCATGCAGAACTGTGAGTCAATTAAACCTCTTTTCTTTATAAATTACCAAGTCTCAGGTATTTCTTCATAGCAGTATGAGAACAGACTAATATACTTCCCCTTCCCTTTTGTTTGGACTGGGACACTCAGCTGATGTGACTTGAGTGCTCAGCAGCATTGGAGCCTGGGTGAAAGGAATTTAGTCAATGTGATCTGTGAGTCCAGAAGAACTGGGGGCAAGAAGACAGCATGAATGTTTGGAAGGCTGATTCCATATGGAGAGATTGAGCAGATAAGCAAATATGTTGAGGATAACGGCAGCCAGGCTTTTCACTTACAGAAAGGAGGTACAAATATGAAAGGGGGAAAGCTTGAATACATGCTGGATTATTGAATTGGAATTGGAGGTATCAATGTAAACATTCAGTTTTCAAGCTAGCTAGCTAACTAGATGATAGGTAGATAGACAGTTGTGTGTATAAACAAACATATATTTCTTACCTTTTTCTGTGAAAAGTCTAGAAACAATGACATTTCTATAGCAATGAGTACACAAAACTGTAAGATCTTGGTTTGTAAATACCGTCTTTATTCAAGGAACTAGGACTCTTGAATAAATGCCTGATTAGGGGTAGGCAGGAAAAGTATAAGGTGGACCTGGAATATCTAGTTTTGCCAGAAAGTAAGAATGTGTTCATTCAAGACCAGCCTGACCAACATGGAGAAACCCTGTCTCTACTAAAAATACAAAATTACCTGGGCATGGTGGCGCATGCCTGTAATCCCAGCTACTCAGGAGACTGAGGCAGGAGAATCGCTTGAACCCAGGAGGCGGAGGTTGCGGTGAGCCGAGATTGCACCAGTGCACTCCAGCCTGGGCAACAAGAGCGAAACTCCATCTCAAAAAAAAAAAAAAAAATGTGAAATGCGTTCAAAGAATAATAAGCAAAATGATACAGGAGCCAGCTTCAAAGATCTCCCACTGGCCAAAAATAGAACATTTTGAGCATAGATGGTGATCCACGTTATGCTGTGGCAAAGTGTATGGTAAAACTATTGCCTGTGATAACTTCGAAGGCAGATGCTGTGCCTCTGGACTTTCAATTTTAAGGAAAGAGATTGGTTAACATTAGCTATGTTTGACAGATGGGTTCAGAAATAGCTGGCAGGTTTATAAGCAAGAACACAAGAAAATCGAGAGTACAGAAATTTAGAACTTACAGCATTGGAAGAGGAAAATCCTGCTCAACTCCAAATAATGAAAGATAAACATAAGAATGGTACTGAGTTTTCAGCAAAGATCAAACCAAGGATAAGGCTGTCAAACCCACGGCGAGACCCCTGGATAGATCAGGCAGCACTCAGTAAATCCTTTCAATTGGAAAAAAAAGGGCTCAGGAAAACATACTAAAGAGTGTGGCTCTCTAAAATTCCCCAGTTGTTAACATTTTACCACATTAACCTTACCGTATTCATTCATTCATTCTTTCTCTTTCTCTCCATAAACATATACATACACACACACCATTATTATTGTCTGTATCCTTTGAGAGAGTAAGTTGCAGACAGGATGCCCTTATCCCTAAATACTTTAATGTGAATCTATGAAAAATTCACCACTAACATTAATAGTGAAAATCTGGATGCTTTCTCCTGAAGATTAGGAACTCAAGAACAAGACAAGGATGTCTGCTCTTTCCACTTCTATTCAATGTTGCACTGGAAGTTCTGAACAGGGCAATTAAGTAATAAAGAAATAAAATACACCCAGATTGGAAAGGAAGGCATAAAACTATCTCTACTCGCTGATGACATGATTTTGTATACAAAACATCCCAAGGAATTGACTAAAAAACTGTAAGAACTAATAAGTTCAGTGAGGTTGAAGGATACAACAACAATATTCAAAAATCAGTTATAGTTCACATTATCAATACATAAATCAAAATGATATTAAGAAAACAATTTAATTTACAATAGCATCAAAGCAAATATAATTCTTATAAGTATGTAACTATACATATATATATTTTTTAAGACAGAGTCTGGGCTGGGTGCGGTGGCTCACGCCTGTAATCCCAGCACTTTGGGAGGCCGAGGCGGGCGGATCACGAGGTCAGGAGATCGAGACCATCCCGGCTAAAACGGTGAAACCCCGTCTCTACTAAAAATACAAAAAATTAGCCGGGCGTAGTGGCGGGCGCCTATAGTCCCAGCTACTTGGGAGGCTGAGGCAGGAGAATGGCGTGAACCCAGGAGGTGGAGCTTGCAGTGAGCCGAGATCCCGCCACTGCACTCCAGCCTGGGCGACAGAGCGAGACTCCGTCTCAAAAAAAAAAAAAAAAAAAAAAAAAGACAGAGTCTGACTCTGTTGCCTAGGCTGGAGTGCAGTAGAATGATCTTGGCTCACTGCAACCTCTGCCTCCCAGGCTCAAGCCATCCTCCCACCTCAGCCTCCTGAGTAGCTGGGAGTACAGGTGCGCACCACCATGCCTGGCTAATTTTTGTATTTTTGGTAGAGATGAGGTTTCGTCATGTTGCCCAGGTTGGTTTCAAACTCCTGAGCTCAAGCAATCTGCCCACCTCAACTTCCCAAAATGCTAGGATTACAGGTGTGAGCCGCTGTGCCTAGCCTATGACTGTTTTTTTAAAGAAAGTGCAAAACATGTACTTTGGAAAATGCAAGAGTTTGTTGATAGAAAAATTTAAAGCCCTGAATAAATGCAAGGACATTCCATTTCCATGGATCAGAAGACTTAACATCATTAAGATAGAAATACTTACCTGGGTGCAGTGGCTCATGCCTGTAATCCCAGAACTTTGAGAGGCTGAGGTGGGCAAATCACTTGGGTACAGGAGTTCAAGACCAGCCTGGGCAACATGGCAAAACCTCCTCTCTACAAAATACACAAAAAACTAGCCAGGCATGGTGTGCACACCTACAGTCTTAGCAACTCAGGAGGCTGAGGTGGGAAGATCACTTGAGCTCAGGAGGTAAAGGCTGCAATGAGCTATGATCCTACCACAGCACTGTAGCCTGGGTGACAGAGGGAGACCCTGTCTCAAAAAAAAAAAAAGATAGCAATACTTCCCACTTCCTGATTGATGTATAGATTCAACACAAACCTTATTGAAATCTCATCTGCCTTTTTTTTTTTTTTTTGAGACAGTCTCACTCTGTTGCCCAGGTTGCAGTGCAGTGGCATGATCTGAGCTCACTGCAACCTCTGCCTCCCAGGAGTCAGTTGATTCTCATGCCTCAGCCTCCTGAGTAGCTAGGACTACTAGCTACATGCCACCATGCCCAGCTAATTTTTTTTTTTTTTTTTTTTTTTTTTTTTTAGTAGAGACGGGGTTTCACCAGGCTAGTCTCAACCTCAGGTGATCTGCCTGCCTCAGCCTCCCAAAGTGCTGGGATTACAGGTGTGAGCCACCGCACCTGGCCTTCGTCTGCCTTTTTTGAATAAATTGACGAGCGGATTCTAAAATTCAAATGGAAATGCAAGGGACCCAGAATAGCCAAAACAATTAACAACAATAACACAAAGAACAAAATATAAAGGGCTCATACTTTCTGATTACAAATTTTACTAAAATCTATAGTAATCAAGACAGTGTGGTCCTGGCATAAGAATAGACATATAGATCAAAGGAAAAAATTGAGAGTCCAAAATAAACCCTCACATTATGGTTGATTGGTTTTTGACCAGGGTGACAAGACAATGCAGTGGAGAAAGAATAATCTTTTCAACAAGTGATGCAGGGACAACTGATAGCTACATACAAATGTATGAAGTTGTACCTGTTCCTTACACTAGATACAAAAACAAACTCAAAATTGGCCATAGACCTTTAAGGAATAGCTAAAACTATAAAACTGTTAAAACCATAGGAGTACATCTTCATGACCTTGAGTCAAATAATGAGTGATTTCTTAGATATGATGCCAAAAACACAAGTGTGACAAAAGATAAAATGGACTTCATCAAAATTTAAAATGTAAGACATCCCAGAGGATGGGAGAACATATTTTCAATTCATTTATCTGACAAAGGGCTTGTATCCAGAATATATGAAAAATACTTTTAACTCAGTAGTAAAAATAGAAATAAACAAAGGATCCAAATACACACTTCTCCAAAGAAGATATGCAAATGGCCAATGAATACATGAAATGATGTGAGCATCATATTAGTCATTATGAAAATGCAAACCAAAATGACAATGAGATACCTCTTCACACCCACTATGATGGCTATAATCGAAAAGATAAACAGGCCAGGCATAGTGGCTCATGCCTGAATTTCCAGCACTTTGGGAGGCCCAGGTCGGAGGATTGCTTGAGGACAGAAGTTTAGGACCAGCCTGGGCAATATAATGAGACCTCAGCTCTACAAAAAATTTTAAAAATTAGCCAGGTGGGCCAGGTGCGTTGGCTCATGCCTGTAATCCCAGCACTTTGGGAGGCCAAGGTGGGTGGATCACTGAGGTCAGGAGTTCGAGATCAGTCTGGCCAACATGATGGAACCCTGTCTCTACTAAAAATACAAAAAATAAGCCAGGCGTGATGGCACGCACCTGTAATCCCAGCTACTCGGGAGGCTGAGGCTGGAGACTGCTTGAACCCTGGAGGGGGAGGTTGCAGTGAGCCAAGATTGCACCATTGCACTCCAGCCTGGGCAACAAGAGTAAAACTCCGTTTCAAAAAAAAAAAAAAAAAAAAAAAAAAAGCCAGGTGTGTTGGTGCATGCCTATAGTCTCAGCTACTTGGGAGGTTGAGATGGCAGGATCACTTAAGCCTGGAAGTTTGAGGCTGTAGAGAGCTAAGATTGTGCCACTGTACTTCAACCTGGGCAACAAAGTGAGACCCTATCTCAAAATAAAATAAAACAGCAAAATAAAAAATAAAGAAAAACAAGTGTTGGTGAGGATGTGCAGAAACTGGAATCCTTGTACATTGCTGGTGGAAATGTAAATTGGTGTGGCTGCTTTAAGAAAATGTTAGGTAGTTTCTTTAAATGTTAAATGTAGAGTTGCCATATGGCCTAGCAATTCTACTCCTGAATATATGTCCAAGAGAAATGAATACACATCCACATAAAAACTTATACATGGGCCGGGCGCGGTGGCTCACGCCTGTAATCCCAGCACTTTGGGAGGCCGAGGCGGGTGGATCATGAGGTCAGGAGATCGAGACCATCCTGGCTAACAAGGTGAAACCCCATCTCTACTAAAAATACAAAAAATTAGCCGGGCGTGGTGGCGGGCGCCTGTTGTCCCAGCTACTCGGGAGGCTGAGGCAGGAGACTGGCGTGAACCCGGGAAGCGGAGCTTGCAGTGAGCCGAGATTGCGCCACTGCAGTCCGCAGTCCGCGCAGTCCGGCCTGGGCGACAGAGCGAGACTCCGTCTCAAAAAAAAAAAAAAAAAAAAAAACTTATACATGAATGGTCATAGCAGCATTATTCGTAACAATAAAAAAAAGGGAATAGCCCAAATGTCAAACTGATTACTTGAAAATAAAATGTGATATATATGTAAAATGGAATATGTTATATATTCAAATGAAGAGAAACAAGATACTGAAAACATTATGCTAAGTGAAAGAAACTAGTCATAAATGACAAAAATTGCATAATTCCATTTGTGTGAAATGTCTAGAATAGGTAAATCTGTAAAAATAGAAAGTACATTAGTGTTGTCTAGAACTAGCAGGAAGATTAGGGGGAAATGGGGAACGTGTGCTCATCAGTATGGGGTTTCTTTGGAGGTGATGAAAATGTTCCAAATTGATTGTAATGATAGGTTGGGCACGGTGTCTCATGTCTGTAATCTCAGCACTTTGGGAGGCCGAGGCAGGTGGATCACCTGAGGTCAGGAGTTTGAGATCAGCCTGGCCAACATGGTGAAACCCCATCTCTACTGAAAATACAAAAAATTAGCCGGGTGTGGTGGTGGGCACCTGTAATCCCAGCTACTCAGGAGGCTGAGGCAGGAGAGTCACTTGAACCTGAGAGGCGGAGGTTGCAGTGAGCCAAGATTGCACCACTACACTCCAGCCTGGGCAACAGAGTGAGACTCTGTTTCAAAAAAATAAAAAAATAAAAAAAAATGGTAATGATAGTTGTTTAACTCTGACTATAATAAACACCACTGAATAGTATACACTGAATGGGTGAATTGTGTATGAATTATATATTATAAGCTATTTTTAAAAAGAAAATGTTTAATTGAAGTAAAAAACTAAGTAACTGAAATGCCTAACCAATTATAGACTTTAATATTTGTTGGCAGTTTAAAAAAATTTTATGCTAAGAGTTTATAGATAGTACTGTTTATAAACTCTTAGATAAATAGTACTTTATCTATAAACTCTTAGCATAATGAAATACTGCTCATAAATTACTTGGATTAGTTTTTTTTCTCTGTAGTTGTAATGTTCATTTGAGACACAATTAGGTTCATTTGTTTTGTTTATATTCAATTTGGGTTTTTTTCTCCATCCTATCGATTTAATTTTACTTTTTGAATATTTAAACATTTGTATATTGAAATATTCATATACATTTAAATATCAGTATTAAACAGTTCAGAGAACTGTTGTTCCTTCCTTTATTCTTTCCACTTTGTTTCTAACCAAGCCCTGTATATGACCAGTTTTATTCATTTCTTGTTATCTTTCCTGCGTTTCTTTTTAGGAAAAGACTTTTGAGAAGCAACTAAGTAAAAAGAAGCATTAAAAACTGAAAACATAACAAAATTGGAAAACAGAGCTAATATAAAACAGATAAACTCACTTATTAAAAATCTGTTTGAACTATAAAACAAAACCTAAATATAAGCACCAAAGGGGAGGCACATATAAAACAAAGTGACTCAATTTGAAAGTAAAAGGATGGGCCAGGCACAGCGGCTCATGGCTGTAATCCTAGCATTCAGGAGGCCCAGGTGGAGGGAATCACTTGAGCCTGGAAGCTCAAGGCTGTCTGAGCTATGGGCGTGCCACTGCCCTCCAGCCTGGGTGACAGAACAAAACCCTGACTAAAAAAAAAAAAAAAAAAAAAAAAAGAAAAGAAAAGAAAAAGAAAAAAAAAAAGGGCCGGACGCGGTGGCTCACGCCTGTAATCCCAACACTTTGGGAAGCCGAGGCGGGTGGATCACAAGGTCAGGAGATGGAGAGCATCCTGGCTAACACGGTGAAACCCCGTCTCTACTAAAAATAAAAAAATTATCCCGGCGTGGTGGCGGGCACCTGTAGTCCCAGCTACTCGGGAGGCTGAGGCAGGAGAATTGCTTGAACCTGGGAAGCGGAGGTTGCAGCGAGCAGAGATCGCACCACTGCACTCTAGCTTGGACGACAGAGCGAGACTCCATCTCAAAAAAAAAAAAAAAGAAAAAAGAAATGTGTCCCAAAAATCACACAAAATGAAAATACAGACCCTAATATTAATATCAGATAAGGTTGGCGGGGCACAGTAGCTCTTCTGTAATCCCAGCACTTTCGGAGGCTGAGGTGGGTGGATCGTCTGAGGTCAGGAGTTGAAGACCAGCTCAGCCAACCTGGCGAAACCCCGTCTCTACTAAAAACACAAAAATTAGCAGGGCATGGTGGTGCATGCCTGTGGTCCCATCTGCTTGGTAGGCTGAGGCAGGAGAATCGCTTAAGCCTCGGTGGGGGAGGTTGCAGTGTTGCCGAGATCGCGCCACTGCAATCCAGCCTGAGTGACAGAGAGAGACTCCGTCTCAAAAACAAACAAACAAACAAACAAAACAGATAAGATTGAATTTACAGGAAAAAGCATTAAAGTAGACAACGATAGTGACTTTAGAGTGATAAACAGGTACAAGAAAAATTCATAGACATTGACCTACCGTTCCACTTTCAATTAAGATATATGTAAAGGTTATTATAGTGTTGTTTATAATAGCAAAAGACTGAATATAGCAAAAAGAAGTCTATCATTAGAAGACTTGTTGAATAAATTGTAGTATAGAATACTATACAGCCAAGGAAAACAATGTACTGCTAAGAAACACCCTGTCTTAGATTCTCGCTCTGTCGCCCAGGCTGGAGTGCAGTGTGGCAATCTCGGCTCACTGCAAACTCCCCCTCCCGGGTTCTAAAGACTATCCTGCCTCAGCCTCCAGAGTAGGTGGGATTAAAGGCTCAAACTACCATGCCTGGCTAATTTTTTGTATTTTTAATAGATATGGGTTTTTGCCATGTTGGCCAGGCTGATCTCGAATTCCTGAGCTCATGCAATCCACTCTCCTCGGCCTCCCAAAGTGCTAGGATTACAGACGTGAGCCACCGTGCCTGGCCTAAAAAATATTTTTAAACAACAACAAAAAAGCAATATAGAGAATAGTGTGTACAGCATGCTTCCATTTGCAATTATATTCTGTGTGTGCTTAGACAATTTTGGGAGTATCTATAAATTGCCTCTGGAGAGGAAAATTAAGGAACTAGGATGAGGGGCTTTTTCGTGTGTTTAAAAAAATATATACCTTCTAACCCTATTTGGATCTTCTCTGTATGCACATATAAACTCTTCAATTACAAAAAGCTAATTTTAAAAGGTTTAAAAGGTAAAAGTCCCTTCCAGGCTCAAAATTCTATTTTCTCATCATACTTTGTGAAGCTGTTCAAAAGAAAATGTCCAAGAATCCATTATAAATTGAGGTACAAACATTAGAAAATGGTGATTAATGTGTTTTGAAACTTGAGTGCTGCTGACTATTTTGTAAAAACCATGTGTTTAGTTTCATCTCATAGGGTTGGATGTCATAGAATGTACCACAGGACAAGTCTGGCTATTTCTTTCTAAGATAAAATGAATCATCTACAAAGGACAGTTTATTGAAATAAGTGAGAAAGTTGAAGGCATCATGGTAGACTAGAAAGCATGTTGCTCTTCATATGAGGTTTGAATCCTGGCTCACCGCTTACTTTCTGTATGACCTTGAGAAAATGATTTTATCTCTTTGAACCTAAAATTCCTCTTATAAAAAGAGGGAATTATTTCTGCTCTACTTCTCTCCTAAGGGGTTGGAAGGATCTAGTGAGATAATGGATATGAAGAGGCTTGCCAAGTCCAAAGAGTTATTCATTTCACTAAACATCAATTACCTATTCAGCATATGTAGATTATGTATTGAAAACATCTTAAAAAGGATACAATAGATAGATATATTCAATTATCAGGTTTTAGAATCTTCTGAGGAGATAGAACTGAGAAGCCACCACAGGCCTACTGGCTTAGAACATACTAGGGATACACTGCTCACTAAAGTGTGTAAACTGGCACCTTAATGAAACATCCGAGATGAAGCTGTTTGTCAAATATGCAATTTTAGGATTATGCAGTAATATCAGGATAAGGTTTGAGTTACTTAAATTACTGGGGCCTCACAGATTCATGGTTGCTGTGATAAATATACCACTCCATCTTGCTTGGGGGAATTGTCATTTCAAAGGTTGGTACAGGAAGAATAGGAAGAGATGTCCTAATCAAAGGGCAATTTTAATAACTCATAACTCTTATTAATGGTTAGGAATGCCCTTTCCACATGTGGTTCCAGAGGAGAGGAACAAAAGGAGTTTTTTTCCTGGTAAGGTAAAGACTGAAGGTGAAACAGAGCTAGCCCTGAGCAGTTCCTGAGGGCCTTCCAGGTGCAGGGACAGAACACTGTGTATGCATTCCCACGCAACTGGTGAGCACACTGTCACACATATATCTGTATCCCCAAAGATGAGCTAAAACTCCTATGCACTAAAGAGGTAGTAATATGGCAAAGAAATACAATATTGCTTAATAATTCAGCACACGCGTTAACCTAAGGAGGGTTTAAAAGTCATTTCTGGAAAAGAGCACTTCATTGTCAGCCCATTTTCAGTTGGTAATTGTATTACCATTTTATGCCAAAGGTTATCACTTCTATATTTTATATTTTCCTCTATATCCAATTTAATATTTTTATGAGACAGATTTAATAAATCATATTATTTCTGAATTATTTTTTACCTCCCTGAGATTTTTCCCTCTTTTGCTGTCCTTTACCAATCCTTTTTCCCTGATGTATGTAACCGACTTTCAGGAACAATAAGAAATTAAACATAGGTTTGTTAAAAAAAAAAAAAATTGTTGCTTGACTGATACAGGCTCAGAGACTCACTAGAACAGTGACTTGTGTTAAAAATAAAGTAAGATATTAGCGGCCAATGAGCTTAATATGCACAGCAGAATGACAGATGCTTTAAAAAAAAAAAAACCAAAAGGCAAAATAAACTTAGGTTCTATATATGGAAATAAAATGCTTGCAGCACAGGAAGGTAGTAGTTCTGTTTTCTGCTGATCAGACCACAACTGAAATAAAGCGTTCAGTTTAGGAAAACATAATCTAGGAGAAATATGGAAGAGGGCCATCAAATTTTCCAGAATCTGGAAACAGTCATGAGAGGAAGCACAGAAGGGCTGACCTGGGGAAGAAAACAAAAGAGAGGGAGACAGGACAAATTTGCAAACTAGACAAAGAGCCATTAAGTGAAAGAAAATGTGAACTTGTTTTATATTTATCCATAGAGCTAGGCTTGTTGCACAGAAATTGGAATGAAATACATTATGGGTTAAATTATTTAAAACAATGTTCTGGCAAATAGACCTATATAAAAATGGCATAGACTATCTTAGCATATACTATCTTGGAAAGTAGCCATTTCCCCACCATTCGAGCAGAAGATAAATGGACACCTGTCAGGGATACTCTAGAGCAGCACTGTCCATTAGAACTTTGTGTGGTGACGAAAATGTCCCATTTCTGTTCTGTCAATACAGTAGCCACTAGTCACATGCTACAAAAGGCCCTTGAAACATGACCAGTTGAATATGACCAAGGAACTGAATTATCTTAAGTAACTGTAACTGAAATGTAAACAGCTACATAGAGCAGTGGCTACTATATTGGAGAGTGCAGCTATAGAGTCTAGAAGAAATCCCCACATTGGGCTGGAATTTGGAATAAACCACTTCTAAGAGTTCTTCTAACCTTACCTCCTAATGTCTCCCCTCACCCTGCCTCCTTACCCCTCTACTGCCTATACTCAACTCCAGTAATACAAAATTGCTTTCATTTTCTTAAATATGCAAACATTGAATATACAACATTTCATGTTTGTAAATGTGTTCTTTGCATGAATGTTCCTCTCCAATGTATTCTGTTATTTATCTTCATTAACATGCTGTTATTTCTGTTCTAAAAACCTTTCCTTTAAAAAAAATGTTTTTTTAGACAGGATCTTTATCTATTGCCCATGCTGGAGTGCAGTGGTGTGTGTGATCACAGCTCACTGCAGCCTTGAATTCCTGAGCTTAAGTGATTCTCCTCCCTCAGCCTCTTGAGTAGCTGGGACTAAACACATGTGCCATCAAGCCCTGCTAATTTTTTTTCTTTTTCTTTTTCTTTTTTTGAGATGGAGTCTTGTTCTGTCACAGTGCAATGGCGTGATCTTGGCTCACTGCAACCTCTGCCTCCTGGGTTCAAGTTATTCTCCTGCCGCAGCCTACTGAGTAGCTGGGATTACAGGTGTGCGCCACCACACTCAGCTAATTTTTGTATTTTTAGTAGAGACAGGGTTTCACCATATTGGCCAGGCTGGTCTCAAACTCCTGACCTCATGATCTGCCCACCTCAACCTCCCAAAGTGCTGGGATTACAGGTATGGGCCACTGTGCCCGGCCAATTTTTTTCATTTTTTAATGGAGATGGCGGGGGTCTCACTATGCTGCCCAGGCCAGTCTCAAACTCCTGACCTCAAGCAATCCTCCTACCTCAGCCTTCCAAAGTGTTGGGATTGCAGGCATGAGCCATTGTGCACATCCTAGAAAACGGTTCCTGATATCCCAACACTTACCTCTTCTGTATCTTGGACATATGTCTCTTATTAAATATTCTAACCATCTGTTTACATTTCCCTCTCACTCAGTTTTTAAGGATAGGGCAATTGTATATCTCCGGCACCTAGCCAAACAACTGGCTGCCATGGTAGTTCTGTGGAACAGAAATGCAGGATGAACATGCCTGATACTTTAACTGACACATGTATTTACAGAACAATTCCTAAGAAACCTCTTCCACATAAGGGCAAATATTACAATTTATAATTCATAAACAAGAATAGTCCAGTATCATACAAAAAAAAGTAAGTAGAAGAAATTGGCACATAATATTTTAACACCCACCTCACTGCCCCCTCCTTGAACATCATTGGATCAGGTTAAGTACATTACTTTGAAAAATTTTTAATTAAAGCTCTTAAAGCTACGAGAGATTTCAAAATATCCTCTGCCTTCAGTAGTGAGATCCAAAAAGGATAACTAGATTGCCTAAGTTTACTCAGCTACAAAGTATGAGTTGGCTTTAAAATCAAGTGTAATTAAGAATTTATGGGAGTTTTTGGTAGGTGAAAAGGTTCAAGGGAGGAGTGGGGGAAGGAAGTTCAGATCAGATCATGTAGGGTTTTGTAAGTAATGATGAAGTGTTTGGATTTTATTCTAAATGTGATGGAAGTCATTGGACGGTTTTGAACAGGAAATGAGCATGATTTTGTGTATCTGTATTAATGGCTTCATTGAGGTATAATTGATATACAGAAAAACTATACATAGTTTAAAAGATCACTATGGCTGATAAAGAGAGAATATCTATGAGATGCTGCACTCCAATAATTTCAATTTCAAGCACTCCACTTTCTGATCACCACATTCCAGATTTCTAGTTTATTCACACCAGTATCTCAATTGCAACAATTCTTAACACCACGCTTACCACCTTCTCATATCTCTCACTCTTCTTTCAACCTCCTCCTTATCTAGCTTAAATTTCTTAATCAATCACAATCATCCCCTTGAATATAGCTTCCACTTCCTTGCCCCATCTCTTTTTCATGCTCATTTGGCAAAGCCCCAACGTTATTTAAATAGAACTCTCCATATAGTTCCCCTTCGTCCCAAATATGGCTGGAGAAAAACATCCAACTAAACTAGTTTTTTTTTTCTTTCTTTCTTTCTTTCTTCTTTTTTGAGACAGAGTCTTGCTCTGTTGCCCAGGCTGGTGTGCAGTGGCACAATCTCTACTCACTGCAACCCCCACCTCCCGGGTTCAAGCGATTATCCCGCCTCAGCCTCCCAAGTAGCTGGGATTACAGGCATGCACCACCACGCCCAGCTAATTTTTTGTATTTTTAGTAGAGACAGGGTTTCATCATGCTGGCCAGGCTGGTCTCAAATTCCTGACCTCAGGTGATCCGCCCGCCTCAACCCCCACAAAGTGCAGGGATTACAGGCGTGAGCCACTGTGCCCAGCCTAAACTAGTTTTACGTTAAATTTAAACTCAGCAGCTCAGGGATGCCTATAATTCTACTCAGCAGTGGTATTATATTTCTCTCATCAAAATTACTCTCTCACCTTCCCTGGTGACTGTACCTTCTCATCTCCCCTAAAATCTTTACCTTCTCCTTGGTTTTCACTCCTAGCTAACTATTAGCTATTTTTCTGTGTGTTTGGCTGAGGAATAGAAGCAATCAGAAGAGAGCTTCCCTAAGTCTGCGCCCATCACTAACCCTCAGCGTCTGTGCACTTGTGTGCTGACCCGGTGATGCCCTCACTGTGCTCCTTGCTCCTCCACTTGCTCCGAAACCTTCCATTTTCACCACCCATGGACAACACTCCAGCAATTCTCCCATCTACCCCTGTTTCTTCAAACTCTTTTCTTGATTTTTCTTTCGTTATACGATATATGTTGTAATTTCTCCCATCTTAAAAAACGCCATTTTTTATCCTGCTCCCTCCACCAGCTACTACCCTCTTTCTCTTTCCCTTTCCCTTTATAGAAAGAAAATTGTTAAAGAGTTGATAAAATATTCACTGTTTTAAATTTCCTTCCATTTTCTCTTGAACCCTCTTTAATCAGCCTTTCCTTACCACCACTCCACTGAAGCTCCATATTGCAAAATCTCATCTATTCTCAGTCCTCATTTTACTCCATCTGTCAGGGATTTCATCTTCGAACCCATTTCTTCACTTAACTTCCAGGACACCACAGTCTTCTTCTGATTTTCCTTTTATCTCACTGGCTATTCCTTCTGAACATCCAAGAGCACAGACCTTGGACTTTTCTTTTCTATCTCCATTCATTCCCTTGGTGATCTGATCCAGCCACATGGCATTGAATGCCGCATGTATGTTTATGATTCCTAGATTCTGCCTTTGGTCCAGATCTGTCCCCTGAACTCTAAGCTTATATATAACCATCTAGTCAGCATCTCAAATCTACCATATCCCAAACTGACACTTTATCTGCTCTTCCAAACTTACACCACCCAGTCTTCCTCCTTCAAGGTTGATGGCAACTCCACTCTTCCCACTGTTCAGGCCAAAAAGCCTTGGAGTCATCTTGACTCCTCTTTTGTCTCACACCCAAACTGTTAGAAAATTTGCCCATTTCTTACCATATTGGGCCACCCTCAGCTCTTCTCTGACTTCTCCAGAGACTGAGTACTTTTATATCTCATGTACTAGTGGTCCATGGCAGACCATTTGAGAAGCCCCTGAGTGTGTAGAGGAGAATAAGAGGGTAAGAGAATAAGGTGAAGCTTTCTCAGCAAAAGAAAATAAAAGCAAGAAAGAGTAAGATGATATATTTGGAGGACTGCTAGTAGTTTAACATAGTGAGAGCAAGGGATGTAAGAGATAAAAGCTGGAGAAATACACAGGGGCCAGATATGGAAGGTCTTCTATTATTCACTAGGCAGCATGGAACTTTATTTTGCAGCAATGAGGAATCATTGAAAAGCCTTAGGTGGAGGAAAACATAAGCTGATTTGTGTTAGATCACTCTTAGAGCAAAGCAGAAGATAAGCTATATAGGGCACACCCCTGGAGCAGGGGGAATAGTTAAAAAGAAAGACTATTGTGATAGCCGTGGAGAAAGATGACAAAGGCCTGAACTGAGGGAAGACCTATGGAGATGGAGAAAGAGGGGACAAAGCCAAGAAATCTTAAAAATACAGAATCCCTCAGATTTGGTATATCATTGAATATGGGGAAAGAAGGGAGTCAAGGATGCCTCTGTTCTCTGACTTGGGTGCACTTGGATGGTGGTGCCACCACCTGAGATAGGATGGGCGTAATGGGCCGTGTGCCTTGGCTCACACCTGTAATCCCAACACTTTGGGAGGCCTAGGCAAGAGGATCACCTGAGGTCGGGAGTTCAAGACCAGCCTGACCAATATGGAGAAACCCCGTCTTTTCTAAAAATACAAAATTAGCCAGGCATGGTGGCGGGTGCCTGTAATCCCAGCTACTCAGGAGGCTGAGGCAGGAGAATTGCTTGAACCTGCGAGGCAGAGGTTGCAGTGAGCCAAGATCACACCAGTGCACTCCAGCCTGGGCAATAAGAGTGAAACTTCATCTCAAAAAATGAAGATGAGTGTAACAAATATAGAGAGGAGATGAGTTTCTCTTGGACAGGCTGAGTTCCAGGTGTCCAGGGATATCACAGTGAAGACACCCAGGAAGCTATAAATTTTATGGGTCAAAAGCTCAGAGAGAGGTTTGGGTTGAAGGTATGAGTTCAGAAGTTATTTGAACACATATCACTTTGTTCTAGCCTGGGCATTGGGATTTCTCAGTATGCTGAGGGAGGAGAAAAACAATATAAGGATAACATTAAGTATGCACAGATGAAAAGGAGCCATGAACAGTCAAAATGGTTGGAAGTAAAATGAGAACAGAGAGAGGGTGGTGTTTCAGAATTTAAGGGAGGAATTTCAAGAAAGGGGAATTACCAAGTAAGATAAGGATTAGCTTAGTCAACTCAGGCTGCCATAACAAAATGCCATAGAATGGGTTGCTTAAACAGCAGACATTTATTTCTCACTTTTATTTTATTTTGGAGACTGGGAAGTTCTAGATCAAGGTGCCTACTGATTCAGTACCTTGAACTGATCTTCCCACCTTGCAAACAGCCCTGTTTTGCTGTGTTTTCATGTGGTTGGAAGCAATAAACAGTGCTCTGGTCTCTCTTCCTTTTCTTATAAGAACACTAATCCTATCATGGGGTCCCAGCTCCATAACCTCATCTAAATCTAATTATTTCCCTAAAGGCTCCATCTCCAAATACTATCGTATTGGGGGTTGCGGCTTCAATATATGAATTTGGTGATAAGAGGAGGAGAATATAAACATTTAGTCCATAATAAAAATTAAAGGAGTCCTTTTGATTGGAAGTCAAGAAGCCTTTGGTGGCCTTGCTCAAAACAAATTTTGGTGAAGTTTTGAGTATAGAAGTCTGATGGAAGATAAAGGAAAAAGTCAGAAAGCCAAAACAATGATGTCAGTCTAGTATTCCAGTACCTGGCTTCAGAGGGAAGGAGAAAGTTCTGTATAGACTTATTTAAAGATGGAGAGATTTGAGTATCTCACAGCTATCTAGAAGGTATCAGTAAAGAATAAGTTGATAATTTAAAAATACTGGAGAGAGGCCGGGCGTGGTGGTTCACACCTATAATCGCAGCACTTTGGGAGGCTGAGGTGGGCGGATCACCTGAGGTCAGGAGTTTGAGACCAGCCTGGCCAACCTGGTGAAACTCTATCTCTACTAAAAATAGAAAAAATTAGCCGGACATGGTGGCAGACGCCTGTAATCTCAGCTACTCGGGAGGCTGAGGCAGAAGAATCACTTGAATATGGGAGGTGGAGGTTGCAGTGAGCCGAGATGGCGCCATTGCACTCCAGCCTGGAAAACAAGAGCGAAACTCCGTCTCAAAAAAAAAAAACAAAAAAAAGCTAGAGAGAAAGAAGATGACTAGGGGATGACTGGAGAGAAATAAGCAAGCTCCTTCAGGTAATGGGAGGGATTGCATCAAGAGAAAGAAGAGTTGAGAAGAGAAACGCTGGGGACAGGTAAATGTGTAGGTGTGAGCAGGGCCAGCCAGCTTCTTGGTAGTATAGTCTTGGCAGTTGCACAGGGCTCACTCTCAGAAGAGGCTTGATTTAATCTGCTGTGGCCACTTTGAAATTCTTAATAACGTTGTCTCTGAACTTGTGTTTTGTAAGTGAAATCCAGGGGACAATGGAACACATGCATGAGCAAAGAAGATATGACTGGCAGCAGCGAACATACACTCAAGTTTAGGCCTGGCTGCCTGGCATACATGCATGCAACTGAAGCATTCTGAGGAGCCACAGAACCCTGAAGGGGTGTTAGGGGCTGAGAGTTGGGTCCAGATTGGCAGGTGTGATGGTGGGAGGAGCAGCAAAAGCAATGTGGTTGTGGCCATGGCCCCAGCCCTGGGAGAGAGTCAGGGCTCAGCATGAGGCAGCCCCAGGATCTGCAGAGGGAGGCCACTTTATATCTGTCCCAGGATCCCAACTCTGTGGCATCTGCACAAATATTAACTTTCCAGCATGAACCCTGGGAGAGGAAATTTTGGGGCTCAAGAGGCAAACTTTGTAAATAAATTGTTGTAAAATAGAAGTGTTAGACATGAGCATTGCAATTAAGCATATCATTGACTTATTAGAATCTTTCAGAGTTCAGAATCTCTGGTTTTTAACTACTGCAACACTGCCAAGCAAATATCCATTAAGTTATCATTGTAGAAATTTACTTTTAAAATAAAAATCATACTTAACACAAAACTGATGTATGTGAAGTGTTAAATCTTTTTGGAAAAATTGTTCCCTGAGAATCATCAGCTCTAGATGTACTAAAATTTATATTTCAAAATTTATCAGATATGTATCTCAATGTTGTTGTAGCTTAAAAACATTAACTTAACAGCACCAGTAACAATTGCATCAACACATTCTTCTCAGAATTAAGAATTATCAAAAATTACTTGCCATCTTTCATTTAAAAATAATTGACATTGCTTTCAATTATATGCATTGAAAATGAAATTGCTAAAAATGAAAACTTTGACAATCTAATAAATTTGGAGAAAAGTGAACCAGAAAAATCATGTGATTAAAATGTCACATTAATAAAATATTGTTAGGCCGGGCGCGGTGGCTCATGCTTGTAATCCCAGCACTTTGGGAGGCCGAGGCGGGCGGATCATGAGGTCAGGAGATCAAGACCATCCTGGCTAACATGGTGAAACCCCATCTCTACTAAAAATACAAAAAAATTAGCCGGGCGTGGTGGCAGGCGCCTGTAGTTCCAGCTACTCGGGAGGCTGAGGCAGGAGAAGGGCGTGGACTGGGGAGGCGGAGCTTGCAGTGAGCCGAGATCGCGCCACTGCACTCCAGCTGGGCGACAGAGCGAGACCCCGTCTCAAAAAAAAAAAAAGAAAGAAAGAAAAAAATAAAATAAAATATTGTTATTCATTATATTATATAAAATTGACACCCAAAATATTATTTTGTATGTAATGAAATATTTTTAAGGGAAAAAAATTTTCATATTTTATTACTTTTTTTTTGAGATGGAGTATTTTATTACTTTCAACTGCAGTTTCTCTTGCTCTTTCAAACAAGGGGCCCTGAATTTTCATTTTCCATTGAGCCCTGCAAATTATGTAGTTGAACCCGAGTGTGAGGATGGGATGTTGAGGGAGTCCAGCCCTGATATACTCAGCTTATTTTTTTCCTTTTCTGGAAAGTTGGAGGCGAGCAAGTGGGAGAGTGGGGGAATTCTGTGTGTTGGCCTGAGGGAGAGTTTTAAAGGTTTAAAATGTTATGTGAGGAATCAGTGAGGAGGGAATGTAGCACTTTGAGGGTTTTAAAATACTTCAATATAATGATTTCCATAAGCTTTTTTATTACTACATCTATAATGTGTATTTTATGAGCAATCATAAAGAAAATTACATTTGGGAATTATCCTATGTCTACTAAAACATTTGCCAGATTTAATATCATGTTGTGAAAAGTGGAATACAATTAGCTTCACATGATATGAAATAAGTAGTGTGCTAAGGTCTCAATTACAATAGACAGTAGAGAACAAATGTAAAAGTGCCACGTAAACTGTAAAAGCACTATAGGTACTACAGTCACTAAGTTTGGTTTTAGTAAAATATAAATTTTTAAGATGGATTTTTGTGTTTTTTTTAAAAGTAGAATTTTTCCATTTATAAAACTGGCCATATTCTTTTTGTTGAAACTTTGAAATTTTTGTTATGTAGAGAAAAATATTAAAGGTTCTTCTCTCAAAGTCTACTACTGTTACCATTTTGATATGTTTTCTTCCAGAGGTTTACTCTGCCAGTTAATTAGAATGTAATTGTAATCATATAGTTACATGACATATAAATTCTTCATAAATATCACTTTAATATTTATACAATAGTCCATTATGGGGCTCTGTCATACGTGATTTTTCCTCTTACCTATTATTGAACATTTAGGTTGTTTCTTTTTTGTGATTTTATTTTATTTTATTTTTCAGACAGAGTCTCGCTCTGTCACCCAGGCTGGAGTGCAGTGGTGCGATCTTGGCCACTGCAACCTCCGCCTCCCAGGTTCAAGCAATTCTCCTGCCTCAGCCTCCAAGTAGCTGGGATTACAGGCGTGCACCACTATGCCCGGCTAATTTTTATATTTTCAGTAGAGATGAGGTTTCACCATGTTGGCCAGGCTGGTCTCAAACTCCTGACCTCAGGTGATCCACCCGCCACAGCCTCCCAAAGTGCTGGGATTACAGGCATGAACCACCGCGCCCGGCCCTTTTTTTGTGATTTTATATAACTACATACAGATTCCTAACTGAACGCCTTTCTAGTTGAAATATTACTGAAATTAAATGAACCTTAATCATATTCAACTTTTCTGCCTCTTTCCCTTTTTTTTTACAAACACACATAGATGAGTCACTGACCCATTTGAGTCTTAGTTACTACGACCATTGTATATAAACAAAATTATTATTAGAACATGAAAGGTGAAAAAATACTAAAGCTAACCTCACAGGAAATTACCTTTATGAATTTATTTTTTGTTATATGGCCTCAGTGTTGAAAATGCCTGATAATTTCTTAGCGGGGAGGCAAGGTAAATGTTCAGCTATTGTATAATTTGCTAAATTACTAATAGAAAGAGAGAACTCAGACTGGAAACAGAATGAGGATCCCTGACAGATAAATAAACTATTTTCTTTCACCTCCAAATGATTCAAATGTAAACACAGTAGGTCGTTTGGGAGCACATTTAGATTTTCCCAAATGACCACTGTAACTAGGGATGTTTCACTTGCCCTCTATTCAATTCGATCTCACTATTAATGGGCATTCCAGGATATTTTGTGATCAGGAGACTTGAAAGAGTTAATGCACTTTGCGAAATGCCTAACTTGTATTTGGGATTAATTTACTTCCACAGCAGGATCTGGCTTATTAGAGCTTCAGAAATGTCTAAAGAAAATTCTGTGTTAGATACATCACTGAAATGCTTGCCATCTCCCTGGGAGCCCACATTAAATCAGCTTGGTGGAGTAAACTTATTTTTGTCTTTTTCTTCTCATGAGTTTTTTGCAAAACAGCTGGCCTTTTCTAAAATGAGGTTGACTAACCATTTATAAGATTTGAGAAGGGACTAATTAGTATTGTACGTTGATTGGGGATCGTAGCTATTTTTATTTAAAAATCACATAGAGAGAAGTATTTGTTTGGTGACTTGCTTATAAAATTACTTTTCACCAACCACAGTGTTATAGTGTGGCTACTGTGTAGGAACAAGGCCCAGGATTTTTTTTTATCACTCTCTGAGATTGGGCCTATTGCAATCATTGTTACCCAACTACATGATTTCACACAATCTTACACGTTGAGGCAAGAGATAGCAGTAACCCTGACCTCTTGTTTTCACAGAGGTCTTCATTAATTTTTCAAGGTACAGGCTAGAGCTAAAGTCTTTCTGCAGGCCTTTCCTTCAGTATTGTACAGAAATGACAGGATAAAGCACAGGAGTCTGGCAGTTGAGAAAACGTGACCACGAGGACCCCCTCTCATGTATCCCGACCTTGGATTAGGAGGTTCCTTCAATGCCCTACTGACACTGGGCCAATACTTACCTCCAAAATAGCATCATGAATAACACAAAAAAGCATTGTCTTACTCCATTTGGGCTGCTGTAACAAAAATACCTTATACTGGGTAATTTATAAACAATAAAAATTTATTTCTCATAGTTCTGGAAGCTGGAAAGTCTAAGATCAAGGCATCAGCTGATTCGGTGTCCAGTAAGGGCCTGTTCCTCAAAGATGGTGCCTTCTCTGTGTCCTCATATGGTCGAAGAGGCTCTCTGCTCCCTTAGGCCAATTTTATTACTACCCTTATCCTATTGATAAGGGTGGAGCCCTCGTGACTTAATTACTGTCCCAAGGGCCCAACTCTATATCACTTCAATGGGGATTAGGTTTCAACATGAGTCTTGCAGAGACAATTCGGACCATATCAAACATGGACGGAGTTTCCAGGGTTGAAGCCCTTAGCATCCAATCTCACTACTGCTCTTCTCTCACTATTCCCCAGCTTTTAAGTCCTGTACTTGCAGTTTTTAAAGAACCGAGATATCTCTTTCCTCTTTACCTACATTCTTAGTAAAACCTCAGACTGAAACTCCTTCTCCATGCCCCGCCCTCCTTTGGCTAACCCATCATTGGACTTTCAGGTTAGAGATCAGCTTCCCTGACCACATCCTGCCCCACTAAGAAATAAAAACAAACCAAAAAACTCCAAAGATACTAGCAACAGCAACAAATTTAGAACCTGTTCACCGTTTTCCCACAGCATCCTGCACTTATGCTTGAAATAGCACCTGTACTCTATTAAAATCACCTGTTTACTTGGGGGTGGGGCAGGTCTCCCCTGTTGGACAGTAACATTCTTGAGAACACTGTTCATCTTTATATGCCATTATGTTAAAGAAGTATTGGACACAGTTTTTTTCATCAAGACATTTGCAATCCATTAGTAGAAAAGAGGTATATTTAAAGCCAACAATACAAAATATACATAATTACATAAAGTACAAAGTACACATAATTAAGTTCAAAATTGTTTGGTATAATTATTAGATCATTATATAGACAAGGCAGATCCATGAAGGCTGGAGCCATTTCAGAAGTCTTCATGGGGAAGTTGAGATTAGAATCGGTCAGATGTTGGCATAGCCTTAGGACTGGGGAGCAGAGTAGGGGGTGGTGTTCTAGGATGACAAAGTAAAATGAACAAAAATGTGGAAGATGAGGTGAGCTTTAAAAAATGGGTAAAATTCACCAGATGGAGAAGGCTGGGACATGGAGAAGGAATCTCAAGTAGAGGTCACAGCAAGAATGAAGCATAAGGAAAGAACTAGCTTGATAGAACACTGAGTAGTATTCCATGGTGAAAAGTAATTTAGATTAGACTTGATGGGAAACAAATCATTGTAGATTCATAATTGCCATGGTGGTTTCTTACTTTTCATGACTCCCAAGGAATCACTTGTCCCATGCTCCCTGCTTTTATATCATTGCCTCCCAAGTTTACTCTGAGCTTGGACATGTGACTTGCTTTGGTCAATAGGATATTAGCCAATATGACCTTTAGTGCATTGGGCTTTGTCTTTTTTTTTTTTTTTTCAGATGGAGTTTTGCTCTTGTTGCCCAGGCTTGAGTGCAATGGAGGTGTGATCTCGGCTCACTGCAACCTCTGCCTTCCAGGTTCAAGTGATTCTCCTGCCTCAGCCTCCTGAATTGCTAGGATTACAGGCATGTGCCATCATGCCCAGCTAATTTTGTATTTTTAGTGGAGGTGGGGTTTCTCCATGTTGGTCTCAAACCCCCGACCTCAGGTGATCCACCTGCCTCAGCCTCCCAAAGTGCTGGGATTACAGGCATGAGCTACTGAGCCTGGCCTTGTCTTTTGTAATGGTGCTTTTGCTGTGTGAGCAAGCTTAGGCTAGTCTCCTTGGGGAGAGAGAAAACAAAATGAAGAGAGGGGCCTGGCTGTGCCAGTCATTCCAATCATCCAGGCTTGGAGGCCATCAGGAACCAGCCAGCCCAGTTGAGTCACCAGAAAATTAAAATCACATAAGTGACTTCAGGTGAGACAACCGAATTTCTAGCTAAGACCAGCCATAATTGTTGACCTATGGAATTCTGAGCAGTAAAATAGTCATTGTTTTAAGCTACTAAGGTTGATCTCTGCTTACCTCCCAAGCCTGGCCTAAGTTGTAGTTTTAAGCTACTAAGTGGTTTGTTATGTAATAGTAAATAAATGATACAAATTTTAATATGAAAGATTTTCACCTGTCTCTCTGAGGGCTCCTTTTCAGACACCTGTGCAGGTTCATCATGCTTGGCTTATATTAATAATAAATATTGATGCTCCTCAAAGCTCAATCCAAGGCCATCTTCTGTTTTTACTCAGTTATTCCTTCTCATGTGATTTATTCTACTTCCATAGCTTCTTTAGTGTGATAATATATTACCATGTTTAGGCCAGGTGCTGTAGCTCACGCCTGTAATCCCAGCACTTTGGGAGGCCAAGGATGGCAGATCACGAGGTCAAGAGATCGAGACCATCCTGGGCAACATAGTGAAACCCCGTCTCTACTAAAAATACAAAAATTAGCCAGGTGTGGTGGCACATGCCTATAGTCCCAGCTACTCGGGAGGGTAAGGCAGGAAAATCACTTGAACCTGGGAGCCGGAGGTTGTAGGGAGCCAAGATTGCGCCACTGTACTCCAGCCTGGCCTGGTAACAGAGTGAGACTCCATCTCAAAAAAATATATGTATGTATTACCATGTTATACTTTCTTTCCTTTTTTTTTGTTTTTGAGAAGAAGTCTTGCTCTTGTCCCCCAGGCTGGAGTGCAATGGTGTGATCTTGGCTCACTGCAACCTCCGCCTCCCAGGTTCAAGCGATTCTCCTTCCTCACCCTCCCGAGTAGCTGGTATTACAAGCCCGTGTCACCATGCCCGGCTAATTTTTATATTTTTAGTAGAGACAGGGTTTCTCCATGTTGGCCAGGCTGGTCTTGAACCCCTGACCTCAGGTGATCTGCCCGCCTTGGCCTCCCAAAGTACTAGGATTACAGGTGTGAGCCACCGTGCCCAGCCATGTTTATACTTTCAATCACTAATGTATACTTCCAGCCCAGACCTCTTCTCTGAGCTCCAGACTCAGATATCCAACTGTCTGCCTGACAGCTTTTTTTTTTTTTTTTTTTTTGAAGACAGGGTCTCACTTCAGTTGCCCACGCTGGAGTGCAGTGATGCGATCTTGGTTCACTGCAGCCTCGACTTCCTGGGCTCAGGTGATTCTCCTACCTCAGCCTCCTGAGTAGCTGGGACTATAGGTGCACGCCACCATACCCGGCTAATTTTTTGTATTTTTAGTAGAGATGGGGTTTTGCCATATTGGCCAGGCTGGTCTCAAACTCCTGGACTCAAGCAATCCACCTGCCTTGGCCTCCCAAAGTGCTGAGATTACAGGCTTGAGCCACTGTGTCGGGCTCTATTTGTATATTTCAAAGGCACTTCAGACTTGTGATCACCCTAGAACATACCTCTGGGTGTTGCCCTGCTCAGTGAATGGCACCATCCACCTAAGCTGCATAGGCAGAAACTTCAGAGTCAGTCTTGATACCTCCTTCTCCCTTACTGCCTCTATTGTCCATTACCAAGACTTGTTGATTTTATCTTGTTAAATTTCTCAAATTCACCTACTTCTTACTATCTCTATAACCACCATCCTGGCTGGGCGAGGTGGCTCATGGCTGTAATTCCAGCACTTTGGGAGGCCGAAGTGGGCAGATCACCTGAGGTCAGGAGTTCAAGACCAGCCTGTTCAACATGGTGAAACCCCATCTCTACTAAAATACAAAAATTAGCTGGGAGTGGTGGCACATGCCTGTAATCCCAGCTACTCAGGAGGCTGAGGCAGGAGAATCGCTTGAACTTGGGAGGCAGAGGCTGCAGTGAGCCGAGATCATGCCACTGTACTCCAGCCTGGGCAACAGAGTGAGACTCCATCTCAAAAAAATAAAAAATAAAAAAAAACCCCACCATCCTAATCCAACTATTGTCATCTCTTCTAGACCACTGCCAAAGGCACTTAACTGGTCTCCCTGCATCTGCTCTTGCCTACATCCAGTCTTTTCCCTACACTGCTGCCAAGAAGGTTTTTTTTTTTCCCTCAAAACATAAATCTGATCATGTCAGTCAGAGTTCATAATACTCCAATAACTTCCTATTACTCTTGGTATAAAGGTAATTCCCTAATTGCAATTTATCTTATTTAACAAAGCTGTGTTAATTCAAGTTCTCCAAGAAGCAGATGCTAAGATGGGATTAGACCTGAAAGATGTTTATTAGGGGGGATGTCTATAAAAATAAACAGGAGAAAGAGAATGCAGAAGAACTTTCAGACTGTGAGGCAGGTCTAACACCTGTGGAAGAGACGGGGCAGGAAGGAGGATTTGGGTAGGAAGAGGCTCAGATTGGGTAGGAAGAGGCAGCAAAGTTCTGAGAAAGTTTTGGCCAGGTCAGCAGGGGTCTTTGAGGCAACATTGCCTGTTAAAGGAGTCTCTTGTCTTATATCAGTTGCCTTCCCTCACCCTCCCTACCAGTGCATGCTCGTTATTGGCTGGGAGCAGCCCAGGGGAAGCATGGCCTTGGTGCGAACACAGTGGCGGATTCAGGAGAGCAGTGGCTCAGACTGTCAGTTGCCTGTGCTCCCCTGTGGCAGAAGAGCTGAGTGGTGGGCTTTTATGACCACTGAAAAGCCCTGTATGGTTTGATCTCTGCTTACCTCCCCAGCCTGGCCTTGTACCATGCAGCCCTTTGTGGTCTCAGTATCAATACAAGTCTTTTGTTACTTCCTTGAACATAAATATTATGTGTTTCCAACCCCTCTCCCCAATACAGAAACTAATTTTGTAATTTTAATAGAGAAAGGGTTTCTCCACGTTGGTCAGGCTGGTCTCGAACTCCCGACCTCAGGTGATCTGCCTGCCTCGGCCTCCCAAAGTGTTGGGATTACAGGCGTGAGCCACTGCGCCTGGCCTAGTTTGTCTTTTTAATTGATAAGTAATATTTTATTGCATAAATATATCATTATTTGTTTATCCATTCTCTTGTTTATGAACATTTAAGTTGTTTACAGGTTTTGACTACTGTGACTAAAGCTATTATCAACATTCTTATATAAGTCTTTTTATGAATATATTTTTTTCATTTCTCAGAGTGGAATTTCTGGGTCACAGGAGAAGTATATGTTTAACTTTAACTGACAAACTGGTTATAAAATTTTATGCTCCCAACAGCAATGAGAATACTAGTTGCCTCACTACCTACTTACCATTTGATATTATCATTCATTTTATTTTAGTCATTCTAGTAGGTATAAAGTGGCATTTCATTAGTTTTTATTGTACAATTCCCTAATTACTAATGATGTCTCAGGAGCTTACTGGTTCTTCATGTATCTTTTTGAGATATCTCTTTAAGTCTTTTGCCATTTTAATGGGTTGCCTTTTTATTATTGACTTGCAGGTGCTCCTTATATATTCTCTAAATAAGTCCTTTGTATTTATCACATATTACAAATATTTTCTCCAAATCTATAGCCTGACTTTTGCCTTTTTCTCAATGGTGTCTTTTGAAGAGCAGAAATTTTAAATTTTAATAAAGTCTGATTTCAATTTTTTTTCTTTTATGGTCAGTGCATCTTGTGTCCTAAAAAAATCTCTGCCTATTCTAAGGTGGAAATGAATAAATAACATTTTTAAACAATTTAAAATAAACCTATGCCTATTTCCTTTCCGTCTTGCTCCTAAAATTATGCTACTTTTAGTTTGGAATCACTGAGATGATATACACTATTTTGGTAAGAAGGTCAAGAATGAAAAATGGTGGAAAATTTCATGTGTAAAATGTTTCATTCCAGCAAAGTTACCAAATTGCAAAGGCCTAGAAGAAAGGCCTAGAAATGAGTTCCTTTAAAGACCAGAAAAAGAAGCTAACTTTTTAAAGAGCATGCTGTCTTAGTCCATTTGAGCATCTATAACAAACTATCTTAGACTTGGTGGCATACAAAGAGCAAAAATTTATTGCTCACAGTTCTAGAGGCTGGGAAGACCAAGACCAAAGCACCTGCAGATTTGGTATCTAGTGAGGAGCTATTCCCTGGTTCATAGATGAGGCCTTCTTATTGCTTGCTCAGTTGGTGGAAGGGCTCAACAAGCTCCCTTGGGCCTCTTTTATTTTTATATTTTTTATTATTTTTTTGAGACAGAATCTCACTCTTGTTGCCTAAGCTGGAGTGCAATGGTGTGATCTCAGCTCACTGCAACCTCCACTTCCTGGGTTCAAGCGATTCTCCTGCCTCAGCCTCCCAAGTAGCTGGGATTACAGGCGCTCACCACCATGCCCAGCTAATTTTCGTATTTTTAGTAGAGACAGGGTTTCACCATTTTGGCCAGGCTGGTCTCGAACTCCTGACCTCAGGTGATCCACCCACCTGAGCCTCCCAAAGTGCTGGGATTATAGGAGTGAGTCACTGAGCCCGGCCTTGGGCCTCTTTTAGAAGGGCACTAATACCATTAATTAGGACTCTGTCCAGATGACTTAATCACCTTCAAAGGCTCCACATCTATCAGATTGGGGGTTATGTTCCAACATGAAAATCTAGGGGGACACAAACATTCAGACCATAGCACATTCCCCTCTACTTTCATCAAATGGTGCATGGCTCACTATCAATAATGTTGGTGCTCTACATAAATCTGTTCTATGACTTTTAAAATTTAACAAGCAAAAGAGGAATGCATTGGAAGACTTATGGGTGGTAGTCAAAGAATCTGAAGGAAAGCTAAAAAGTTAAGTCTTCAGAAAAAACAGGAGCTACAGTAGCTGTGAAGATCAAGAGAGCAGGATGAAACAGATGAACTGACGTCTATAGGGATGAATGATCTCCAACTGTTTCTGTCTTTGGGTTAATCCCCTTAAACTCGACTTGCAAGAGGAAAGTACCTGCATGGCCTAATTTAATCACTGTATGGCCTAATTTGGTCACATGCCTAGTACAGAGACCTTGGTTGACAGTCATGCCCTCGAAACTGTATTCAGTAGGGAAGAGGAATAGTTCCCCAAAGTAAAATTGGGGCAGTGCTGCTAGAAGAAGGGAGGAGGGACTCTGGGCAGACAAAAACAATAGATGTTTATTATACCCTTAAAAAGGCAGAACATACATCTTCCAACTTGTGTTCATGTCTTTTATCTTAAGTAGGATGAAATTGCTTATTCACTTATCTTCCCTTCAAATAACCAGGCTTAAGTTAAATTACTGCCAAGTTTAGATTTGTGAAAGCCGAGTCTACCTGATTAACTTTCATCCCAGATCAGTTTTGTTGTTACTGTTTTAGCTCTTGAAGTTGACAGTGTATTTCTGATTACTTAGAATTTATCTTTCAAAATTGAGATGCAGAAACTCTGTGAAATCTAATCTTAAGTGGGGAAAAGGCAGAAACATGAAATAAAATATAACTTGACCAAGATTGGAAGTGAATTGGGAGTGACATAAACAGGATTTTTGTGCATTAGGGTCCCTTTTTTTAAAAAACGTCACTTAAGTCTCAGTGGCTTACATCTGTAATCCCAGCACTTCAGGAAGTCAAGGCAGGAGGATCCCTTGAAGCCAAGAGTTTGAGACAAGCCTGGCCAACATAGTGAGACCCCCATCTCTACAAATTTTTTTTTTAAATTAGTTGAGTGTGGTGGTATGTGCCTATAGCCTAGCTACTCAGGAGGCTGAGGCAGCAGGATTCCTTAAGTCCAGGAGTTAGAAGCTGCAGTGAGTTATGATGGTACCACTGCACTCCGTCCTGGGTGACAGAGCAAGACCTTATCTCTAATTTAGAAAAAAAATGCTTAAAAAGTTATGTTTCTTCAATCTGCTTATCAAAGTTAAATGTTTTCACATGCGAGCACCTATATTGAACTTCATTTGCTCATTCATTCAGCAAACATTTATTAAGGGCTTGCCATGTGCATTAGTGGTATAGGCTCTGGAGATCTCTAAGGTGACAGTGAGGGAAGCTGATCCTCACTATAAAATATGGACAATAAACTACTTTAGGAGTGAGGGATCAGGGTATGACTGTTTTATTTACTAAGTTTTATCCCTAGTACCTATCACAGTGCTCGAAGCATAGAAATAACTAAAAAATATATTGTAGTTGTTGTTTTTTGAGACAGAGTCTCACTCTGTCGCCCAGGCTGGAGTGCAGTGGTGCGATCTCGCCTTACTGCAAGCTCCGCCTCCTGGGTTCACACCATTCTCCTGCCTCAGCCTCCTGAGTAGCTGGGACTATAGGCGGCCGCCACCATGCCTGGCTAATTTTTTAAACATTTTTTTAGTAGAGACGGGGTTTCACCGTGTTAGCCAGGATGGTCTCAACCTCCTGACCTTGTGATCCACCTGCCTTGGCCTCCCAAAGTGCTGGGATTACAGGTGTGAACCACCACACCCGGCCAAAAATATATTGTTGAATGGATGACTAGATGAACAGGGAGAGCCGTCAATTTTCCTGTCAAAAGACTGGTGGGGGGCCATGTGTGATGGCTCACGCCTATATTCCCAGCACTTTGGGAGGCCAAGGTGGGTGGATCACCTGAGGTCAGGAGTTTGAGACCAGAATGGCCAACTTGGTGAAACCCCGTCTCTACTAAAAAATATAGAAATTATGCAGGCATGGTGGTGCGCACCTGTAATCCCAGCTACTCAAAGGCTGAGGCAGGACAATTGGTTGAACCCAGGAGGCAGAGATTGCAGTGAGCTGAGATCATGTCATTGCACTCCATCCTGGGCGACAAGAGTGAAACCCTGTCTCAAAAAAAAAAAAAAAAAAAAAGGCTGGTGGGGTCAGGACTGTGGAGGATAATAAGAAGGGCAGTTCAGGAAAATTTTCTGAGTTGTTTAATTCTGCTTCAACAAAATGCTTCAAAGAATGGTTAGAGTTCCCATAGCCAAACTTGAGGCCTAGATACCCCTCTAATGGTTCCATCAGGCATCTGCCTTCAAATATATGTGTAAGTTGGTTTTCCTCTCTCCCTCGCAGGACTGCAGGGGTTGAATATGTTCTTCTGACTCCTTGTATCAAGCTTTTTTTTTGCGACTGGGGATACTAGTTGCCCATATGAGCACTCAAAAAATTTCAGTGTCTCTGTACTGGAGGGTAAAAAGCTGAGAAATTGGGATTTTGGAAATTATATTTTCCTGGCAGTGGGAGGTTGTGTGTAATTACATTTGGAAATGGCGAGTTAATGGGTGCAACACACCAGCATGGCACATGTATACATATGTAAGTAACCTGCACATTGTGCACATGTACCCTAAAACTTAAAGTATAATAATAATAAAATAAAAAAAATTACATTTGGAAATAATTCCAAAGGAAGGTGGGGAAGAATTGTGTGGAAGTAGCAAATTTTCAACAGAGACCTCCCTCTCCCCACACTGAGGAGAGTTCCTTGGTATCTGAGCATAAATTAAAAGAGTACACCAGTTGGGCTAAGTTTTTAGGAATCACAAACACACTAAGGTTCCCTGATGTTAACTTTTTTTTTTTTTTTTTTTTGAGACGGAGTCTCACTCTGTTGCCAGGCTGAAGTGCAGTGGTGTGATCTCGGCTCACTGCAATCTCCACCTCCCGGGTTCACGCCATTCTCCTCCCTCAGCCTCCTGAGTAGCTGAGACTACAGGTATGCACCACCATGCCTGGCTAATTTCTGTATTTTTAGTCGAGACGGGGTTTCACCATGTTGGCCAGGATTGTCTCAATCTCTTGACCTCATAATCCACCCACCTCGGCCTCCCAAAGTGCTGGGATTACAGGTGTGAGTCACTGCGCCCGGCCCCCTGATGTAACTTTTAAAGGCAAAACAAACAAAAAATCTAGGGTCTTTCCTGGGTTTCCTCTTTTTGTGGGTGTGTATATGATGTTTGTTTACCTATCTCCATAATAAATGTTCCTCTTTCCTCAATACATATGTGTTCCTCTTGACTCAATACACTTGATCTCTCTTTAACTCTTGTTATTGATGGGTCTAAATTGTTCTACTCTGTTTTCCATCTCAAGGGACAGCATAGCTTATAAAAAACCAGGGCCTCAGTGCCAACAAGACATAACCTCGAAAGCCAGTTTTGCTACTTAATATCTAGGCTTTCAACCAAGATACTTGATTGATAACCAAGATATCGATAACTTTCAACCAAGTACTTAACATCTCTGGGCCACAGTTTCTGTGCTGTTCAGTGATATTTCGGTTTCTCCTTCTAGGTAAATGGTAGGATTGCACTTCTGGTTCCCTTGACATTAGGAGGGTTCATGCATTTGCTTTGGCCAATGGCTTAAAAGTGGAAGTGGATATGTATTATTCCTGGGGAGAGACCTTTAAAAGTCATCTTCCTGCCTTTTCCCTGAAAAGTGATAGAGACTTTATCAGCCTGGTACCAGAGTGACGACAACATAGGGTAGAATCCCTATGAGCCCAATGCTCATGTAGCATGACCAAGAAGAAAATTCTATTGTCTGAAGCCATTACGATTTTGAAGTTATTTGTTATCTCAACATGAAATACCTCATCCTGGCTGATGTTTCCTGATGTGAAAAATAGTATAATAAGATTGATTACATTATTCCACAGTGGGAGATTAAAAAACACTGGTTCTTATTACTATTATGCTCATCCTCCCAGTTGTCTATACCTACTGCTCTTACCAGTTGTTCCACCTACACCCGCATATTTGGCTCATTCTTGTCCATTTCACTTGACCTAAATTTTTTCCTTCATTTTCCTACTCCATCACTTTCCCTCTTTACTTATATCCTCTGTTGAATCCTGGTTCCATTGTAGTCAAACTCCCTAAACCTGTTTCTCATCTTTTTCGTCTGACCAGAAACAAAAAATTAGAGTCAAAAGTGACCTCATCTCTCTAAGAATCTGCAAAAACAGACCCTTCAACTTCACTCCCCATCCAGCAAGCATCCATAGACACCTTGACTTCCAGGAGTTCATCAGGACAAGTTACTACACCCCTCTGAGAGGTGTCACTAGGCACTTCTCTTCATTTAGCTGTCCGCATCCTTTTCCTAACCATACCACATCACCTCTGGCCTCAAAGAAACCTATAATCATTGCTTGCTCCTACTTCACTTCTCACACACACTTTGGACACTTTCCTTACTTTACACTCAATAGTTAACTCTAGCACTGCTTCCTATCCTTGTACCTTTTTTCTTTTTTCCCTTCTAACCGTCCCCATCCCTCCCTCAATATTTCATGGAACCCTCCAGACAATCACAGGCTTTGGAAGTCTCATCAGATGATTTATCTTCTCTTGTTCTTGAGCTATGAAAGAAAACAATGAACTGTGCAGACCCATGACCACATGCTGTATGTACTGTCTAAAATGGAAATAATTGACTTTTCTGGAATAGTTGGCATTGGTTGGTGTTCACCCTTTCTTCTTCAAAACTGTTCCTTCCCTGGCTTCTGGTTCTCCACTGTTTTCAATGGTTCACCTTTCTCTGTCCACTCTTCATTTAGTAGGCAATCCCCAGAATTTTGTCTTTAGGTCTCTCCTCTCCTTTGTCTATGTGCTTTCTCCGGGGGAATGTCATCCATCTTTACAGCTTCTATGACCCTTTAAATGCAAATAATTCCCAAATGACTTTTACCAGCAGTAACTCCTCTCCAGAGTTCTAGAAGTCAATATACAATATCTCATTAGACACATGAAGCTGGATGTCCTAGGCACATCTTAAACTTAACATGTCCCCAAGCAAATGCTGCTTCTCCCCGACCCCAAATCTGGACTATCTCTTTTGTTCTTTCTTGTTTTTTCAGTGTCCTCTTTTTACTGTTTTGCAGAAGAATGCCCAACATACAACATGATTGCAAATATTTGGCTATGCAAAAGAGGAGATAGTGCTCAAATACAAATGGGAGACATGACTTTTTAAAAAATAAATATTTGCCAGGCATGGTGGCTCACATCTGTAATCCCAGCACTTTGGGAAGCTGAGGCGGGTGGATCACCTGAGGTCAGGAGTTCGAGACCAACCTGGCCGACATAGTGAAACCCCATCTCTACTAAAAATACAAAAAATTAGCTGGGTATGGAGGCAGGTGCCTGTAATCCCAGCTACTAGGGAGGCTGAAGCAGGAGAATCGCTCGAACCTGGGAGGCAGAGGTTGCAGTAAACCAAGATTGTGCCGTTGCACTCCAGCCTGGGCAACAAGAGTGAAACTCCATCTCAAAAAAATAAAAACTAAAATAAATAAATACAAAATAAATAAATAAATATTTAAACACAACTTGGGTTCTACAAGTGCCTGGACTACAGGTCTGTTTGAAGGAGCTGCCTTGTTTGTTGACCCATGGTGATGTCATAATTATCGCCAGTAATCAATGCGTGGATTCAGGGTGCCAATGGTTGAATATGATCATGGTGAACCCCTTTTCTAAAGCCTTCTCTAGTCCTCTACAGAGGTACTATGGCCAGGACCAAGAAAATGAAATTTCTCAAAGGTCAGTGGTCCATAACAGTTAAGTATGCTACATGATTCTCTTGGTTTTCATTTCTAGTGAGGAAACACACTTACTCTTCTTCAATTCCACATACAGGACAGGCCTAAAAGCTCCTCCCATATCTCTGAGAACATTAGACCATGCACTCTTGAAGAAGGCTTTCCCTTTTCCTCCTTAAAAATCTTCCTCCAGCAATTGAGGGTTCCCATGTGCAGTATGTTGGCTCCTTTGGGTCTGCACAGGGCCCAATGGGTAGAAGGTCATGTTGGCCGCACCACCACAGTCTGGGCAATCATCTGGCTCACCATGATGTGGTGGTCTTGGAGTCAGGGAGCATGCCTTAGGCCTTCAGGCTGCCCAGAAAAGGATGATGCCCTGCACAGAGATGCTGAAGCCCTGGTACAGGCCCCAGATCCCATCAGACTTACTTATCTTCACCAGACAGTCTCCTAGGTCTTTGAACCTGAATCCCAGCTCTGTGTACGATTTCCCAACATTGACCACCAGATGGGTTCTGGCAAAACCCAGCAAGTACACAAAACAGAGACAGGTGGCTCTGGCCGCCTTGTTGGAGGCCAGATTGTGGGCAAAACAGCTCTAGAACTGTGTGTGTTCATCCATACTCCCAGGAATAGCTGTGTCTGCTTATCCTTGAATGTGATGTTGAGGGCTTGCTTAAGAAAGTAGTCCACAATTCCTGTGCACTGCTGTCAGCTGTCACCTGCTTCCTAGCGCCTTGCATCTGCTACAGCAGCTTCACCTGCTCAATCAGGGCCACAACTATCTTGGCGACAGCAGCAGCAATGCCACCAGCCAGATGGTCCTTGGCAAAGGAGATCGCCTGTTGTGTCATGGTTGCAGAGCAGGAAGCTGAGCACATGGAGAACTGGGAGGATTAGTGCTGCTGGCTCAGCCCTGTGACTGCTGGACCTAGAGGCCTACCTCTTCTATTCTTGATCTGGGTTAACGGCATTACCATTTACCTTTCTCCCAACTTAGAAAGCTTGATGTTATTCTCACCTTCTTTCTCTTGCCCTCCACATACAGTCAGCTGCCAAATCTTGCTGCTTCTAATTTTAAACCATCATTTGATTCTGTCTCTCCCAAACCCTACGCTACTTGCTTAAAATAGGCCTTCATCATATCTTCTTTGGACTATTATTGAGACAGGCCTGTAATCTGTTCCCTTGATAAGTTTTTCCCCACCATGTTCTCCATACTGCCACTGTATGGAGAGTTACTGAGAAGAAAGCTTATCAAGCCATTTTTCCGTGTAAAAGCTTCTATTGGTTCTATAAACCCATGAGGTTCAAACTCTGTTGCTTGGCTACAAAGCTCTTAACCCTCTGGTGGCAATCTACCTCTCCATCTTGTTTCCTTTCCTACCTTCATGTTCTCCAAACACATTCTAGGTTTCTTGGGCCTCATATCCTCACTATGTCTAGCATATAACCCTGAACTTTCAGAAGTCCATACGTGTTTTTTAAAGCAATTCCTTTCTCTCCGCTCCACCCCCATTCACTTGAAAAATTCCCCCATCTGTTAAAAGCCAAGTTTAAGCATCACCTCCTCCGTGAAACTTTCCCAGATTTTCCCAGGCTACTGGATGTTCTGTTCCTTTTGCTCCGAGAACACTTTATAATTGCTATAAACTTTACAGTGTAGTCCTTTTCTATTTACATATTTGTAGCTCATAGTAGACTGTAAGCTTCTGATTATTAGTGTACTAGATAGAAGTTGTTTGATAAATACTGGTGAATAAATGCAATGTTGTTTTCTTCCCAGGATGTTTTGGGGACCAGTCTCTTTCTTCCTACTATAGTCTTAAAATACAATCAACTCAAATTTATATTTTAATAGCCTCTAAGCTGACCATCTAGAACCACACTATTCAATAATGTATCCACTAGTCACATGTGGCTGCTGAACATTTGAAATTCATCTACTCCAGGCTGGGCGCAGTGCCTCACACCTGTAATCCCAGCACTTTGGGAGGCCAAGGTGGGAGGATAGCTTGAGGCTAGGAGTTCAAGACCATGCTGGCCCACATAGTGAGACCCCATGGACCAGCAGGGTCTCGAACTCCTAGGCTCAATTTTTTGATAATTTCTTTATTAAAAAATAAATTCAGCCACTCCAAAATGAAATGAGCTGTGTTATACAGCATTTTGAAGAGAATATGAAAACAAGAATGGAAAGAAAATATGCCATGTTTTATATTACATCTCAAAAATATTTTGGATACATTGAGTTAAATCAAATGTATTAGTAAAATGTATTTTATGTTTCTTTTTCTGTTTTTAAATGTGGCTACTGCATTATTTAAAGTTATACGTGTGGCACGCAAGTATTTGTACTGGACATTGCTGTGACCCTTCAATCCATCCTGAAGGTTGTTTTTTGGTGGTAAACCTGTATTCTGTTTTTCTGAGTCCTCACAGTGCTGAACAGAATTTTTGTAGGGAGGAGAGGTACTCAAAAAATGGTGTTTGTTTACTGGTTACTGCAGGACTAACTTTCCCAAAAGATCCTTTTTATTATGCTATTATCCTACTTGAAGAATCTACAGGTTTTCTTTTTCTTTTTTTGGGGGGGGGGTGGGTGGGGAAGGAGTTTTGCTCTTGTTGCCCAGGCTGGAGTGCAATGGCCTGATCTCCGCTCACTGCAACCTCTGCCTCCCGGGTTCAAGCGATTCTCCTGCCTCAGTCTCCTGAGTAGCTGGGATTAAACAGGCATGCGCCACTACACCCGGCTAATTTTGTATTATCAGTAGAGACAGGGTTTCTCCATGTTGGTCAGGATGGTCTCGAACTCCCCACCTCAGGTGATCCGCCTGCCTCGGCCTCCCAAAGTGCTGGGATTACAGGCGTGAGCCACTGTGCCTGGCAAAAATCTACAGGTTTTCTACTGTCAATTTGCATCAAGGCCAGACTACTTTGTCTGGCTTCCCAAGTCTTCCATAACCCTATCATAGTTTACTTATGCAGCCTTATCTCAAAAGTAGTACCTTTTGTTCCAGTCTGTTTTCCAAGGTACTTCAGGTCTTCATGCTTTTGTGCAAGCTGCTCTTTCTTAATATCTCCCTCCCCAGTCCCCATCTAAATCCAGCGTATCTTCAGGACAAGGCTCGTAAGTTCTACCTCCCACATAATGTTTTTTTCTGTTCATTGGAACTCACCAATATCTCCCTAGTAGTTATTTGTCAGAGCTATGTAGTATAAGCTCTAATTTGTTTAATTACTGAGCATCTTCATTGCCATATCCATTCAATTTAATTCCAGAAACATTTTTGAGCCCCTGTGCCAAGAACAGGGCTAGGTAGCAATGAGGGTCACTTTTATGCAGGGACAGGGGCTAGAAATTGGCCTTACTAAGAAGTGTAAGACCGACTCTTGCTCATTGCCTTTCTTAGCATCTGCTTCATCGCAGGCAAGGACTGTGTTTATTTGGCTTGCATAAGCCCCATATTAGAACTTCCTCATAATATACAACATGCCAAATCATCGAAACTGCGTCACCCGGAGTTCAAACTTCATGAGCCTGGATTAGGGTCTGGGTTCCAATGAAAAGTGTTTTCTTTAGTTCTCTTTCTCTTGCATTAAGGATCACTATTTACACAGCTTCTTGTTAAAGTATCACCGCCTAGTACTTGGGTTCCTGGTCACACTTTCCCCCTTATGGAAGGGCTTACTGCCAGGTCTTTCAGACTCTGGAGCCAGACTGCTTTGGATTTAAATCTCAACTCCTCCACTAGTAGTTCTGTAATCTGGTCAGGTTACTTAACTCCTCTATGCCTCACTTTCCTCCCCTGTGTAATGAGGATAACAATATCATAAGGTTGGGGAAAGGGTTAAATGAGCTAACAGTTCGTTTAACAGAGTAATCACTCAATGAAATGTTATCCCCTAATACATGTCACTACTAGATTATTTCTCGCCCTTAAAATGTAAGAGACCGTTTTTCCTCTTTTCTTCCATCCGTGTCTCCAGCTTCTAAACTGCAGGCGAATAAACCTCGAATGAGTAAATGAACCCACCCAGTCGCTAGTTATTTCTGCATTTCCAATGTTGTGCCAGCAAGAGCAAAGGCAAATGGGCAAGTCAAAGTAGGCTTCTTGTAAAAGGTCTTCCATTACTGGGTTTTACTAGAGGCCCTTGCGGACCATCACATCTCAAAAGGGGGGAAAGCTCGTATGAGGCAGTGCCAGCTACCTTTCGGGAATCACCTTGGGCAGAAGGCCTTTTTGCAAAAAGACTCGGCAGCCCGGGCCCCGTAGGTTCGGCGCATGCGCAGCGCGCTCGGCGCCCGGGTTCCTTCCTCCGCGCCACCCGGAAGCCTCGGCGCGACCCAGTCCCCCTCCCCCTCCCCTCGCCGGCTAGGGTGGTGCGTGCCGGCAGGCCGGTCAAGGAGGCGGGACACGTCGGCGCTACCACCGCCACCGCCGCCGCCGCCCCTCCTCCCGTTCCAGCTGCCGCTGCCGCTTCCTGGGCTGAGTCCGCCCGCGGTCCCGGCGGCGCCAGGTGCGTTCACTCTGCCCGGCTCCAGCCAGCGTCCGCCGCCGCCGTAGCTGCCCCAGGCTCCCCGCCCCGCTGCCGAGATGGCGACGCGCTCCTGTCGGGAGAAGGCTCAGAAGCTGAACGAGCAGCACCAGCTCATCCTATCCAAGCTTCTGAGGGAGGAGGACAACAAGTACTGCGCCGACTGCGAGGCCAAAGGTAGCTTGGACGTCGTCGCTGCCCACGGTCGGGGCCTCTTGCGACCGGTGACCTTCCCGCCGCTGCGGCGCTCGGGGCCCGAGCGGACGCCTCGGCTTCGCTGGCCGGCTCCTGCCCTGACTGGAGGGCGGGTGGCTGAGCGGGCGGGCGCGGGGCTCCTGTCGACCCTCAAGTCCGCCAGAGGCGGCGGCGAGGTCAGGCCCGCAGGCCCTGTCAGTGGCCCCAGCCTCCCCTCCTCCCAGACACGGGTTTGAGCAGGTGCCAGGGTAGCGATGCTCGGACCCTCCACAGGGCTGGGGGTAGGAGCGAGGCTGGGAGCGCGGAACCGGGCACGGGTCTGGGCAGAGCTTAGGGTTAGAGAGTTGCCCTCCTAGCTCTGCTCATAGCTATCTCTGTGGGTGGGGCCGCGCTTAGGTCTGGATCCCCTCCTCTACCCTCCGGTGTGACCACGTCCTCCCACTCCGGGCTCGGATTCTTGGTCTCCTAGATGGAGCCCTACCTGCCTGCCCACCTGACAGCTTTTGTACAAGGCTTTTATCTCTGCTTCCTGAAAAAGAGTATGGTGGTCTTTTTCGGTGGGTTTGAGTTTTACGGAATAAATTAATTGGAGAAAGGTCTTTATTAGTAGTAGTATTGTTTTTTAGTCTGGTTATTAGCCAGAATGAAGAGGAATTTCATTACATGAGTCTCTTGGAGGACGGTGGGTTTGTATTTCTGAAGATTTTAGTAATTAGGTTTTCTCTGACCAGCTAGTTTGGGAGAATATGTGGACACTGATTTGTGTACCTCATAAATGCTGAAGGTTCATTTTAAAGATCTAGAGATGGAAAAAACCTAATTTTAGTTTTTTCGGTTGGAGGGCTTCTGCCTCAGCCTTTGAAACAGATATACTATTTTTAGCTGCTATGTTTTGTGTTTGGAGATCTGATTTATGTTTAATGTCTTGTAAGTAATCTCAAGGGAAATATTTCTTTTTTTTTTAAAGAAATGTCTTGTGTAGTTAAGAAAAGATCGTGTATATTTTTAATTGGTTTATTTCGTTATTGGGTGAGAAATAGGGTAGTTCTCTAAAGCAGGAGACAGTCTCTTTGGGGAATGTCCTTTAAGATTTCTGTGTTATTTGACTTAGACTTTTCCTGAAGCTTTACTGTTCTATCTCAATACTATATAAATGAGTCACATTTCAGTAGGCTGATAATATTTGACTAGACTGAGCCACACAGCATCAGCAGGTTACTTCACTGTCGTAACAGGTACTGAATTACTAGAAGAATCATGCGGGAATACTGTAACTAGATTATTTTTATGAAGCACTTTTCAATATAGTAACTTGATTGAGTCAAGATTATATTTATCCTATGTAACCTTTTCAGGTGATGAGTTTTTACAAAGTCCGTGCCTGGTTCTTGTAATACTTGTTTTCCTAGTAACTTGATTGTGTGTGGTTATTTGGGAGTTCTGCACTGTGTTTAGGCTCAGTTGCTTGCTCATTGACTGCACTAGCAAAACACTGAAAAATGGTCCTTTAAAAGGCCAAGAAGAAGAAAGAAGCTGAAGCTAAATAGTACACATTTTGTCATTTTGAGTAATAACATGGTTAAGTAGAGATGCTGGTAAATATTAAATCTGTTCATTAAAAGTCGAATAGTAACAGTTTCAGAATTAACCTTCCTTCATCTACAGACTTTATTAAAAATAATTTAATTTTTGTTCAAATTTCTGTCTCCAAAAAAGTACTTTATAAAATCAGATTTTCACTAATGCTTTCTAAAATAATACAGATTTTTAAAAGCCATTATTAACCATGTTAACTTTTTTTTTTTTTATTTACTCTTTTGAGGTGGGGAGAAGAGAATCATGTACTTCTTAAATTAGGATCAAAAGTTTTACTTCTTTGGACCTGAAGAATAGGAAGTATTCGTTTTGCTCAGTGTTTGTATTGCCACGGAAATCAGTAGATATATATTGAATGAATGTCTTTTGTATTTTGGTTTTGTCTGGCCTTTTGTTGGTTTACTTGTTTTGAGAAGTGAAGGAAGTGGGAGAGAAGAGAATGGTATCAAGAGTACAAGGGTGCAGCTTGAAGGGCATGAACTCCACAGTATAATTTACAAGGATTATTTTTTTCTTGTTGCTACTAAATCTAGAAGAATATTAAAATGATCTTGTAAATAATTTCATTGTTTTATCTTGATCTTTCAGGCAAAAAATCACAGGTAAGGCCACTTATTGATTTAATTAGACTTGATTTCATGGTTGTAATAATTGAAAAATTCGACATGATAGAGCAATTGATGTAAATATATTTTCACAGTTTTTGAGTATTTGGTAAGGTTGAAGTACATTATGGAGGCTTTTTTAGTAGAATTCTTGGCTTGTTACATGATTTTGGATCTATATGCTAGGATGACATAATAAATATAGTACTTTTAAAAGATATGTTAAAGGTCTTACTCTACAGCTCAGTTACTAAGAAGTTTCATTCTGTGTATGTATTGATGTTTTCTTCACTGTCTAGTAAATTGCATCAAACTTTTCATGTACTGTATTTCAAAGTTATTTCCTAGTTAACTCAATTTTCTTTCTTTCAAAGAAGCTTCTTCCACTGATCTTTGAGAATATGTACCAAAACTAAAGCTTAGGATTTGAGGTGCCTGTATTATCTTGCCTTATCATAGTTGGTAGAGGTATGTCAATTGGGTTTTGACATTTTCTTACTGAATCACCAGCTGTGTTTCCTGGATTGACAGTATTTAGGAAGCAACGAAGGAGAAAAGGATGGCATAGGCGCCAGTTTCCTGCTCTTGATCCTGCTCTTACCAAATCTGTTGAACAACTGGAGAATTTAAGAACAGGCAGATGGAACTACTCCTCCTCTCTCCTAGCTGCATTCATGACTCAGTGGGAGTTTAAAGCAGCTCTTGTTGGTTATTAGTTGGTGGCACTTTAGGGAGCAGTGAGGACTGGGAATGCCTTGCCAGCTTCAAGTTTAGTTTTCAGTATTTAAAGTGTTATCTACAGGTAATTCTAGCTTTGATTTTTGTTTTTTTTTTTCACTTCTCTATTCTTTCACATGCTCTGAATAGGGCATCTTGTGTTGGACATCAGGAGTAGCCTGAACTTGGCTGAGTAGGGCTCCTAGAAAACATCGCTGGGCTTGGCAGGTACCACATTGACATGTCCCATGCTTGTTAATGTATATTTCTGAGATTTTAAAAGTGCATTCAAGACCAGCCTGGCCAACATAGTGAAACCCCGTCTCCACTAAAAATACAAAAACCATTAGCCAGGCATGGTGGCAGGCACCTGTAATCCCTACGTGGGAGGCGGAGGCAAGAGAATTGCTTGAACCTGGGAGGCGGAGAGGCGGAGGTTGCAGTGAGCCGAGATCGCGCCACTGTACTCCAGCCTGGGTGACAGAACAAGACTCCGTCTCAGGGAAAAACAAAAACAAAAACAAAACATATAGATAAAATTCACATTGAGCGGTTTCTTCCCACTATCCCCTCTCCCCAGCCCTTGGCAGACACTATTGCATGTTCTATCTCTGTAGGTTTGGCTGTTCTGGATATTTAATATAATACAACATATGAACTTTTGTTTCTGACTTTGACTTCATATGTTTTCAAAGTTCATTCATTTTGTAGCATGTGTCGGTACCTCACTCCTTTTATGGCTGAATAATATTCCATTGTATGGATAGACCACAATTTATCCGTCTATTGATGAACATTTGGTCTGTTTCCATCTTTTGCTAGGTTTGATTTTGAGCATGTTTAAATTGGTATGAAAGTGAGTCTCTTGCCCATTCAATTTTGGGTAGTCAGAAACATAAGGTTTTTTAACTCTAGAGATTGTTTTGTTTAGCCTGTCTGATATTGAGAGGGTAAGCTCATTGCTGAGATCAAACACTCGTTTCTTTGTTCCGCAGATCTTGACTTGAAGACACACTGTTAGATATTGTATTAGGTAAGAGAGCTAAAAAAATTTGTAAGACCTAAAGGAGTTTGTTTAGTGTGGGTTGTGTTTTTGCAAATAAATGATTCTAAAACGATGTGCTAAGTGCTTGTAATAATGGTTTTAAGAAATAACTACCTCTATACTTATTTTGGGCTGTTGTTCCCCTTGCACCTTGACTTTTGCCCATTGGTGGTCTTTACAGTTCCTAGAATGCTGTTTCAAGACCTTTGCACGTGCTGTTCTTCTGCCTGGGAAGCTTTCTAACAAGTTTTTGCCTGCTCAGCTTTTGCTCATCTTTCAATTCCTGCTTAAATGTCTTTTCAAGGGAAATAATTCTCCTTGATCCTCTGAGATTAGGTTAGGCTTCCGTTTATACATAAAAGACAACACCCTGAATCTTTTATTGCACTTATCACAATTGTAATTAAACATTATTTAGGTAATTATGGGGTACACTGTATCCCTGCTGGATTATAGCTGTAAGAGAGGAGACCTTGTTTATCTTGGTTAGGGTAGTATCCCCAGTTTTCAGGACATGTGGTAGGCAAATGTAACTTAGCAAATATTTTTTGAATGAATGAATGTGTGAATGAATGAGCACAGAGCCCCTGGCAGGCAGCAGGGTGTGTGAAAGGGAGTGCACCTGTGAAAGGGAGTGGCATGTGGAGTGACCCTGTTGGGACCAGTCACAGAAGGAGTCTTCATTTGAGCTAGGTTCTGAAGGTGGAGTGGGATTTCATCAGATAGAGAAGGAATTAAAGGACACAGCTGCACACACACATGTACCAGTATGAAAGAACAGAAGAAGTTTCCATACGGCCCTTACTAGATAAGCTTTCTTTAAGCATGATCAGTTTTGGTAGTCTCAGGTCAGAGGAAGAACTGGGATAGTGAGGATTGCAGGCAAATCCTGAGTTAGGAGATGTTGAACAGTGGTCCAAGAAGAGGGCAAGAGGACCTAAATTCACACAATGTCAATATATAAGTCAGGGTATAGAGCAGGAAAGAGATCCACTGTAGCTATTTTCAGGAATCAGGTACTTACCAAGTCATTGGAAGGGCTGGAGGAGGGAAAGTCAGGGAGCCACTGCTGAACTGCTTTCAAGGCCACACATACCACCACTGCTACCGCTGCCCCACTGTCATAACTGCTTCTCACCCAGGAGACTGGTATGCTGATGGGGGCATAAGGCCTATGGAGCTGCAACCACTTAGTGTCTGTAGACGTTTTTTGTTAGTTGCCCTTTCTGTAGGAATGTGGCCTCTGTCCCACTTGTGCTTTCCATGTGCAGATAATTGGCAGATCCTAATTATGTCCAATACCTTGCCTTCAAGGGAGTCTTTTAGCTTTCTAACTTTTTCAAAAAGTAGAAACGTGTAGAGCCCATTTGATTGCAAGAGCCAATCCAAGAGTTCATGTTTTTCATTAAGTCTTTGATATTTTAGAGTTGTTACTTTTAAAGTGTAGTAATATTTACTAAAAAGTAAAGTTCACCTTGGGGAACTGGTGTTTATTATGATGTTGATGCTTATAGGACAAATTTATATAAGTGAAAGTCTGATTATAATTCACCTAAAGAAATTTGCCAATCTAAAAGTTTCCTCAAAATGTGAAACTTCAGTCTGATGGGTCTGTTGTTCTTGTAATTCTGCTGATCTCGAGGTTTTTCCTGATTGGGCAGAGCCCTGGTATCAGAGCTGAGATGGAAATCATTGGTCTCTGACTCATCAGTTTAAAACTTGGGCTGCATGTTGTCTCCCCTCCTTTTGTTCTTCACAGTTCTTCTTTGTCTTTTTTGTTTGTTTGTTTGTTTGTTTAAGATAAAACTTTCAGTACTTGACTTCATTAATTAAGGAGGCTTACATCTCCTAAATTGTTGCTGTACAAGATATATATATATATCTTTCTCCACCTTTATTAACCTATAACAGACTTGAATCCATGCTCTCTTTAAGGCAAAGTAGAATGTTTAAAACGATATACTTTATAAACTCAAAAAAGTGCTTTGGCATTTTTTTTTTCTTTTTTTTTCTTTTTGGTACAGGGTCTCACTCTGTCGCTGGGCTGGAGTGCGATGTAGGCTCTCTGCAACCTCTCCCTCCTTGGTTCAAGCAATCCTCCCACCTCAGCCTCTCAAGTAGCTGGGGCTACAGATGTGTGCGACCATGCCTACCTAATTTTTGTATTTTTTGTAGAGACCACGTTTCGTCATGTTGCCCAGGCTAGTCTTGAACTCCTGGGTTCGAGTGATCTGCCTCCCTCAGTCTCCCAAAGTGCTGTGATTACAGGTGTGAGCCACCACACCCAGCCCCTTTTGCTTATTTCAAACGCTTCTACTAATCGTCTTTTCACGGATTAGAATTAAGCCATTTTAGTTCAGTTTCTCAATTTTCTCAATGAAAGAAGATCAAAGAAACTTGGAGGCCATTTTGTAGTTATTATCAGAAGAGTTGACCGCCTTACATTCTTACCACTGTAAAGAGTTGATTTAACAGACATTTAATTTTGTTGATAAATCAATATTTTCTGGGCACTAAAAAGATTAAGTACTACGTTAGATACTACTGTGTGTGTTAAAAAAGTTTTGGATGCCGGGTGCAGTGGTTCATGCCTGTAATTTCAGCACTTTGGGAGGCTGAGGCAGGTGGATCATCTGAGGCCAGGAGTTTGAGGCCACCCCTGGCCAACATGGCAAAACCCTGTCTCCACTAAAAATACTAAAATTAGCCAGGTGCAGTGGCACATGCCTGTAGTCCCAGCTACTCGGGAGACTGAGGCAGGAGAATTGCTTGAACCCTGGAGGCGGAGGTTGCAGTGAGCCGAGATGGCGCCACTGCACTCCATCCAGCCTGGGCGACAGAGTGGGACTCCATCTCAAAAAAACAAAAACAAAAAGTTTTGGATATAGTTGTCTACAAGCTAGTTAGAGATCTCAGTAGACATGAAACAATTACCAGTTAACTTCTAATCTATGTTTACATTGGTAGATTCATTAGAAGTTTAGAGATAGGGTAGCTCCATTGTGACCTGGAGAATGTTAAAAAAAAAAAAAAAGCAAATAATAACATTACATATATACTCACAAATTATATAGTGTTTTTTTTTTTTTTTTTTTTTTTTTTACCAGAGATGATGTACTTCACACTTTACATATACTAACTCATATAATCTTCAAAACAACCTTTGAGGTAGGTAATATTATTACCCAGGTACACAGAACTTAAAGTAGTGGAGCCAGAAATTTTTTCATTAAAAAAATTTTAGGAGGCCTGGAGCAGTGGTGTACACCTGTAATCCCAGCATGTTGGGAGGCCGAGGTGGGTGGATCACCTGAGGTCAGGCGTTTGAGACCAGCCTGCCCAACATAGTGAAACCCCATCTCTATTAAAAATACAAAAATTAGTTGGGTGTGGTGGTGCACTCCTGTAATCCCAGCTACTGGGGAGGCTGAGACAGGAGAATCACTTGAAACCGGAATGCGGAGCTTACAGTGAGCCAAGATCGTGCCATTGCACTATAGCCTGGGCAACAGAGCGAGACTCCATCTCAAAAAAAAAAAAAAAAGAAAAAAACAACTTGGAGGGGAGTGACTGGCACTTTCTTAGGACCTGGGGATTAGCAGGGGATAGGTAGATAAGGTTCATGCTCAAAAGGATCTGTTAGTCATTGGTGTGGAGAAAAGAGTTAACAAAGCAGGCCTTGCGGTGGTTGGCTGACATCTGAGGGGAATCTTGGGGATGGTCCCACCACCCTAAGTGATGAGTCTGTCATTGTGCCTAAGTTGTTTGTATAATAAATATGGTTTATGTTGAATATCTGCTTTTCTTCTGGGATTCTGGAATTGGCATATGTGCCAGCCAGGGTTACCTACATGACCAGTCTCCCTAATAACCTTTGGCACTGAGTCTCTGATGAGCATCCCTGGTTGGCATCATTTTACATGTGTGGTCACAGCTCACTGCTGGGAGAATTAAGTGTGTTCATTGCAACTCAACTGGAAGGGAGCACCCGGACGCTTGCTCCTAATTTCCCCTGGACTTTTTGTGCCTTTCTCCTTTGCTGATTGTGCTTAGTATCTTTTTGCTATAATAAATCATAACGATGAGTACAACTGTATATTGAATCTTTTGAATCTTCTTAGCAAATTACTGAACATGAGGGTGGTCTTGGGGAACTCAAAGCATAATTGGTAATATATATTTTCTTCCAGTATATTATACAGGACATGTTGGAGCCTCAGTATATCTGTGCTGGCTCTATAACCTAGCCTGCTAATAAGGGTACAGTCTGGAGGAGCAAGGATGAACATTAGAGGCTTTTATAACCTGGGGAAATTGTGATTTTATTGAGATGAGATAGGGGTGGGAATCTGAACTGTAGAGTCAGGATTTGAGCCCGGGAGATATAGTCTGTGCTGTTAACTATGTTTGATGGTATGATAGATAAAACACCTGTTTTTGTTGTAGAAATTTGTGATGTAAGAGATTGTTGTTGGGAAGACTGTCACCTTCGGCTAACTTAAGGTTTTTCTCAGATTATTGCCAAATGTGTTCAAATGTGGACAATATCTTCATTTTAGTTTCCCTCCTTGCATTTAATAGCAGAACCACCATAACTTCAAAATACCAGTTTAAACAAATTGGAATTTTTGTCTCATCACTAAAGTTTATTTTATTTATTTATTTTTTCCTTGTTATAGAGACAGGGTCTCATGCTGTTGCCCAGGCTGGGGTGCAGTGGCGTGATCATAGCCCATTGCGGCCTCTAACTTCTGGGCTCAAGTGATCCACCTGCCACAGCCTCCCAAGTAGCTGGGACTACAGGCTTGTCACCATGTATGGCTAATTTAAAAAAAATTTTTTTGTTGGGTGTGGTGGGGAGGGGCCTTGCTATGTTGTTTGGGCTTTCAAACTCATGGCCTCAAGCAATCCTCTTGCCTAGGCCTCCTGAAGTGCTAGGATTAGAGGTGTGAGCCACCTCACCTTGCGTAAACTTTATTTTAGAAACTTACTGAGTCCACAGATAAGTGCTTTAGTGTTTTTCTTTGTTTTTTGTTTTGTCTTCATATATATATATAATTTTTTTTTTTTTTTTTGCTATATCCTTAGGTCAGATACTGGTCATCTACCTGGGCTTTTTAAACCATAGAAACAGCATGATAGAATTGAAAGAACACTAGCTTGGTTGAGCAAAGCTAGGATTCAGTCCAAGCTTTGCCTCTGACTTGCTTAGTGACCAGTTGTCCTTGTTCTCTTTAATCCTTATTGCAAAGATTTATTTCAACCTTGTATGGTCTGTGTTCTTTCTTGAATCCCATACCTTGTCACTTCTTTTTTTTTTTTTTTTTTTTTTTTTTTTGAGGTGGAGTGCCAGTGGCTCGATCTCGGCTCATTGCAAACTCTGCCTGCCGGGTTGATGCCATTCTTCTGCCTCAGCCTCCCGAGGAGCTGGTACTACAGGCGCCCGCCACCGCGCCCAGCTAATTTTTTGTATTTTTAGTAGAGACGGGGTTTCGCCGCATACCTTGTGACTTCTATGTCAGTGTTTACTATTATTATTAAAAAATTATATTATTGAGAGTTTATTTTTTGAGTCCTATTGAGATATGGATTGTCATCAAACTTTTATAGTTTTTATTTAAAGCTTTTCACTGATGATTTAGGTCTTGCTGAGCAAATTTACCTAGTATTATCTTTAATTATCCCAAGCTATATCACACAACTCATACAACTCTTCCCCACAGGTTGAGGAGTCCTTTTGTTTAAAATTGTTTCACTGTAATGCTTTCTTACTATTAATGTCAGTATTTCTACCTCAGATGTTAGGTAGAACTGTGTTTAACTTGGAGTGGCATTTAGTTACTCAGATGTTAGGTAGAACTGTGTTTAACTTGGAGTGGCATTTAGTTACAGTATCATATAGAAGTGATTTTTAAAATTATTTCACTTAAAACAGAGCTTAGATAAAGTGCTCTTGGAAACATGCTAATTTGATGTTTACATATATTTTGAGTGATAAATGTGAGGACCTTGAGGGTCCGAAGGAAAGAGAATTAAAAGTAATTCTAATAATCTTCCATTCTCTGTGGCCCCTATACCCCAGCAATTTTTGGTCTCCATTTGACTAGAGATCCAAGTGATTGATGGTAGACCTTCAGATGTCTCTTATTGATCTTTTATAAAGCGTGCCTTTCATTGAGCAGTGATGAGCTCAAGCCTAAACTTAAGAAAATAAGGGGAATTCTGTGGGAAATAATATTTGGGATAGCTTTATCTTCCATTATAGGAAAAATTCATAAAAATTATGTTTAGCCTAGGGCGTTATTTAGTTCATGCATTTCTACTCTTGGAAGTTGCTTTTGGTGTAGGGTGATGATGGTGCACAGTGACAAAAAAATTAACAGAAGAATGTTTAAGTGAAATGATCATCACCAGTATATTAATTTCCTGTTGCTGCTATTAAAAAATCCTACAAACTGAATGGCTTAAAACAATACCAATTTATCATTTTAGCAGGTTTGCAGGTCAGAGTCCAAAAAGAGTCTTATTGAGCTAAAGGCAAGGTGTTAGCAGGCTTGCATTCCTTTTGGAGGTTCTAGGGGAGAATCTGTTTTCTTTTCCAGCTTGGAGAGGCCACCTGCATTCCTTGGCTCATGGCTCCTTCCTCCATCTTTGAAACTAGCAGTGTGTCATCCTTGATTCTGCTCCTCCTTGCCCTCCACTTCCATCATTACATCTTCTCTGGCATGTTTATGACCTTTTGGCTTTATCTGGGTAATACAGGACAATACTGCCATCTCAGTGTCCTTAAGTTATTCACAGAGATTCCAAGGATAGAACAGGACTTCTTTGGGGGCCATTATTCTGCCTAACAAAGTGGATTTGTGATAAAAATTATATATGGAATCTAGATTTTTTGTTTTTTTTTTTTTGTTTTTTTGAGATGGAGTCTTACTCTGTCGCCCAAGCTGGAGTGCATTGGCATGATCTCGGCTCACTGCATCCTCTGCCTCCCCGGTTCAAGCGATTCTCCTGTCTCAGCCTCTGGAGTAGCTTACAGGTGTGTGCCACCACACCCGCCTAATTTTTGTATTTTTGGTAGAGACGGAGTTTTGCTATGTTGGCCAGGCTGGTCTCAAACCCCTGACCTCGAGTGATTCGCCTGCCTTGGCCTCCCAAAGTGCTGGGATTACAGGCTTGAGCCACCGCGCCTGGCCAGAATCTAGATTTTTATAAGTGGTACAGAGTTGGGTGTATTTAAGATGGTATGGGATGATGAAGTACTACTTAAATTAGCCTTTCTCACAGGACCTATTTAAAAATACATGCATGCAAGAGTCATTTAACAATCTCTTTGCAATGGGATCATTTATGTAGGAAATCCCAAGAAATTTATAGAAAAGCTATTAGAATGAATAATTGAGTTTATTAAGTTTACAGAAATAAAGTGACTATAGAAAAAGTAACTCTATATACTAGCAACAAATAATTGGAAGTTGAAATAAAAATTATGATTTATAATAGCATAACAATATGAAAACTGTGGGATAAATTTAACAAAATACGTGCAAGACCTGTATACCAAAAACTACAGAAGATAGCTGAGAGAAATTAATGAATACTGTACCTAAAGAAGTGGAGAGAGGTATCAGAGATATCATGCTCATGGATTAGAAGACTCAATATTTTTAAGATGTCAGTTCTCTCCAAATTAGTCTCTAAATTCAACATTATTCCAGTCAGAATCCCAGAAGGCTTTTTTTGTTGCAACTGACAAGCTGATTCTAAAATTTTTAATGAAATGCAAGGGACCTTCCAAAATCAAAACATTGAAAAACAAAAAGAATGTTTGAGGTCTTACACAACCTGCCTTTAACAGTTATTAAAAAGCTATAGTTATCTGTGGAACATAATACGTAGTCCAGAAATAGACTCACATATTATGGTCAGTTTTTAACAGAAGTGCCAAGGTAACTCAATGGAGAGAAAGGATAGTCTTTTCAACAACAACAACAACAACAACAACAACAACAACAGAATGTATAATACCTTGAACCTTACCTCAGACCATTCACAAAAACTAATTTGAGATGGATCATAAAACTAAATTTAAGAGCTAAAACTATAAAACTGCTAGAAGAAAACATGGGGGAAAATCTCTGGGACCTTGAATTAAGCAGAGGATTCTTGGATAGGACACAAAATTATATTCCATAAAGTTAAAATTGAGAAAATGAACTTCATTAAAATTAAAAACTTTTGCTTTTCAAGAGACACTTAAAAATCATAGATGGCTGGGAAAAATATTTTATCTGGTAAGGACCTTTATTCAGAATATCTAAAGAAATAATGCAACTTAATAATAAGACAAAGTAAAACAAGCACTTGAATGTTCATAGCAGCATTATTCATAATAGCCAAACACTGGAAACAATTCAAATGTTTTATCAGTTGACGAATGGATAAAGAAAATAGTGCGTCCGTACAGTGGAATAATGTTTTACAGTACAAAGCAATGAACTAGTGGATGAGTCATAAAAACATTATATTTACAAAAGAATCCATACACAAAAGACAACAGAGTATACATTACAATTACATGGATTTCCTGTTTTTTTTTTTTTTTTTTTTTTTTGAGTTGGAGTCTCACTGTGTCTCCCAGGCTGGAGTGCAGTGGTATGATCTCGGCTCACTGCAGCCTCTGCCTCCCGGGTTCAAGTGATTTTCCTACCTCAGCCTCTCAAGTAGCTGGGATTACAGGCACGTGCCACCACACCCAGCTAATTTTTGTATTTTTAGCAGAGGCGGGGTTTTGCCATGTTGGCCAGGCTGGTCTCGAACTCCTGACTCAGGTGATCTGCCCGCCTTAGCCTCCCACAGTGCTGGGATTACGGTTGTGAGCCACTGCGCCTGGCCATAATTACACGGATTTCTATTAAATAAAAGGATAAAACTTATAGGGACAGAAAACAGGTCAGTGGTTGCTAAGGATCGGGATGAGGGAGTTTATTTAAAAAAAAAAAATACAATGCATAGGCTAGGAATGGTGGCTCACACCTCTAATCCCAGCACTTTGGGAGGCCAACGCAGGTGACTCACTTGAGCCCAGAAGTTCAAGGCCAGCCTTGGCAAAATGACGAAACTCTGTCTCTACAAAAAGTGAAAATAAAATTAAAAAAAAATAGCTGGGTGTGGTGGCACGTGCCTGTGGTGCCAGCTATTTGGGAGGCTAGGGTAGGAGGATCTCCTGAGGAGGTCAAGGCTGCAGTGAGCCGTGATTGTGCCACTGCACTCCAACCTGGGCAACAGAGTAAGACCCTGTCTCAAAAACAAAAACAAAAAACATGCAAATATGTTGTTTACTTCTTTCGCTGATGTTAACAGTTACTGTAGATTATGTAGCAGTTTCTCAATTCTTTTATTTGAATTTTTGTAACATATACACTCCTAAAGTTATTTTCATCTTCCTTGAAAATAAATTTAATGGTCTGAGTAAAGATTTTGCAGAAGTGATAAACTTCTTGATGCTGGTTTAAAGAATGAAAAACCTTTGGTGCCTTTTGTATGTGTGTGTGTTTTTTATTTGTGTGTGCCAAGTCAATTAGAATACTAATGAGTACTTTGAAAACATTATGGAAAACAGTGGTTTAATGTTTTGTTTTTCTTGAGGAGTTGTGTTATTCATACACAGCTCTAAAGTTGCTTGTGGAATCTTTAGAACATCAGGTTTTTTGATGTCTCTAGGTGCAGGATTTTCTATTAGGTGCTAATAGGGCTGCAGGAATAGCAGGTAGGGGTTCCTTTTTCATGACTAAGAGCAAGCAAGTTCTCTAAGAAGCAAGTGTGGCATATCTAGGCAATATATTAATGCAAGGTTTTGAGAAAATTTAAAATACAAATGAAATGGTTAGCTTTTGACAGGAGAAAAAAGATCAGGAAGAATATGGATCAATTTGTGAGAGAGTAAGATGGGTCTGAAATGTGAGGGGACAATTAGTTGATGAAGTCATTTGCTGAAAATAAGGATAGTGGGACATCATAGGGGATTTAAGGTTATTCTCTGCACAGATTTTTTTTTTTTTTTTTTTTTTTTTTTTTTTTTTTTGAGATAGAGTCTCCCTCTGTCGCCCAGGCTCAAGTGCAGTGGGGCTATCTTGGCTTATTGCAACCTCTGCCTCCTGGGTTCAAGCGATTCTCCTGCCTTGGCCTCCCAAGTAGCTGGGATTACAGGCGCCCACCACCACGCCCAGCTAACTTTTGTATTTTTAATAGAGATGGGGTTTTGCCATATTGGCCAGGCTGGTCTCGAACTCCTGACCTCAAGTGATCCACCTGCCTTGGCCTCCCCAAATGCTGGGATTACAGGTGTGAGCCACCACGCCCGGCCCTCTGCACAGAATATTGGCTAATAGTAAATGTTTTAAAATAATTTAAAAGTTTGTAAAAAATAATCCCTCTCCACTGATTGGTATGTTTTCTAACTTTTGTGGTTACATATACTGCTGCTATAAAGCTTTGTGTGCGCACTTTTTTTTTCAGAATAAAATCTAAGGTCTATGTTAAAGAGTATACCAGATTAAAACCCGTTTGATCTGTATTGCCAGAAGTGTTGGGACCAGTTTACCTTCCCACCACTACTATCTAAAGAATGGCTAGGCAAGTGCTGTGGCTCATGCCTGTAATCCTAGCACTTTGGGAGGCCGAGGTAGGCCGATCACTTGAGGTCATGAGTTCATAACCAGCCTGGCCAACGTGGCGAAACCCTGTCTCTACTAAAAATACAAAAATTAGCCAGGCGTGGTGACACGTGCCTGTAATCCCAGGTACTTGGGAGGCTGAGGCAGGAGAATCACTTGAACCTGGGAGGTGGAGGTTGCAGTGAAAGGAGATCGTGCCACTGCACTCCAACCTGGCGACAGAGTGAGACTCCATGTCAAAAAAAGAGTGGCTGACTTACTGTACCCAGTCTGTTACTGGGTATTCATATTTTTAAAAGGCTTCCTTAATACAGTTGGTGAAAATGTTATACTATTTTGCATTTTCTTGATACTCTTAAGATTTAACTTTTTTTTTTTTTTTTTTTTCTTGAGGCGGCGTCTCACTCTGTCGCCCAGGCTGGAGTGCAGTGGCACAGTCTCAGCTCATTGCAACCTCCGCCTCCCGTGTTCAAGCAGTTTTCTGCCTCAGCCTTTGGAGTAGCTGGGATTACAGGTGCCCGCCACCACGCCTGGCTAATTTTTTTTTGTATTTTTAGTAGACGGGGTTTCATCATCTTGACCAGGCTGGTCTTGAACTCCTGACCTTGTGATCCACCCGCCTTGGCCTCTCAAAGTGTTGGGATTACAGGCATGAGCCACTGAGAATATTGAACATTTTTTAATGTGCTCATTGGTCATTTCTATTCTGTTAGGATTTGCTCCTACATTTTGGGAGGGTGGGATTGGCAACCCTTTTCACATTTCTCTCTTGACCAGTCATTGGGCCAAGAGAACACAAAATTCCAGACAGCATTCATTCTTCTGGGTATCCTGGTGGGCCACACCATTCATCTCCATATTCCACCCATAAGACCGTGAATAAGTGGGTTGAGCATTTTGGAAAAATATTTTCAGTTTCAGATCTATATCTATATATTTTTCAGTAATTATGGAATTGTTGAAAGTTTAGAGATACAAGAGACCTGTATGGTATCTGTTCGAGTCTGCTATACTAGAGAGATAAAAGAGGTTAAATGACTTGTTAAAAGCAATGGAACAGTGAGAGAACATGGGAGTGAACCCAGGTCTTCTGGAAATCTGTCTGTTACTTTGTCAGGTCACGTATTAATGTGTTACCCTTGACCTTCACAAAAGATAGCACCCAACTTTTTAATCTTTTCATTCTCTTTAAATTCAGTCCTTGTGCACAGTGAGAAGGGAGGTAAATTGTGGGTTTTTATGCTTAACCAAACCGTTATCTATGTAATGGCAGCATATTAACAAGATAATTGGTTATCAGAGTGAGCAAGGATTATCTATTATTTAGCCAATTTATTCAAACATAAATTTGGCAGTAATGTAAACATGTTTTCAAAATTTGGGATATTTGTTGTCATCTGCAGTGTTAACTAGGAACAAATGGTTATCTCTATATAAATCTGTAAATAGCGTGGAAATAAGAGGTATTTGTAAATATTTTTGTGTTTGAGAGAGATTGTACAGATAGATGGAAAGCACTAGAGCATTGGTGAAGGGGTGAACAAAATAAAGAGGGCTTTACTGTGCTTGATCAGACTTTTGAAATTTTAAGCTGATTTTTTTAAGGATCCTAAGTCACCTGGGCAAAGAAAGAAATTATAGATTTGGCAAGGGATAAACTTTAAGACCATCAGGTGAAGCAAGGATTATGGATTCTTAAAAATTAAGCTTCATTTTCATTTCTCCTTTTATTTTATAACATTCTAATGACCACCAAATCCTTAAATGATCACCAAAGTTCAACTTCTTTGCCAAAGTAAACTAACATTTAAAAAATTTCAGGGGAGTGAATGCTGTATGTGTAGATTTTATTAGTTCCTTAAAGAACTTTCTAAGTTTTTCAGTGTCCTTATGATATTTTGAACTTGTTTACATTTTTATTCCTTCTACCCAAGTTTATGTGATAAAGTAAAAAAAAGTAGTTATATGGTAATATTTCCTCTGTAATATTCTTCCTCCAGTTGTCTGTGGGTTAGTAGTCACTGCTCTTCTCTTCTCTTTTAGAGGCACACTAGGATAGGGAAAACATGGGCTTTGAAAGCTCACTGCTCTGTTTTGAAGGCTCAGCTCTCCCACTGCTGACTCTGATTTCTTTCTTTCCTTTCACTCCCTCCTTCCTTCTTCGTGGTGGGGGTGTGGTATTTAAACTTTATGAGCTCCAGTGTCATTACATGTAGAATGGTAATACCTGTGTCACAGGGTTGTGAGGATTAACTGAGCTTGTGAAGTAATGTCTGGCACAAAGTAAGGGTTTGATAAATGAGTAGGTGTTTGGTAATTATGCCAGGTCTTAGTTTTTTTTTTTGAGCACTCATTCACTTTATTACTTTGCAGGAAGCATTTGTGAATTATATTTTGTTTGGTAAAAAATGTAATTGAAGAGATTCTGAGACTAGACCAGTGCAAAAATACTTGATGGAAGCCTCAGGAAAATAAAGTAGTTAATACTTTTTTTTTTTTTTAACTTTTTATCTGCTGATTCACTAGAGTAGACATTAGTGAGAGATACACAGCAGAAACCCTACCCTACCTTGCCCTGAGGAGCCTTTACTTTAAAGAGGCAGGCCATAAACACAGAGTGTATTCTGGAAAGTGTAATGCAAGCTTTAGATGTTAAATAAATTCAGAGAAAGTAAAAATCACCAAGAATGGGGGCTGGGGAAGGTTTTTAATAAAAGAGGTAGTTCTTGAGGAAGAGTGAAATCAAACTTAAAGGAGAATGGCAAAGTTATTTCATGTAGGAATAACCAGGTAAACAGGTTTGTGCATATACTTAGTGGACATGCTTTGTACGTACCTTTCTGAAGACAGGTGTAAGTACTGGGCAGAAATGTCAGGGAGAAAATAGACAAAGGGACAATTGTTGATTTGGGAGTTATCGGCATAGAAGTGTTTCCTAAAGCCATATTACTCCATTCAACACTTGTCTAACCAGAGGGTCAATGATGAAGATTTTGTAGAGAGGCAATGGGATGAAGTAGAATCGTCCCATTCTTTGTGAAGGAAGACTGTAAGGAAAACCAGAACAGAGAAGCCTTGGGAGAAGAGGTTTTTTTAATTTTTTTATTATTTTATTTTATTTTTTTAACACAGAACCTCACTCTGTCACCCAGGCTGGAGTGTAGTGGCACCACAATGGCTCACTGCAGCCTCAAACACCTGGGCTCAAATGATCTTACCTCAGCCTCCCAGGTAGCTGGGACTACAGATGTATGCCACCATCAGAGGAACTAGAAAACGCCATTTGATTTTTGTATTTTTTTGGTAGACATTAAAACTATTTTCTAAGCTCTTATGAAAATTTCTGTGGTGAAGCTGAATCCAAATTGCCTCAGAGTCTGTTTTTTTTACCTGCTATGCAGTGCAGTAAGATTTAAGAAAGTGAATCTTTAGTATTTTTATGCTTTTCTTAGGCAGTCCTTTACCATTTTTAACACCTTTGCCACATTTCATTGCTTGTTTTGTTTTCTGTGTTTAGTTTACTTTTGAAACAAATACATATTTTCTCTTGGGATTCTGACAACTTATGTGGTCTGTGAAGAAAATTGTTTGGAATTTGTTTCGCAGCGGAAGGAATGTTATTAATATGGGTGTAAATGGCCCTTGAAATAAGGCTTAATGGAACTTTTGTCAGGGTTACTTTGTTTTGTTTGAGGAATTATAGTTAACTCTTGAATAAACTGATACAGTTGACAAAAATTGGTTTCTGGGAGACTTGTCAGTGTATTTTTGAAAAAACACACATTTCTTTTTTAGCACATTTGCTTTCTTATCTTACAGAAGTACAATTCTTTTTGTATAAATGAATATAATAGTGTCTTTTCAGTACAATTGGGCTTCTTAAATATTTGAATACAGTATATACGAAGTGGTGGTTTTATAACATATATCTGCCCTCTGCTGGTGAAAATGCGTTATTGCTGTGAATTTAACAGCTTTAGTAATTTCTTTGAATGTAATAATACTCTGTAATTTCAAAAGTTGTCATAAAACTAAACTTGGGAAAAAATACCCTTATCATTTGAAAGGAACATTCTCTTTGGGACAGTTCTGCACAATGAATTATTCTGCCCAAAATGCCAGTAGTGCCCTGTTTGAGAAATATTGACCTAATATACTGATGATGATGATTTTTACATTGTGGCTGTCTCTCTGTGTTTTTTTTAAGTTTTTCTGTAAGTTCTAGGTTTGTCCTGTCCAGTGTGGAAGTCACTAGCCATAAGGCTATTTAACCGAATTTAAACATTCACTTTCTTAATTCCAGTAGCCTCATTTCTAGGCTTAATAGCCACTGTGGCTAGGAGCTAATGTATTGGATAATGCAGATTATAGAATGTTTCCAGCATCATGGAAAGTACAGTTTGACAGTGCTGTTTTAATTTTTAAATTTTAAAAAATGAGGATTATCATTTTCATGAAGTAATCATTTTCTTAAATTTGTGATGAATTTCTTTGCCATGTATTCTTTTCACATTACAGCAGTTTCTCAAAAAACAATTCCAATTAACCAAGGGAAATATATTTAGTAGGATTTTAGGTTATTAAGATTTTATTGTACCATGTAATTTGCTGCAACTTATATATTTATTGCTGAATGATTATAGTACATTTTTCTCAATGTAGGGCATTGAGTATTTCTAGTATTTTGCTTCTCTGTTTTGAAGAGTAAAGTTAGGTTAAGAATAATGGTCATTTTTTTGCCGCCATTTAGTTGAGATAATAGCTTCTTTACTCTTTTGGTGCATGTTTGGGATGGAAGGAAAGCTATGAATCAAAACATACATAGAGAAACTATAATGTGTGAATCACAGTTGAATATATGTTGGATGATTAAAAAAATACATAGACACTTGACCCAGTTTCTCCTAATGGTAACATCTTGTAAAATTATAGACAAATGTCACAACCAAGATACTGATGTTGATACAACCCACCAATCTTACTGTGACTTCTGCAGTTTTGCTTGTACAGTAATTTGTGTGTGTGTGTGCATGTATTTTTATTCAATTTTATCAAAAGTGAAGATTCATATATCTGCCACCACAGTCAAGATATGGAACAGTTATATACCACAAGAATCTCTTGTGTTGCCCTCTTAAAACCACACATACTTTTCTCTGTCCCACCCCACCCATCCATTCCTAACCCATAGCATCCATGAATCTGTTTTTCACTTCCAAAATTTTGCCATTTCAAAAATGTTATAAAAATAGAATCATGCAATATGTAACCTTCTGGGATCGGCCTTACTCAGTGTAATTCTTTCAAGACACATCCAAGTTTTTGCGTCTGTTAATAGTTCTTTTCTTTTTATTAAATAGAATTTTGTGATATGTTTGTGCCATAGTTTGTTTAACCATTCATCTGTTGAAGGACCTCTGGACTGTTTGTAGTTTTTTAGTATTAAAAATAAAGCTGCTGTTAACATTTTTGTATAGATTTTTGTGTGGATGTAGGTTTTTATTTCTCTGATAAGTGCCCAGTAGTGCAGTTTGCTGGGTTGTATGGTGATTGCATGCTTAGATCCATAAAAAAAGTGCCAAACTTTTCAAAAGTGGTTGTACCATTTTATACATCTACTAATGATGTGAGCTATTTAGTTGGTCCTTTGCCAGCATTTGGTGTTGTGACTGTTTTTTATTTTAGTAATTATGTTAGATGTGTTGTAACAGTGATATTGGCTTCAATTTGGATTCTCCTAGTGGTTTATGGTGTTGAACATCTTTTCATGTGCCAGTTTTCCATCTGTATGTCCTCTTCAGTGAAATGTCTGTTCATGTTTCATTTTCTAAATAGATTTTGTTTTTTACTGTTGAGTTTTGAAAGTGCTTTATATATTCTAGATACTAGTCGTTTGTCAGATATGTGCAAATACTTTTTCCTACTTTGTAGCTTAACTTTACATCCTCTTCACATGGTCTTGCATAGAAGAAAAGTTAGTTTTGAAGAGGTTCAATTTATTAATTTTTTTTATGGACTGTATTTTTAGCAAGTCTAAGTACAATTTGCCTAACCCTAGATCCTGAAGATTTTCTCATATATTGTTTCCTAAAAGTTTTACAGTGTTATGTTTTATATTTAAGTCCATGATCCATTTTGAGTTGCATTTTATATATGATACAAGGTATGGATCAAAGTTTTTTTTTTTTGCATATGGATATTTGATCCTTTGAGAACATTTAGACAGAGTCTTACTCTGTCACCCAGGCTGGAATGCAGTGGTGCGATCTGGGCTCACTGCATACCCTACGTCCCAATCTGCTTCAAGTGATTCTCATGTCATGCCTCAGCCTCCTAAGTAGCTGGGATTACAGGTGTGCGCCACCACGCCTGGCTAATTTTTGTAGTTTTAGTAGAGATGGGGTTTCACTATGTTGGCAGGGCTGGTCTTGAACTCCCGACCTCAGGTGATCCACCCGCCTCAGCATCCCAAAGTGCTGGGATTGCAGGTGTGAGCCACTGTGCCCGGCCTGAGAACCATTTCTTGAAAAGATTAGTCTTTCTCCTTTTGCACCTTTTTAAAAAAGTTAATTGACCATGTATGTCCAGGAGGGAGCACTTCTGAAATTTATTATGTTCCATTGATCTGTTTGTCTGCCTTTATGCCAATGTTGTACAGTCTTTATTACTGTAGCTTCTTAATAAGCCTGGAAGTAAGTAAGGTAGTGTAAGTCTTCCAACTTTGTTATTTTTTTCGAAGTTGTTATGCCTATTCTAGGTTTCTTGAATTTTCATATGAATTTTAGAATCACTTTGTCAATTTCTACAAATAATCTCAGATTTCAATGGGGAATCATTTGAGTCTGTAGATCCATTTGAGAGAGAATTGACATCTTTTAATATAGAGTCTTCCAATCTGAACAAAATATATCTCTCCAATTATTTAGATCTTACTTAATTTTGCTTGGCAGTATTTTATAGTTTTCAGTGTATGGGCCTTCCTTATTTTTTGTTAGATTTTTCCATAAGGTTTTATTTTTTAATGCTATTGTAAAAGATACTTTAAAAATTTTAATTTCTGATTATTACTAGTATATAGAAATACCGTAGGTTGCTGCATACTTAGGACATCTTGCAACTTAGTTAACCTCATTTATTTGTTTTCATAGCTTTTTTCGTGGATTCTATTAGGTCTCCTACCTAGACAATTATCATCCTCGAATAAAGGCAATTTTTGCTTTTTTCCAATTTGAATACCTTTTATTTCCTTTTTCTTATTTTATTGCACTGACTAGAACCTTTAGTAAAAATAGAAGTGGTGAAACTGGACTTGCTTGTTTTGTTCCTGATACTAAGGGAGAAAGGGTTCAGACTTTATCTTTTATGTAAAAGTCTTACAGATACCTTTTATCAAGTTGAGGAAATTTCCTTTGTTGCTAGGTTGCTGAGAATTTTCATCAGAAATGTATGTTGAATTTTATCAAATGCTTTTCTGCATCTTTTGAGATGATCATATAGTTTTTAAAATCTTTTTTTTTTGTTTTTTGAGACGGACTTTCGCTCTTGTTGCCCAGGCTGGAGTGCAGTGGTGCGATCTCGGCTCACTGCAACCTCCGCCTCCTGGGTTCAAATGATTCTCCTGCCTCAGCCTCCTGAGTAGCTGGGATTACAAGCATGCACCACCACGGTCAGCTAATTTTGTATTTTTAGTAGAGATGGGGTTTCTCCATGTTGGTCAGGCTGGTCTTGAACTCCTGACCTCAGGTGATTTGCCCGCCTTGGCCTCCCAAAGTGCTGGGATTACAGGCCACCCGGCCGGTTTTTAAGTTCTTTAATATATTGAACTACATTGATTTTCACACATTAAACTGCATTCCTGGGAGAAACTACACTTGGTCTTGATGTATCTTTTATATATATATATATATATATTTTTGAATTTGATTTGCTATGATTTTACATATTGTCATGAAGGGTGTTGAACTGTAGGTTTTATTTCTTGTGATATCTTTGTCTGGTTTGGTATCAGAATAATTTTAGGCTCACCAAATGAATTAGATAGTATTCTCCTCCTCCCCCTTCCCCCCTTCCCCACTGTTTTTTTTTCCCCTCAATTTCCGGAGGAGTTTGTATAGAACTGACACTATTCCTTAATCGTTTGGTAGATTTCCCCAGTAAAGCTATCTGGGCCTTGAGTTTTTGTTTGTTTTTTGCTGAGCAGATTCAGTTTATTTAATCGATATTAGGCCATTCAGGTTATCTTTTCCTTCTGGAGAGAGCTCATTTCTGTCTTTCAAGGAGTTGGTGCACTTATAGCATAAAGTTGTTTATGATATTCCTTTATTGTATCTGTAGAATCTGTAGTAATGTCTCTTCTATCATTGCTGATATTGGTAGTTTGTATTTTCTCTCTTTCTTCATCAGCCATGCTAGAGATTTACCTATTTTATTGATGTTTTTCAAATAATCAGTCTTTATTTTCATTGACTTTTTTGTTGCCTTTTGGTTTTCTACTTCACTGATTTTTTAAAATTTTTATGGGTACATATAATAGTAGGTGGATATATTTATGGGGTACATGAGATATTTTGATATGGGCATACAAAGCATAATAGTCACATCAGGGTAAATGAGGTTTCCATCACCTCAAGCATTTATCATTTCTTTATGTTACAAACATTACAGTTATACTATTAGTTATTTTAAAATGTGTGATAAATTATTGTTGACTGTAATCACCCTGTTGTGTTATCAAATACTAGATCTTACTCATTCTAACTATATATTTAAACCCATTAACCATCTCAATTCTGTGGCCCTCTGCACCAACCCCCTACTCTTCCCAGTTTCTGGTAATCATCATTCTACTCTCTATCTCCATGAGTTCAATTGTTTTAATTTTTAGCTCCTATAAAAGAGTGAGAATGTGAGAAGTTTGTCTTTCTGTGCCTGACATTTCACTTAACATAATATCCTCTAGTTCCATCCATGTTGTTGCAGATGACAGGACCTCATTCGTTTTTATTGCTGAATATAGTACTCCAATGTGTATATGTACCACGTTGTCTTTATCCATTCCCCTGTTGATGGACACTTAGGTAGCTTCCAAATGTTGGCTATTGTGAATAGTGCCACAATAAACATGGCCGTGCAGGTATCTCTTCAGTATAATTATTTCCTTTCTTTTGGGTATATAGCTAGCAGTGGGATTGCTGGATCGTATGGTAGGTCTATTTTTGGTTTTTTTGAGGAATCTCCGTACTGTTCTTCATAGTGGCTGCACTAATTTGCCCTTTTCTCCACATCCATGCCAGCATTTGTTATTTTCAGTCTTTTGCATAAAAGCCATTTTAACTGGAGTGAGATGATATCTCATTGTAATTTTAATTTGCATTTCTCTGATAATCAGTGATGTTGAGCACCTTTTCATATACCTGTTTGCCATTTGTATGTCTTCTTTGGAGAAATGTCTGATTAGATCTTTTGTCCATTTTAAAATCAGATTATTATATTTTTTCCTATGGAGTTGTTTGAGCTCATTATATATTCTGGTTATTAATCCCTTGTCAGATGGAGAGTTTGTAAATATCTTATCTTATTTTGTGGGTTGTCTCTTCACTTTGTTGTTTCCTTTGTTGTGCCAAAGCTTTATAACTTGATGTGATCCCATTTGTCCATTTTTGCTTTGGTTGCCTGTGTTTGTGGGGTACTACTCAAGAAATTTTTGCCTGGGCAGAGTGTCCCCAATGTTTTAGTAGTTTCATAGTTTGAGGTCTTAGATTTAAGCCTTTAATCTATTTTGACTTGAATTTTGAATATGGTGAGAGATACGAGTCAAGTTTTATTCTTCTGCATATTTATATCCAGTTTTCCCAGTACCATTTACTGGAGAGACTGCTCTTTTACCCAATGTATGTTCTGGGCCCCTTTGTCAAAAATGAGTTCACTCTAGATGTATGGATTTATTTCTGGGTTTTCTATTCGATTCCATTTGTCTATGTGTCTATTTTTTGTTGTTGTTTTTGAGATGGAGTCTCGCTCTGTTGCCCAGGCTGGAGTGCAGTGGCGTGATCTTGGCTCACTGCAATCTCCGCCTCCCAGGTTCACGCTGTTCTCCTGCCTCAGCCTCCCGAGTAGCTGGGACTACAGGTGCCCACTACCATGCCCGGCTAATTTTTTGTATTTTTAGTAGAGACAGGGTTTCACCATGTTAGCCAGGATGGTCTTGATCTCCTGACTTCATGATCTGCCCACCTCGGCCTCCCAAAGTGCTGGGATTACAGGCGTGAGCCACTGCGCCCAGCCTATGTGTCTATTTTTATGCCAGTACCATGCTGTTTTGGTTACTATAGCTATGTACTATAATTTGTTTTTGTTTTGGTAGGCTGTTTTAGAAGATCTGTAGTATAATTTGAAGTCAGGTAATGTGATTCCTCCAGTTTTGTTCTTGTTGCCTGGACTATTCTGGGTCTTTTGTGGTTTCATGTAAATTTTAGGATTTCTGTGAAGAATGTCATCTTCTTTTTTTTTTTTTTTTTTTTTTTTAAGACAGAGTCTTGCTCTGTCACCAGGCTGGAGTGCAGTGGTGCAATCTCTGCTCACTGCAACCTCTGCCTTCCAGGTTCAAGCGATTCTCCTGCCTCTGCCTCCTGAGTAGCTAGGACTACAGGTGTGTGCCATTACAGCCAGCTAATTTTTGTATTTTTAGTAGAGACAGGGTTTCACCTTGTTGGCCAGGATGGTCTCCATCTCTTGACCTCATGATCCGCCTGCCTCGGCCTCCCAAAGTGCTGGGATTACAGGCATGAGCCACCGTGCCTGGCCATCATTGTATTTTAATAGGGATTGCGTTGAATCTGTAGATTGCTTTGGGTAGTGTGGACATTGTAACAATATTGATTCTGACAGGTGGAGAGGCCAGGTTGGCTAAAGCTTTGGCCTCCAGCTTTGGAAAATGGCATTGGGGGAAGGATGGAGGGGTTGAGAAAATGAAAAACTGTGAGACCTGGAAGTTGATTTGAGACTCATATATTTAAAGCAAAATTGGTTAAAAATTTAAGGGGTTTCTTGGGTATCACTCAAAGTATTGAAGATGACCCATCTTTGGATACCCAGCTTCTCTTAACATTGCTCACTAGAAGCTCATTTTAGACCCTGATTCTATCTTTTTCCTACAGTCATCATAACAAATCTTTTGTTTATTCATGTTGTGTTATTTTTAGCATTTTTAACAGATGTGGTTTGTTCTTACCCTAATCTAAATGAAGACAGGTGCCCAGGAAACTATACCAACCCTCTTGAAGTTCAAATGGTTGTAATCCTTTGGAAAGTTACTTTGTGGTGGATTTTCTGTTTACATCTTGAATGCTACATCCAGTATCACCACAGCAAAGTCAGAAATCGAGGCTATAACTTGATCTACTGATGGATAAGGCATCTCAAGAGATTTATGTTAATGATACACTCCACTGGCAACACAATAATTCTCTTCATACTGTGTTGCAGCATTCCTTCCTGGAACCCAGCAGATCAGATTATATCTTGATCTCCTTCTGGCCATCCTGGCCCTGGTGCTGATCTGTTTTCTGATGTGTCTGCTCATTTACACAGTGAAAATCTGGAAGTTTAATAAAGCTAAGCCATATCCTGATGTACTTGAAGAAGGAAAAATCTGTACTTAACCCAGCAGTATTACCTCAGAGACTGGATTCAGGACTATTTGAAACCTAGAAGAAGTTGTTGAAAAGCAAGGAGACATAATAGTATATATGAAGCGACACAATGAAGTGTTGAGTGACTGTTGGCTCTCACTTCCTTGGACCTAGCCTGTTAGCCAAGTAGAATGTGAGAGGCTTACAGTCTTGACAGCAATTGCAGAAGAATCCAGAGTAATCTCACAAGCTGCCATAGAGAATTGCAGCTTTTGCTGAATAGCATTTTATAATTTTTGTTGGAAACCTGAATTTGGTTCTCACCTGTGTGGCTGTATACCATATAGGGTTTGGGGGTAAAGGTACCTTGTAAACACCTTAATAACTTGAGGATAATGTCTGTTGTTTACTTTTTGAAATTATTTAACTGCTTGGTCTTAGGATCAAAGGTATAATTTAAACAACAACAACAAAAATCCAATATTGAATCTTTCAATCCATGAACATGGAATATATTTCCGTTTTTTTGTGCGTCTTTTTCAGTTTCTCGCATCAATGTTCTATTCACTGTGGAGATCTTCCATTTCTTTTCAAGTTTATTTATCTCATTGTATTTGTAGCTGTCGTAATGGGATTACTTTCTTGATTGCTTTTTCTCATTGTTTGCTCTTGACGTAGAAATGCTACTGATTTTTGTATATTGATTGTGTATCCTGCAACCTTACTGAATTTGTTTATTCTAGTAGTTTTTTGGTAGGGTCTTTAGTTTTTTCTAAATATAAGATCATATTACCTACAGACAAGTATACTTTGACTTTTTCCTTTCCAAATTGGATGCCCTTTCTTTCTCTTGTCTGATTGCTCTAGCTAGACATTGTTTGACTATTATGCTGAATAACAGTAGTGACAGTGGGCATCCTTGTCTTGTTCCAGGTCTTTGAGGAAAGGCTTTCAGTTTTTCCCCATTCAGTATGATACTAGCTAGGGGTGTGTCATATATGGCTTTTATTGTGTTGAGGTATGTTCCTTCCATACCCAATTTTTTTTGGGTTTCTATCATAAAGGGATGTTGAATTTTATCAGAATCTTTTTCAGTATCAGTTGAAATGATTATTTGGTTTTTGTCCTTCATTCAATGTTGATATGATGTATCACATTGGTTAATTTGCATATGTTGAACTATCATTGCATCCTTGGGATAAATCCCACTTGGTCATGATGAATGAACTTTTTAATATGTTGTTTAATTTGATTTGCTAGTATTTTGTTGAGGATTTTTGCGCCAGTGTTCATCAGGATATTGGCTTCCTTTTCTTTGATGTGTCTGTCTGGTTTTGGTATCAGGGTGATACTAGCCTTGTAGAATGAGTTTGGAAGTATTCCCTCCTCCTCTATTTGTCCGAATAGTTTGAGTAGGATTGGTATTAGTTCTTCTTTAAATGTTTGATAGAATTCAGCAGTGAAGCCATTGGGTCCTGGACTTTTCTTTGCTGGGATACTTTGTATTACAGCTTCAATCTCATTTCTTGTTATTGGTCTATTTAGATTTTGGATTTCTTTGTGGTTTAATTTTGGTAGATTGTATGTGTCTAGGAAATTATCCATTTCGTCTAGCTTTTCCAATTTATTGGCATATAGTTTCTCATAGTAGCCTCTAATGATGGTTTGAATTTCTGCAGTATTGGTTGTAATGTCTCCTTTTTCATCTCTGATTTTATTTATTTGTGTCTTCTTTCTTCGTCTGGCTTATCTTTTGCTTATCTTTTCAAAAAAAACAGCATTTTGTTTCATTGATCTTTTGTATTATTTCAATTTCATTTATTTCTACTCTGATATTTATTATTTCTTTTCTTCTAATTTTGGGCTTGGTTTGCCTTTGCTTTGCTAGTGTTTAAAGCTACATCATTATGTTGCTTATTTGAAGTCTTCTGCTTTTTTAGTGTAAGTGCTTATTGCTATAAACTTTCCTCTTAGTACTGCTTTTGTCTTATCCTACAGGTTTTGGTATGTTGTGTTTTTATTTTTATTTGTTTCAAGACATTTAAAATTTCCTTTTAAATTTCTTCATTGACGCCTTGGCCTTTCAGGAGAATACTATTTAATTTCCATATATTTGTATAGTATCCATAGTTCTTCCTGTTATTGATTGCTAGTTTTATTCCATCATGGTCAGAGAAGATATTTGATGTGAATTCAAATTTTTTGAATTTTAAGAGTTGTTTTGTGGCCCAGCATATAGTCTATCCTTGAAAATGATCCATGTGCTGAGGAGAAGAATGTGTATTCTGCAGCTGTTGGATGAAATGTTTTGCAGATATCTGTTAGGTCCGTTTTGGTCTATAGTTCAGATTAAGTCCAATGTTTCTTTGTTAATTTTCTGTCTGGATGATCTAATGCTGAAAGTGGGGTGTTGAAATCTCCAGCTATTAACTTGGGGTATATCTTTGTCTTTAGCTCTAATAATATTTGCTTTATATATTTGGGTTTTACAGTGTTGGGTGCATATATATTTACAATTGTTATATCATCTTGCTGAGTTGACCCCTTTATCATTATAAAATGACCTTTATCTCTGTAGTTTTTCTCTTGAAATCTATTTTGTCCAATATAAGCTACTCCTGCTCTTTTTTGATTTCTATTTGCATGCAGTATCTTCTTCCATCCCTTTATTTTCAGTCTTTGTGTGTTATTACAGGTGAAGTGTGTTTCTTGTAGGTAACAGTTCATTGGATGTTGCTTTTTTATCCGTTTAGCCACTCTTTGTCTTTTGATTGGAGAGTTTAATTCATTTATATTCAATGTTATTGATATGTAAGGACTTAATACTGCCATTTTGTTATTTGTTTTCTGGTTGTTTTGTGGTCTTCTCTTCCTTTATTCCTTTTTTTTTTTTTGAGACAAGAGTCTCACACCATTGCTGGGGCTGGAGTGCAGTGGTGCAATCTCAGCTCACTGCAACCTCCGCCTCCTAGGTTCAAGCAATTCTCCTGCCTCAGCCTCCCTAGTAGCTGGGATTACAGGTGCCCACCACCACACCCAGCTAATTTTTTTGTATTTTTAGTAGAGACGGGTTTTCACCATGTTGGCCAGGCTGGTCTTGAACTTCTGACCTCGTGATTTGCCTGCCTCGGCCTCCCCAAGTGCTGGGATTACAGGCGTGAGCCACCACGCCTGGCCGCTTCTTGTCTTTTTGTGAAGATGATTTTCTCTGGTGGTATGTTTTAATTCATTGCTTTTTATTTTTTATGTATCTTGTGTAGGGTTTTTTGACTTGATGTTACCATGAGGCTTGCAAATAACGTAATCCATTATTTTAAACTGATGACAACTTAATTGCCAAAACAAACAAGCAAAGAGAAAACTAATAAAACCTCTACACTTTAACTTCATCCCCCACACTTCTTAACTTTTGGTTATTTCTATCTTATTGTATTGTGTCTTGAAAAGATGTAGTTATTTTCTGATGGGTTCATCTCTTGGCCTTTCTACTCAAGATATGAACAGTTTATACACCACAATTACAATGCTACAATATTCTGCGTTTTTTTGTGTGCTTACTATTACCAGTGAGCTTTTTACCTTAAGATGATTTCTTATTGCTCGTTAACATCATTTTCTTTCAGATTGAAGAACTTCCTTCAGCATTTCTTATAGGACATGTCTGGTGTTGATGAAATCCCTTAGCTTTTGTTTGTCTGGCAATGTCTTTATTTCTCCTTCACTTGAAGGATATTTTCACTTGATATGCTATTCTAGGATAAAAGTTTTTTCCTTCAGCACTTAAAATATGTCATATCACTTTCTCCTGGCCTGTAAGGTTTCCACTGAGACATATGCTGCCAGATGTGTTAGAGCTCCTTTGTATGTTACTTGTTTCTTTTCTCTTGCTTCTTTTAGGATCCTTTATCTTTGACATTTAGGAATTTGGTAATTAAATGTCTCGAGGTAGTCTTATTTCGGTTAAATCTGTAACCTCTCTGTGCTTTTGAATTGTGATATTGTTGTCTAGGTTTGGAAAATTCTCTGTTATTATCCCTTTGAATCAGCCTTCTACCCCATCTCTCTCTACCTCCTTGTTAGGTTAATGACTATTAGATTTGCCATTTTAGGACTGTTTTCTAGATTTCGTAGGCATGCTTCATTCTTTTTTATCATTTTATTCTTTTGTCTCTTCTGACTGTATTTTGAAATAGCCTGCTTCAAGCTTACGAATTATTTCTTCTGCTTGATCAATTCTGCTGTTGAGAGACTCTGACGCATTCTTCAGTATGTCAGTTGAATTTTTCAGGTTCAGAATTTCTGCTTGATTTTTAGTTATTTCAATCTCTTGTTAAATTTATCCGATAGAATTCTGAATTCCTTTTCAGTGTTATCTTGAATTTTGTTGAGCTTCGTCAAAACAGCTGTTTAGAATTCTCTGCCTGAAAGGTCACATATCTCTGTCACTCTGGGATTGATCATTTGTGCCTTATTTAGTTCATTTGGGGAGGTCATGTTTTCTTGGATGGTCTTGATGCTTGTGGATGTTTGTTGATGTCTGGGCATTGAAGAGTTAGGTATTTATTGTGGTCTTTTCTGTCTAGGCTTGTTTGTCCTCATCCTTCTTGGGAAGGCTGTCCAAGTATGCAAAGGAATTGAGTGTCCTGATCTAAGTCTTTGCTTATTGCAGCTGCATCTGCATTAGTGGGGACCCAGACCCAGTAACACTGACTCTTGCAGACCGGTAGAGGTACTGCTTTGGTGGTCTTAGGTGAGATCTGAGAGAATTCCCTGGATTACCAGGCAGAGACTCTTGTTTTCTTCCCTTACTTTCCTGCAAACAAATGGAGTCTCTCTCTCTGTGCAGAGCTTCCTGCGGCTGAGGGAGGGATGAAACAAGTACCCATGTGACCACCACCACTGGGACTGCGCTGGATTAGACCTGAAACCAGCATAGCACTGAGTCTTACCCGGGACCTGTGGCGACCACTGCCTGGCTACCACTGATGTTCTCTCAAGGCCCAAGAGCTCTTCAGTCAGCAGGTAGTGAATCCGGCCTGGCTTGTATCCTCCCTTCAGGACAGCGAGCTCTCCACTGGCCCAAGGTGGGTCCAGAAATGCCTGAGAACCAGGGCTTGGAGTCAGGAAGCTTAGGATTCCACTTAATGCACTGTTCTGCTGTGGCTGAGTTGGCATCCAAGCTGCAAGACAAAGTTCTTAACATTCTTCCCTCTCCTTTCTTCAAGTGGTAGTCTTTCCTCATGACCACCACTGCCCAAGGCCTGTGGTGAGTACTGCCTCGCCACTGCTGATGTTAACGTAAGGTCCGAGGGCTCTTCAGTGAGTTTGTAGTAAATGTTGCCAGGCCTGGGTCTCTCCCTTCAAGGCAGTGGGCTCCTCTTTGGCCCAGGGTGGGTCCAGAAATGCCATCCAGGAGCCAAGGCCTGGAATCTGGGATCCTAGGAGCCTGCTTGGTGCTCCACACCACTGTGACTTAGCTGGCAACCAAACTGTAAGACAAAGTCCCCGTTATTCTTCCCTTTCCTTTCCTCAAGCAGAAGGTGATATGGTTTGGGTATTTGTCACACCCAAATCTCATGTTGAGATGTTGTATTCCCCAGTGTTGGAGGTGGGGCCTGGTGGGAGGTTTGTGGGTCACAGGAATGGATTCCTCGTACCTTCGTGCTGTTCTTGAGATAGTGAGTGAGTTCTCATGAGATATGATTATTTAAAAGTGTGTGGCACCTCCCTCTGCCCCTTGCTCCTTCTCTCGCCATATGGCCTGCAAGCACCTGCTTCACCTTCTGTCGTGAGTAAAAGCTCCCTGAGGCTTCCGCAGAAGCCAAGCACATGCTGGTGCCATAATTGTACAGCCAGCAGAACAGTGAACCAATTAAACCTCTTTTCTCTTTTCAGACAGTCTCACTGTCACCCAGGCTGAAGTGCAGTGGCATGATCTCGGTTCACTGCAACCTCCATTTCCCAGGTTCAAGCGATTCTTGTGCCTCAGCCTCCAGAGTAGCTGCGATTACAGGATGTACCACCATGCCTGGCTAATTTTTGTGTTTTTAGTAGAGATGGAGTTTCACCATGTTGGCCAGACAGGTCTCAAACTCCTGGCCTCAAGTGATCCACCTGCCTTGGCCTCCCAAATTGCTGGGATTACAGGTGTGAGCCATGGCACCCAGCCTAAACTTCTTTTCTTTGTAAATTACCCAGCCTCAGATATTTATGTATAGTAACAGAAGAACGACCTAATACAGAAGGAGTCTCTCCCCATAGCCACCACAGCTGTGAACATGGTGGGTCATGCTTGAAGCCTGCATGGCACTGGGTCTTACCCAAGGCCTGCAGCAAGTTCTACTTGGCTACTAGCAAGTACCGGCAAGTATTACCTGCTGGTGTTTGTTCAAGACCCAAGGGCTCTTTAGTCAGCAGGTAATGGATCCTGCCAGAACTGTGTCCTTCCCTTCAAGGCAGTGGGTTCCCTTCTGGCCCAGGGTGTGTCTAGAATTGTCATCGGGGAGCTAGGTCCTGGAATGGGGGCCTCAGGACTCTGCCTGGTGCTCCATTCTCTTGTGGATGAACTGATATCCAAGTTGCAAGGCAAAGTCGTCTTTACCCTCCCCTCTTCTCTCCTCACACGGAAGGAAGGAGTCTCTCCTAGAGCTGTGAGCTGTGCCACCTGGGATTGGGGGAGTGGTGATGCAAGCACTCCCTTGGCTGCCCCAGCTGGTATCTCAGCTCACTGCTACCTCCACCTCCTAGGCTCAAGCAATCCTTCTACCTCAGCCTTCCTAGTAGCTGGGACTATAGGCACACACCACCATGCCTGGCTAATTTTTTTGTATTTTTGGTAGAGATGGGTTTTGCCATGTTTCCCAAGCTTGTCTCGAACTCCTGAGCTCAAGTGATCCACCCGGCTCTGGATCACAGGCATGAGCCACCATGCCTGGCCTGGTGTCTTACTAGGTCACGTGCACCCAAAGTCCACTGGCTGCAAGCCCAGCACAGCACCGGGACTTGCCTAGGGATTGCAGTCCTTGTGGCCAAGACTGCCTTTCAAGTTTATTTAGGACCCTAGAGTGCTTTAGCATGCACTGGTGGGACTAGCCAGAACTCAGGTTCTCGCTGCTGGGATGGATGATTTTCCTCTGGTTAAGGCTGGTATAAAAGTTCCTTCCTTGGGCCCCAGCTGATTTCTGCCCTGTGTCGCTTCCCACCATGATTGGCAGGACAGAGTTTCAATGCCAAGTCCCACAATCACTGCGTTCTCCCTTCCCCAAGCACACATTCTCTCTCTGTCATACAGCTGCTGTCCAGGGGGTTGAGGAGGGTAGTGTAGGCAATTCAAAATTGTCTTCCCTAACCTCTTCAGTGCCCCTTTTCTCAATATGATATTAAAACCAGATACTTTGGTTCTTATGAAGGTGATTTCTTGTGTGGATAATTGTTCAATTTGGTGTTCCTGCAGGGGAGATGATTATTGGTTCTGTTTGTTCATCTTGCTCTGCCTCCTACTTCATTGATTACTTTCCTGACCTTTATTTCACCTTTGTTTTCAAAAGATGTTTTAGTATGGCAAAAAGTTCTACGTTGACAGTATTTTACTTTCAGTACTTTTAAGATATTTTGCTGTTTGTGAGTTTCCGTTGATTTTGTGAGAAATCTGTCATCATTGTATGTTCCTTTGTCCGTAATGCCTTTTCCCCCAGCTTCTTTTAAGATTTTTTTCTGTTTATCCTTAGTTTTAATCAGTTTGATTATGAATTGTCTTTTGGTAGCTTTCTTCATGTTTCTTTTTTGGGGGGGGTTCCTTTGAGGTTCTTGGTTCTATGGGTTTATAGTTTTCAATGCATTTGGAAAAAATTCTGCAATTATTTTACTTTTTCTGTCACTCCACCTCTTAATTTGGGAATTCCAATTAAAAGTTAATTAGGTTGCTGAAACTGCTGCAGAGCTCAGTTACATGCTTTTTTTTTGGGGAGGGGGTCTGTTTATTTGTTTCATTTTAGATAGTTGCTATTGCTTTGTCTTCACATTCTTTTAGCAGTTTTTTCTTCTTGATTGTCTCATCTCTTAATTCTATCCAGTGTAGTTCTTATCCCAGTCATTATAGTTTGCATCTTATAGAAGTTTGATTTGGATCTTTTGTGTCCACACACACATGCACTCCATGCCTCATGCCTCTTCTTCACATGTTCAGCCTTTCTTTCTTCTTCTTCTTCTTCTTCTTTTTTTTTTTTTGAGGCAGAGTCTAGCTCTTTTACCCAGGCTGGAGTTGAGTGGTGTGATCTCAGCTCACTGCAACCTCCCAGGCTCAAGCCATTGTCCCACCTCAGCCTCCTGAGTAGCTGGGACTACAGGTGCGCACCACCACACCTGGTTAATTTTTGTGTTTGTTATAGAGACAGGGTCTTGGCCCTGTTGCCCAGGCTGGTCTCGAAATCCTGAGTGCAAGCAGTTCACCTGCTTTGGCCTTCCAAAGTGCTGGGATTACAGGCATGAGCCACTGTGCCTGTCCCCATGTTCAGTCTTTCTTATAGCTTCTTGAACATATAGAAGTCAATGATAATGGATTTTGTGCCTTGCGTGCTAATTCAAGTGTAATTTGAGGGTTTGTTTCGATTGATTGACTTTCCTCCTTTTTATAGATTATGTTTTCCTTTTTTCACGACTTTTTTTTTTGAGACAGAGTCTCGCTCTGTCACCCAGGCTGGAGTTCAGTGACACGATATGGCTGACTGCAACCTCTGCCTTCTGGGCTCAAGCGATTCTCCTGCTTCAGCCTCCCAAGTAGTTGGGATTACAGATGCCTGCCACCATGCTCAACTAATTTTTGTATTTTTAGTAGAGACAGGGTTTCACCATGTTGGCCAGGTTGGTCTTGAACTGATCTCAAGTGATCCGCCCACCTCGGCCTCCCAAAGTGGTGGGATTACAGGTGTGAGCCACCACGCTCAGCCAGCATTTTTCAATTGAATGCTAGATATGGGAATTGTATCGGTTCCTGATATTTTTGTATTTTTATAAATATTTTTGACCTTTTTTCTTGGATGCAGTTAAGTTACTTGGAAATAGCCTGACTTTTTCAGATCTTGCTTTTAAGCTTTACTAGGTGAGACTACAGGACTTTATAGAATTAATTTTTCCATTAGTGAGGCAAAAATTCTTCGAATACCATATCTGATGATCCATTAATAATAAAGTTTTCAAGTTAGTTTCCTCTAATTGTTTTGGGTGGGGTTTTCCCTACCTTCTGTAGTTTCCTCACACACGTGCACCAATCAGTACTCAATTAAATATTCAGTGATGACTTTTTGCATGTTTAAGGAGTTTTCTCTCTGTGCATCTCTCTCCTCTTGTATGCTGCCTTATGAAATTCAGCCACCTTAGTCTCTGTGAACTCCTAGATCCATTTCCTGGAGTTAGGGAGGCCACTGGGCTGCCCCTGGATTTATCTTCCCTTTGCCATGGCCTAGACACTTTCCCTGGACAGTAAGCTGAGTTCATTGTAAGGCTCTCACCTAGTTTGTTTTCCATCTCTTGATTTCCAGTTTCTTCAGCAATGTGTTATATATTTTGTTTGGATTTAAAGTTGCTTTAGTCGATTGGGCAAATTTCAGCGTCTGTTCCTTCATATTTTGGTTAGAAAACAACTCAATATGGTATTTTAGTAGAAAAAGCCATGAAAAGAAAATTACTTTTAAACCCCTTGTTTCTTTTTATTGAAACTTATATTTTTCCTAGGCTCATTGAAGAGAACAGTTACATTTAAGTTTATTTATAACATCTGTCCTCATGTAATTTTTAGAGCTATTAACAAATTACAGGAGAAAATGAAAACTATTGATGTTACTAGTACTCTTCTGTTCCAATGAAAGCTTGATACTGCTAAGTGAATGATACAAAACAAGTTAATCCATTACTCCTCCTGATTCTTTGAAGTCTGAATCAACTTATAGAGGAAATCTCCTGTGATGTGCTGTGCTCTTCATATATAAATTTGATTGTATTTTGCTGACTGCTAATATTACAGATTTTTTTTTCAAGTCAAATTAAAATGGTTATATTCTGCAGCAAGTTATTTAAATTGTTCATGTTTCAAATAACGTCTCCTTCCATTTCATAGAATGGTGAAAACATCTGTTTATGTAATTATAGTTTGCTGTTGTCAAACTGGTACAGAATTTGCCTTAGTCTTTGAGTTTATTCTTCCTGCTAAAATGCAAACAAGGCTAATATATTCCACAGTTGTATTTGTTAAAAATCTTTATATAGCAATTTTCATTGTTACTGATATCAAAGACATTAAGTGGGATTAGTCAACCGTATCCATTATTTGTGAGCTTGAAAGACAAGAAAGTAGTTGGACTCTGCATCTAATTCAGAGTGTCATTTTAGCCATCAGTTTCTGCTTCTCCTTATATCAAGACTTTTAAAAAGCAAAAGTTCTAATATATGGAGACATTTATTATTTTAGTTAATTTTTCCACTTCAAGCTGAAAGGGGCTATTAATTGAACAGGCAGGCATCCAAAGACAAATATCTAACTTGTTTTTCTCTGTCTTGCTTTCTTGGGATTTGTAGTTCATGATGGCAGACTCTCATCTGTTTTATTTCCCTGAGGATACCCAGTAACTAGAAAGTTCTTGGCATATAGTAAGCATTAACCACATTTTTGATGACAGTGAGTCAATGAATGAGTGAATGAACAATTAAGCTTCTGAGTCTTTTCCCTTCTTCCATATCTCATCCATCTTTCCAGGCCTAGTTCAAAGTTATACTGCATTTATGAAGTGTTTTTTGAATGAAATTTTCTCCAACTATTTCAGTTCATTATGATTTTTTTTTTTTTTTTTAAGACAGAGTCTTGCTCTGTTGCCCAGACTGGAGTGAAGTGGTGTGATCTTGGGTCTCTGCAGCTTCCACCTCCTGGGTTCAAGTGATTCTCCTGCCTCAGCCTCCCAAGTAGTTGGGATTACAGGCGCCTGCCACCATGCCTGGCTAATTTTTTGTATTTTTAGTAGAGCTGGGGTTTCATCATGTTGGCCAGGCTGGTCTCAAACTCCTGACTTAGGTGATCCTCTGCCTCAGCTTCCCAAACTGTTGGGATTACAGGTATGAGCCGCCACGCTGGGGCCATTATGATCTTTTCATTGAACTCTTGGCATTTTCTTGCCAGTTTAAGAGAGAATTTTCTAACAAATATAACTGCACACAGTTGGAGTAGACAGCAAGAAGGAAACATTCTATTACTTAAAGTGTTTAAGGAGTGGCAGGATGGCCTTGTCAGTAAAAGGGAGGGGAGTGACAGGTATAGCGTTCTTATTGTGCCAGGTACTTATGTATTTCACGCCCTTTAATTTCAAAGGCCCCAACCCTACAAGGTATAGATCAACTTTGCCTATTTTTTAGTGTGGAAACTGAGGTTTAGAGAGGCCTATAAAATTTGTCTACAGTTCCATAGCCATAAGCGTCTGATTGATAAAGCAAACCCAAGTTCTTTGTAGAAGAGCTGTTATACTGCCTTTAGTGTGTAACTACTTCATGAACTCAGAGTCCATTATGATTGTGTAAGGTATGACAGTTTGGCATTTCTACCAAGAAATGAAGGCTTGAATGGGGCAGAATGACAGCACTTGGTGGTTAGGAAGAGAAGAAAGTTTTGGATAATGGGATAATTAGAAACACCGAAAGGGAAAGAGAGGTACCAAACTTTATCATTCTGTTCCTATTTTGGCCTCATGATATGTCAAGGTTTTTGACAACGAAGTTGGTGGATCCTATTTTGATTTTTTTAGAGAAACATTTATTATTGGGGTTTATTGCTCTGGTTTTTGTTTTATATGATACAAGAGAAACAACAAAATTAAGTCTTACAGTAAAAATAAGTCCTTTCCCCCCAACTATCTTAAAATCTTAAGATAAAAATCTTGACTGGTTAAAACCAGTCAACTAACTTCTTGTTTTTAGTGAAGATCGTGTTTGTTAATAATGCATTTTTTGAACTTGTCTTTTTTCATGGTTTCATATGGAACAGACATACCTTAGTAAACTGGCATATTATACTTTTATCTGGCTGCTCTCTGGATGATCTGGTAAACCATCATGTTATACAGAGGTTAAAGAGGTAAAGTGAGTTCATATTTTTGGTTGTTTTATTGGCAGATTTTCTCTCTGCTTTTCTGTACACTTAAAATGTTTGCATAATTAAAAATTTTTAAGAATTGCATAACCCTATTTGTATTTAATACATGCCTTTAAACAAATGAAAAAATATATTAAACTTTCGTTGTACCACCAGATGGCGCTCTCTATTAATCCAAATTAAGATGCCCACACCATTTTCTGAATTATTTTGTGTTATGTGTATTGTTAGATTTTTGGCATGAATGTATGGTCAAATAATAATGGGATCTAGAATTCACGAATAAAAGAGGAAGTAGAATAAATGAGTTGCTAATGTATAGCCCCAGGATATATCAAATAAGCCAGTGTTTAATATAGTTTCTGGAATTTAATCATTAGTCATTAGAATGATGTTAGAATAAAATTTAGGATTAGGAATATAGCTGTTTTGTATTTTGCCACATATGTTTGTCCTTCCTTATTCTGGGTTTTTCTTTGATTTTTATCAATAGTTTTTATGTATCAGCTGTTTTTGACATTAATGGTTTCTCTTGTTATATGTTAGTTTTATACTATTAGAGTAACTTTATTCCAATTATGATGTACTGGAATTTGGATTCATGAGATTTTGTCATATTTTGATCACATAAGCATGGAACATTTGAGCTTGATTTGTTTAACAAAATAAATAAACATCATCTCTGAATATATTCACTTGTGTCCATTCTTTCTCTTTTCATGAATGTGATTTATTATTTCAGTAATAAAGGATGTTAATCTTAAATTGGTAATCCTAAATAAAACTTTTATATTATCCTCATTAACTTTTTTTTTAGCTAAAAGGAATGGTAGGCAAAATTGATGTATGTTGAAAGTCAGCCTGAAAGCTATTGAGAGCATGATCTGTTAATTAACATAACAGTAAAGGTCTTTTACTGTTGCCTTTGCGAAAAGAAAACTAAACACATATTTTCAAAAGCAAACTATTTTGGCATTTAAAAAAGCTTGAAAATAGACATCTGAAACCTAATATTGTTAATGTAACACATTTTAAACATTTATTTATTTATTTATATTTATTTTTGAGACAGAGTCTCACTCTGTCACCCAAGCTGGAGTGCAGTAGTGGGATCTTAGCTCACTGCAACCTCCACCTCCTGTGTTCAAGTGATTCTCCTGCCTCAGCCTCCTGAGTAGCTGGGACTACAGGCGCATGCCACCACACTAGCTAATTTTCATATTTTTAGTAGAGATGGGGTTTCACTATGTCTACATGTTGGCCAGGCTTTAAAATTTATTTTTTATTGCATGTATTTAAGCTGTACAGCATGACATTTTGATACACATATATAGTGAAATGATTTCTACAGTCAAACAAATCAACATATCCACCACTTTCCATAGTCAACATTTTTGGCATGGTAGGAGTACCTAAAACCTACTCTTTCAGCAAGTTTTCAGTATATTGCAGTGTAGTAACACTGCAGTGTATAACTATAGTCCTTATGCTGAACATTATATCTCTAGACTTAGCAATCTTACATAGCTGTAAATTTGTACCCTTTGACCTCCCTCTTCCTGTTTCCTCTCCTTTCCTGCGCCTGGTAACCATCATTCTACTCTCTGTTTCTGTTTACTTTTCTCCCTAGATTTCACATATACGTGAGATTATACAATATTTTTCTTTCTATATCTGGCTTATTTTACTAACCATAATGTCCCCCAGATTCATCCCTGTTGTCTCAAGTGGTGGGTTCTCCCTTTTTCCCCCAAGGCCGAATTATATTCCATTGTATGTATACACCATAATTTCTTTGTTCATTCATCCGTTGATGGACAAACACTTAGGTCATTTCCATCTTAACTATTGGGAAAAAATGCTGCAATGAACATGGGAGTCCAGATGTCTCTATGAAGTGCTGATTTCATTTCCTTTAGGGAAATCAGAGGAATTGCTTGGCCTATGGTAATTTTATTTTTAAATTTTTGAAGAATCTGCATACTCCTTTCCATAATAGCTGTACCAATTTACATTCATACCAATAGTATATAAGGGTTTCTTTTTCTCTACACCTTTCTAACACTTGTTATCTCTTGTCTTCTTGATAATAGCCTTCTTAACAGGTGTGAAGTGATATTACACAGTGGTTTCGATTTGCATTTATCTGATGACTAATGATGTTGAGTACTTTCTGATATATGTATTGGCTATTTTTATGCCTTCTTTGGAAAAATGTCTATTCAGGTCCTTTGCCCGTTTTTAAGTAAGTGTTTTTTTGGTTTTGTTTTTTGCTAGTAAGTTTTAAAAAAAATTTAGATATTAATTTCTTAACAGAGAGATGGTTTGCAAATATTTTGCCCCAATCTGTAGGCTGCCTTTTCATTTTGTTGATTGTTTCCTTTGCATTGCAGAAGCTTTTTAGTTTGATGTAGTCCCACTTGTTTATTTTTGCTTTTGTGGCTTGAGCTTTCGCTGTGATATCTAGAAAATCAGTCCAGACCAGTATGAAGGAGCTTTTCCCTATATTTTCTTCTAAGGAGGTTTTTGTGTGTGTGTGTGTGTGGTATAAGGGTCCAGTTTCATTCTTTTGCATTAGATATTTAGTTTTCCCAACCCCATTTGTTGAAGAGACTGTACTTCCGCCATTGTGTCTTCTTGGCGGGCTTGTCAGGAATTACTTGACCATATATGCTTGGATTTATTTCTGGCTTTCTATGCTGTTTCATTAGTCTGTGTCTATTTTCATGCCCATACCATAAACAATATGCCCATATTGTTTTGATTACTATAGCTTTATAATACTTTTTTTTTCTTTTGAGACAGGCTCTCGCTCTGTTGCCCATGCTAGAATACAGTAGCACGATCATGGCTCATTGTAGCCTTGACTTCCTTGCTCAAGTGATCCTCCCACCTGAGCCTGCGACTGCAGGTGTGTGCCACTGTGCCTGGTTAATTTTTAAATTTTTTGTAGAGACAGGTCTGTGTTGCCCAGGCTGGTTTCAAGCTCCTGGGCACAAGTAATCCTCCTAGCTCAGTTTCCCAAAGTGTTGGGATTATAGGTGTGAGCCACTGCACCCATCCTATAATATGATTTGAAATCAAGAAGTGTGATGCCTGCAACCTTATTTTTCTTTCTTAAGATTGTTTTGGCTACTTGGGGCCTTTTGTGGTTTCATACAAATTTTACAGTTTTTTTCTTTTTCTGTGAAAAATGTCATTGGAATTGCATTTGTTTGTATATTGTTTTAGGTAGCATGGACATTTTAATAATATAATTCTTCCAATTCATGAACACAAGGTATCTTTCCATTTGTGTCTTCAATTTTTTTTTTAATCAGTGTTTTATAGTTTTCGGTGTGTAGATCTTTCATTCCCTGGTTAAATTTATTCCTAACTTCAGTCTTTCATTACTTAATGATGGGGATAAATTCTGAGATATGAGTCATTAGGTGATTTCGTCATTGTGGGAGACTCATAGAGTGTACTTACACAAACTAGCTGTCTCTGTGTCTAGGCTGTCATGGTATAGCCTATTGCTCCTAGGCGACAAACCTGTACAGCCTGTTACTGTACTGAATACTGTAGGCAATTGTAGCACATAGTGTTTATATATCAAAACAATTAAACCTGGAAAAGGTACAGTACAAATTGCTATAAAAGATAAAAAACAGGCTGGGTGTGGTAGCTCACGCCTGTAATCCCAGCACTTTGGAAGGCTGAGGTGGGCGGATCATGAGGTCAAGAGATAGAGACCATCCTGGCCAACATGGTGAAACCCCATCTCTACTAAAAATACAAAAATTAGCTGGACATGGTGGCATGCACCCGTAGTCCCAGCTGCTCGGGAGGCTGAGGCAGGAGAATCGCTTGAACCCGAGATTGCGTAGGTTGCAGTGAGCCGAGATTGCGTCACTGCACACTCCAGCCTGGTGACAGAGCGAGACTCCCATCTCAAAAAAAAAAAAAAAAAAAAAAAGGGTAAACGGCATACACATATAGGGCACTTACCATGATTGGAGCTTGCAGAATTGGCAGTTGCTCTGGGTAAGTCAGTGAGTGAATAGTGAATGAATGTGAAGGTGTAAGACATTACTGTAGGCTTTGTAAACACTGTACACTTAGGCTAGAATAAATTGATATTAAAAATTTCTTGATAAATTAACCTTAGCTTACTGTAACTTTTTATTATCTAAAAACTTCAAAAATTTTTTAAACTTCTTGACTCTTTTGTAATAACAGTTTAAGACACACGTTGTACAGCTATACAAGGCATTTTCTTTATATCCTTATTCTATAAGCTTTTGTCTATTATTATTATTGCTTTTTTACTTTTTAAGCTTTTTTTGTTCAAAACTAAGACACGAACACCCATATTAGCCTAGGACTCCACAGGTTCAGGATTTTCAGTATCCCTCTTTCACCTTCACATCCTATCCCATGGAAGGTCTTCAAGGGCAATAACACACATGGAGCTGTCATTTCCTATAATAATAATGCTGTCTTCTGGAATACCTCCTGAAGGGCCTACCTGAGGCTATTTTACAGTTAACTTTTTTTAATAAGTAGAAGGAGTACATTCTAAAATAACAGTAAAAAGTATAGTAAATACATAAACCAGTACCATAGTCATTTATTATCAAGTACATAATTGTGTGTGCTATACTTTTATTCAGCTGGCAGTGCAATAGGTTTATTTACACCAGCATTATCACAGACATGTTAGTAATTTGTTGTGCTACGATGTCACAATAATTACAATGTCTCTAGGCAATAGGAATTTTTTATTTCCATAATAATCTCATGGAACTGTTACTGTAAATGTGGTCTGTCATTGATTGAAAGGTCATTATGCAGAGCCTGACTGTATTTTATTCCTTTTGTTGTGTTTTCTCTTTCAGATCGATCACTATTGGTATAAATAAATGCAGCTGATTTTTGTATGTTGATTTTGTGTTTTACTTTACTGAATTAATTTATTAGCTCTTTTTTTTTTTTTTCTTTTTTGAGACAGAGTTTCACTCTTGTCACCCAGGCTGGAGTGCATTGGCGCGATCTCTGCTCACTGTGACCTCCGCCTCCCAGGTTCAAGCGATTCTTCTGCCTTAGCCTCCTGAGTATCTGGGATTACAGGCGCCTGCCACCATGCCCGGCTAATTTTTGTGTTTTTAGTAGAGATGGGGTTTCACTATGTTGGCCAGGCTGGTCTCGAACTCCTGACCTCAGGTGATCCACCTGCCTCGTCCTCTCAAAATGCTGGGACCCGCACCTGGCCTAATATGTATATATTTTTAATGGAGTCATTAGTATTTTCTACATAAAGGATTACGTCATCTGCAAATGAGGATAATTTTACCTTTTCCTTTCTGATTTGGATGCTGTTTATGTCTTTTGTAGGATTGCTCTTGCTAATATTTCCAATTCTGTGTTCAATAGAAGTGGTGAGAATAGATATCCTTTCCTTGTACCAGATCTTGGAAGAAAAGCTTTCAGTTTCTCCCCCACAGATTATTATGTTTGCTTTGAGTTTTTCATAAATGGCCTTTATTATGTTGAGGAAGTTTCCTTCTATACTTATTCTGTCGAAAGTTTTTATTATGAAAAGATGTGGAACTTTTGTCAAATGCTTTTTTGTTCATTTATTGAGATGATCATGTGGCTTGTATCATTCATTCTGTTAATGAGGGGTAATCACCTTGATTGATTTGTGTATGTTAAGCCAACCTTATATCCCAGAGGAAAATCCCACTTGGTCAAAGTGTATTATCTTTTTAATGTGTTGTTGAATTTGGTTTGCTGGTATTTTACTGAAGATTTTTGAATGTGTGCTCATCAGAGATATTGGCTTACAGCTTTCTTTCCTTGTGGCATCTTTGTCCAGCTTTGGTACTACCCTGAGGGTGATACTGGCTTCATACTATGAGTTTGGAAATACTCCCTCTACTTATTTTTTGGAAAACTTCAAGAAGGATTGGTGTTAATTCTTCTTTGAGTGTTTGGTAGAATTTAGCTGTGAAGCCATCTGGTCCTGGATTTTTCTTTGTTGAGAGGTTATTGATTACTTCTTTCATCTCTATTTGTAATTTGACTGTTGAGGAAATTCTGTTTCTTCTTGATTCAGTCTTGATAGGTTTTATGTTCCTAGGAATTTATCTGTTTCCTTTAGGTTATTCAATTTATTGGCACCTAGTTGTTTATAAGTAGTTCCTTATTTTTTTTTATTGCTTTTCTTTTCTTTTCTTTTTTCTTTTTTTCTTTTCTTTTTTTTTTTTTTGAGACAGAATCTCACTCTGTCACCTAGGCTGGAGTGCAGTGGCACAATCATGGTTCACTGCAACCTCTGCCTTCCGGGTTCAAGTGATTCTTTCCTCAGCCTCCTGAGTAGCTGAGATTACAGGCATGTGCCACCACACCTGGCTCATTTTTTGTATTTTTAGTAGAGATGGGGTTTCACCATGTTGGTCAGGCTGGTCTTGAACTCCTGACCTCAAATGATCCACCCACCTCGGCCTCCCAAAGTGCTGGAATTACAGGTGTGAGCCACTGCACCCATCCTGTGATTTTTTTATATTTCAGAGACATCCTTTGTAATGCTTCCTCTTTCATTTCTGATTTTTAGTCTTCTCTCTCTTTCTCTTAGACTACCTGGGAGTTTGTCAGTTTTATTTTCTCAACAACCAACTCTTAGTTTTGTTGATTTTTTTTCCTGTGGTTTTTCTATGCTTTATTTGATTTATCTGTGTTTTTTTACTTTCTTTCTTCTGCTAACTTTGGGTTAAGTCTGTTCTTATTCTAGCTCCTTGAGGTGTATAGTTAGGTTGTTTATTTTGAGATTTTTTTTAATGCAGACATTTATCACTACAAAATTTCCTCTTATTACTGCTTTTGCTGTATCACGTAAGTTTTGGTTTGTTCTCTTTTTGTTTTTGTTTATCCTGAGATATTTAAAAAATTCTCTTTTGACTTACTGTTTGACCTAGTGGTTGTTCAATAGTGCGTTATTTAGTATTTGTGAATTTTCCATGTTCTTCTTGTTATCTAGTTCAATTCCATTGTTGTTGGACAAGGTATTTGATGATATTATTTTGAACTTCTTAAATTTGTTTAGACTTGTTTTGTGACCTAATGTGATCTGTCCTGGAAAATATTTTATGTACACTTGAAAAGAATGTATATTCTTCTGTTGAGTAGAACGTTCTGTATAGGCTTGTCAAGTTTATTTGGTGTGTAGTGTTGTTCAAGCCCCGTTTCTTTATTAATTTTTTTGTCTGGATGTCCTATCTATTGTTGAAAATGGGGTACTGAAGTCACCTACTATTACTGTATTGCTATCAGTTTCTTCTTTCAGTTCTGTCAGTATTTGCTTTATATACTTGGGTGCTCTGATGTTGGGTGTGTATTTGTTTACAATTGTTATATCTTCTTGTTGAATTGATCCTTTTGTCATTGTGTAATGACCTTTTTTTGTCTCTAGAGACAGTTTTTGACTTACAGTGTACTTCGATGCAAATATGGCCACTCTTTTGGGTACCATTTGCATGGACTATTCTTTTCTATTCCTTCACTTTCCACGTATGTGTGTCCTTGAATCTAAAGTTAGTTTCTTGTAGACAATGTATAGTTGGATCTTTTTTTTTTAAATTCATTTAGCTGCTTTATCTTTTTATTGGAGAGTTTAGTCCATTTACATTTAAAGTAATTATTGACAAGGAAAGATTTACCGTTGCTGTTTTGTTAACTGTTTTCTGTTTGTTTTGTAGTTGTTTTGTCCTCCTTTTTCTCTCCTATTGTCGTCTTGTTGCTTTTTGTAATGCTGTGATTCTTTGTGTAACTTCTATAGGTGTTTTTTTTGTAGTTACCAGAAGGCTTATATAAAATATCTTGTAATTATCTGTGTTAAGCTGATAACAGCTTAACTTCTTTTCCATGCAGGAGCACTCATTTTTACCTTTCTTACCCTCAAATTATATGTTATTGAGTTACAATTTAGATCTATTGTATTATGTATTTAAGATAATTTCGTTAGAGTTGTTTTTAGTACTTTTATCTTTTAGGTTTTGTACTGGGATTATAATTAACTTCACACCACTGTTATAGTAATAAAATATTCTTTTTATTTTGCCCGTATATTTAACTTTACTAACAAGTTTTGTACTTTTTTTGGTATAAAAAACAAAAAAAACATTATGTTGTTGTTTTGCATCTTTTCATTTCAACTTGAATAACTACCTTTAGCATGCTTGCAAGGCAGGAATAGTGGATAAAGTACCTTGGCTTTTATTGGTTTGAGAACACCTTTATCTCCCCTTCAGCTTTAAAGGACAGGATTGCTGGGTATAGTATTCTTGGCTGACAATTTTTTTTTCTTTCTGCACTTTGCATATATAATTCTATTCCCTTCAGCCTGCAAGGTTTCTGCTGAAAAATCTAATAAGAAATAGAGAGTCCCCTGTACTTAGCAAGTTGCTTCTTTCTTGCTGCTTTCAAAATCCTCTCTGTCTTTAATTTTTGACAATTTGATGATAATGTATTGTCTCTGTGTGGGTTTCTTTTTTTTTTTTTTTCCTTTTTTTTTTTTGGAGACATGGTCTTATAGTGTTGCCCAGGCTGGAGTGCAGTGGTGTGATCATGGCTCACTGTAGCCTTGACCTCCCTAGGCTCAGGACCTCCTGCCTCAGTACCCCTAGTTTCTGGGACCACAAGCACTTGCCAGCATGCCTGGCTAATTTTGTATTTTGTGTGGAGACAGAGTTTTTCCATGTTGCCCAGGCTGGTCTCAAACTCCTGGGCTCAGTCCACCTGTCTTGGCCTCCCAAAGTGTTGGGATTATGGGCATGAGCCACTGCACCTAGCCTGTGTGGGTTTCTTTGGATTAATCCTATTTGGTATCATTTGGGCTACCTGAATCTGGATTTGTATTTTCTTTCCCAGGCATGGGAAGTTTTCAGCCATTATGTCTTTGAATGTGTTTTTAGTCCCTTTCTTTCTCTCTTCTGCAACTCTGATAATGCCTATATTGTGATGGCTTCACTTAAGTCCCTTAAGTCAGCAGTCCCCAACTTTTTTGGCACCAGCGACTGGTCTTGTGGAAGACAGTTTTTCCATGGACTTGGGATGGTGGAGTAGGGTAGGTGGGAGAGGTGGAGGGTTTTGGGATGATTCAAGTGCATTACATTTATTGTGCACTTTATTTCTATTTTATTTTATTTTTTATTTCCATAGGTTTTGGGGGAACAAGTGGTATTTGGTTACATGAGTAAGTTCTTTAGTGGTGATTTGTAAGATTTTGGTGTGCTGTCATCACTCGAGCACTAAACCCAATTTGTAGTATTTTATCCCTCACCCGCTTTCCACCCTTTTCCCCCAGTCCCCAAAGTCCATTGTATCATTCTTAAGCCTTTGAATCTTTATAGCTTAGCTCCCACTTATGAGTGAGAACATAATGATGTTTGGTTTTCCATTCCTGAATTACTTCACTTAGAAAAATGGTCTCCAATCCCATCCAGGTTGCTGAGAATGCCATTAATTCATTCCTTTCTATGGCTTAGTTGTATTCCATCATACAGATACATACCACAGTTATCTACTTGTTGATGGGCATTTGATCCACATTTTTGCAATTGGGAATTGTGCTGCTGTAAACATGCATGTATTGTGCACTTTATTTCTATTATTATTATATACTCACCATAATGTAAAATCAGTGGGAGCCCTGAGCTTGTTTTCCTGCAGCTATATGGTCCCATCTGGGGGTGATGGGAGACAGTGACAGGCATTAGATTCTCATAAGGAGCATGTGCCCTGGATCCCTTGCATGTGCAGTTCACAACAGAGTTTGTGCTTTTATGAGAATCTGATGCCACTGCCTATCTGAGGGGTGGTGGAGCTCAGCTTTGCTCACTTGCCCACCACTCACCTCCTGCTGTGTGGTCTTGTTCCTAATAGGCCACAGACCAGTATCTGTATTGGTCTGTGGCTTGGGGGTTGGAGGCTCCTGCCTTAAGCTGTCTTTACTCTTTTTCATTCTTTGTTATTTTTGCTTTTCAGATTGGATGATTTCCAGTGACCTGTCTTGGAGTTCACTGATCTTTTCTTCTGCTTGATCTAGTCTGTTACTGGACCCATCTTTTGACTTTTTGGTTCAGTTATTATATTTTTCATTTGTATAATTTCTGTTTGGTGCTTTCAAAATATGTTCTGTCACTTTGTTGAGTTCTCAGTTTGTTTATGCATTGCTCTGTTGAGCTCAGTGATCATCTTTATGACCATTTTTTAAAATTCCTTGTTGGGTAAATTGCATATCATCATTTCCTTAGGGTCAGTTTCTGAAAATTTACCTGGTTCTTTTATCTGGAACATATTTCTCTGTTTCTTTATTGCCCTCACTCTTGGTTTGGCTTCTGTGCATTAGATAAGACTACTGCCTCTACTAGTCTTGTGAGACTGGTGTTGTGTAGGAGATGATTCTTACCAGTTAGGCCAGCCAGAGTTTCTAGGTACCTCTAAAATCTTTTTGTTTGTCCAAACTACACTCTTTGTTCTTTCTTAGTGGTCTCCAGTAATTAGGGTGTGCCAAGTTCTGCCAGATGAATTAGAAGCTAGTTTCTTGAGATGCAGGTGGGAAGATTGGTGTGTTAGAAGTGTGTTGCAGTTCATTCTATCTTTAGGGAGAAGCTGAGAGCCAGAGCTTATCTCTCATTCATTCCACACTAAGCTGGAGAGAGGATCTGTGGCAGATGCCTGCACACTTATTTAGGCTGCACTGTCTCTTTGTTGTCCACAGTTCAGGAAAACTCACGAATACCAAGACACTCTTGCTCTTAGGGCTAGGTGATTTAGGAGCCAAATCCTCTAAGAGAACTGCAAAAGTTGGGTCACTTACACGCACGGTCCAACCCTTCACTCCTTAGTTAGAAGCTGGGTATTGGGGATTCCTTCTTGATTGTTTGGCACAGTGCACAGGGAGGGGTTTGTGTGCAAGTGTGTCTAAACTTTTTCTACCTGTTTGGATGTGGATGTTTTCTCAGTTGCCCCATGTATAGGAGACTGTCGGCCAGTTTCTGGCTTTCTCTCAGAGGAAATTGATCTGTGTATACATGTTTATTCAGTACTTCTGTGGGAGGAAGTAAAGCTACGGGCTTCCTTTTCCATCATCTTGCTGATGTCACTGCTAACACATTTTCAGATCACATTTTTAGGTGGTTTTGTTTCTGGTTATGCCATTCAAATAGAACCAGGAGTGTTTTTAAAAACATTACATTTTACTAGCATGGCATCTTTAAGAATTGGTTCTCCTTTTTCCTGGGTATATTCTCTTAGAAGATTAAATACTTGATGATGAGAAAATAATATATTGAATTTCAGGAAGTTTATCTTATATATCTATTTTAGTGTTGTTCATTGGGAAAGGAAAAAGTTAGATGAATTATCACTTGCCGGTTTTCACAGAGCAGATTGTTATAGAAGCAATGACTAAAATAAAATGACTATTTTATTAATATTCCATCCTCCCCACAAGCTCCACAAGCTCCCCTTCCAATTTTTTTGGTGTTTTTTTTTCCCCTTCCGACTTAAAAAATTTTATTGTTTACTGGCAACCAGGCATGCACACATGTGTACGTATGCATATTAAATTAAATTTTATCTAATGGGTTAATGAATCTGAGAAGCAGTGTTTGGAACCAGGAGGACATTGTAGCTAATGAGATCCTGAACTGGGGCAGAGGTCCAGCTGGGATGAGGGTAAAGTCATGAATTTGAAAAGAGAAGATAAAATAATCAAGATGTTTGCTTGATTAAATGGTTAAGGATAATGAAAGAAAGAGAGGAGCAAGAATGACATTTTTATTTCTCCCCTTACATCACCAACTAAGTTGGGGGAATGTGAAAAAGCAATGTTGGAGGGAGGAAGAGAGAGGGAAGGGCTGAAAGGAAAAATGAATTCCATCTTGGACATATTTAATTGGCATTATCCAAGTTGGTTATAAGAATGCGATGCTTGGGGCTGAGCATGGTGGCTCATACCTATAATCCCAGCACTATGGGAGGCCAAGGCGGGTGAATCACAAGGTCAGGAGTTGGAGACCAGCCTGGCCAACATGATCCAATCCCGTCTCTGCTAAAAATACAAACAATTAGCTGGGCGTGGTGGCGGGCACCTGTAATCCCAGCTACTTGGGAGGCTGAGGCAGGAAAATCCCTTGAACCGGGAAGTAGAGGTTGCAGTGAGCTGAGATTGTACCACTTCACTCCAGCCTGGGTGACAGTGTAAGACTCCATCTCAAAAAAAAAAAAAAAAAAAAAAAGTGTTGCTTGGAGAAGGGATGAAGACTAGAGATATGCCACATTTTCTTATTTTAAAAAGTCCTTTCTTGTTTTTCTCATCTTGACAAGTATCTAATAATTAATGTGTATTTTTAATGTGTGATTTCACCTTAAAAAGATTATTATAAAAACATTTAAAAACTATTTTATAACATATATAATCAGTGGAATTGCATGACTAAAGAAATGTAGATTTTTGGAGTTAAAGGTTTGATATCTTATGGACTCTTTAACAGTAGCAGGTGAAATTAGCAAGGAAAAGTATGGGATACAGAGAAAAGTACTTGTTCTATGAAAAATGATTTGTAGTTATAGAGTGCTTTCATTATATGTACTTTGTCGTTTGGTATTCATAGCAGTTACCTGAATGTAGTAGATGGTGGTATTTGTATTTTCAAATGAAGAAACTGATCTTCATAGTGTGGATACAGGGATACTTTTTTAAAAAATTCTTTTTATTATTATTGTCATTGAATGGTTATACACAAGTATTTTCATTTTTTATTCATTTTTACAAATGGAAGCAAGAATGAAATGAAGGAAATTATTAATACAGTTCTCTCATCCACCCTTGAATCTCCCATCCAGATTCAAATGGTAACATTTTACCACACTTATTCTCTTTGTCCTTTATATATGTGTACAAACACACCCATTTCCCCCCTGAACTTATAGCCAAAATGCTCCTATATCCCTGAATATTTCAGCGTTTGTCTCCTGTATCAGTCGGTTTTCACGCTGCTGTTAAAGACGTACCCGAGACTGGGAAGAAAAAGAGGTTTAACTGGACTTACAGTTCATATGGTCGGGGAGGCCTTAGAATCATGGTGGGAGGCAAAAGGCACTTCTTACATGGTGGCAGCAAGAGAAAATGAGGAAGAAGCAAAAGTGGAAACCCCTCATAAACCCATCAGATCTCATGAGACTTATTAACTATAATGAGAATAGCGTGGGAAAGACTAGCCCCCATGGTTCAATTATCTTGCTCTGGGTCCCTCCTACAACATGTGGGAATTCTGGCAGATACAATTCAAGTTGAGATTTAGATGGGGATGCAGCCAAACCATATCATTCTGCCCCTGGTCACTCCCAAATTGTATGTCCTCACATTTCAAGACTAATCATGCCTTCCCAACAGTCCCCCAGAGTTGTAACTCATTTCAGCATTAACCAAAAAGTCCACAGTCCAAATTCTCATCTGAGACAAGGCAAGTCCCTTTTGCCTATGAGCATGTAAAATAAAATCAAAAGCAAGGTAGTTACTTCCCAGATACAATGGGGGTACAGGTATTGGGTAAATATAGCCATTCCAGATGGGAGAAATTGGCCAAAACAAAGGGGTTACAGGGCCCATGCAAGTCCAAAATCCAGCAGAGCAGTCAAATTTTAAGCCTCCAAAATGATCTCCATGAGTGCAGGTCTTGCATCGAGGTTATGCTGATTCAAGAGGTGGGTTCCCATGGTCTTGGGCGGCTCTGCCCCTGTGGTTTTGCAGGGTACAGCCTCCTTCCCGGCTGCTTTCATGGGCTGGTGTTTAGCATCTGTGGCTTTTCTGGGCACATAGTGCAGGCTGTTAGTGGATCTACCATTCTGGGATCTGGAGGATGGTGGCCCTCTTCTCACAGCTCCACTAGGTGGTGCCCCAGTAGGGACTCTGTGTGGGGGCTCTGACCCCACATTTCCCTACCACAATGCCCTAGCAGAGGTTCTCCATGAGGACCCTGCCCCTGCAGCAAACTTGTGCCTGGGCATCCAGGCGTTTCCATACATCTTCTAAAATCTAGGAGGAGGTTTCCAAACCTCAGTTCTTGACATCTGTTTCCCTGCAGGCTTAACACCACATGGAAGCTGCCAAGGTTTGGGGCTTCCACCCTCTGAAGCCATTGGCTCCTTTCAGCCATGGCTGGAGCGGAGAGGCTGGGACACAGGGCACCAAGTCCCTAGGCTGCACACAGCATGGGGACCCTGGGCCCGGCCCATGAAACCACTTTTTCCTCCTGGGCCTCCGCACCTGTGATGGGAGGGGCTGCTGTGAAGGTCTCTGACATGGCCTGGAGACATTTTCCCCATGGTCACGGGGATTAATATCTTGATATCTTATGAACTCTTAACAGTAGTAGGTGAAATTAGCAAGAAAAGTTTGGGGTTAGAGAGAAAAGGACTTGTTCTATGAAAATGATTTGTAGGCTTCTTGCTACTTATGCAAATTAGGCTCCTTGCTACTTATGCAAATTTCTGCAGCCGGCTTGAATTTCTCCCTAGAAAATGGGTTTTTCTTTTCTATCGCATAGTCAGGCTGCAAAGTTTTTTCCAAACTTTTATGCTCTGCTTCCCTTATAAAACTGAATGCCTTTAACACAACCCAAATCACCTCTTGAATGCTTTGCTGCTTAGAAATTTTTTCCGCCAGATACCCTAAATTGTCTTTCTCAAGTTCAAAGTTCCACAAACCTCTAGGGCAGGGGCAAAATGCTGCCAATCTCTATGCTAAAACATAACAAGAGTCACCTTACTCCAGTTCCCAACAAGTTCCTCATCTCCATCTGAGACCACTACAGCCTGGACCTTATTGTCTATATCGCTATCAGCATTTTGGGCAAAGCCATTCAACAAGTCTCTAGGAGGTTCCAAACTTTCCCACATTTTCTTGTCTTCTGAGCCTTCCAAACTGTCCCATCCTCTGTCTGTTCCCCATTTCCAAAGTTGCTTCCACATTTTTGGGTATCTTTTCAGTAACGCCCCACTCTCCTGGTACCAATTTACTGTATTAATCTGTTTTCATGCTGCTGATAAAGACATAACTGAGCCTGGGAAGAAAAAGTGGTTTAATTGGACTTACAGTTCCACATGGCTGGGGAGGCCTCAGAATCACGGAATCATGGTCGGAAGTGAAAGGCACTTCTTACATGGCAGCAGCAAAAGAAAATGAGGAAGAAGCAAAAGTGGGAACCCCTGATAAACCCGTCAGATTTCGTGAGACTTATTAACTATAACGAAAATAGCATGGGAAAGACCGGCCCCCATGATTCAATTACCTTGCCCCGGATCCCTCCCACAACACATGGGAATTCTGGGAGACACAATTCAAGTTGAGATTTGGATGAGGACTCAGCCAAAGCATATCATCTCCTAATAACAAAGACTTTACATGATCACAGTACGTTTATTAAAATCAGGAAATTATCATTGATATCTATAGAACTTACATTTCATCAATTGTCACAATAATGTCAGGGACAACAAATTTGTCAAGCTCTACAAGTACTAATGAAGGGCAGTGCCACATAAATAAAGCATACTGTTAGATTGAAATTAGAGTATTTGTAAAGAGGTTGCCTTCTGAGATAATTAATGGCCATCAGCCTCTGTTAATATATTTGCCTGCCCTATATCCCACAATTTGACTTTGAATTTTAGGGAGAGTAGGGAGTAGTAGAGAGCAAATTATTTTTGTTTTTGCCATTTGACCCTTTCCAGAAACAGTAGCGCATGCCCAGAACATCCTTTGGAGGAATTCTAGCATTGTTTTCCTCACTTAGCTTTAATCCTTTCTTTCTTGTCCTCCTTTCATATTTACTAGCATGTGCTAAGCACTGAATTAAAATGATAGAACTATGTGTATGTACTGTGCATAGACCAGCTCTGTCAGGGAGACCCTAACCCAGTGGTGCTAGAGGAATTAAAGACACACAGACAGAAATATAGCCTGTGGAGTGGGAAATCAGGGGACTCACAGCCTTCAGAGCTGAGAGCCCCAAACAGAGATTTATCCACATATTTATTGACAGCAAGCCAGTGATAACCATTGTTTCTATAGATTATAGATTAACTAAAAGTATTCCTTATGGGAAACAAAGGGATGGACTCTGGCTAGTTATCTACAGCAGGAACATGTCCTTAAGGCACAGATCGCTCATGCTATTTTTTGTGGTTTAAGAACGCCTTTAAGCGGTTTTCCACGCTGGGTGGGCCAGGTGTTCCTTGCCTTCATTCCGGTAAACCCACAACCTTCAGCGTGGGCGTCATGGCCATCACGAACATGTCACAGTGCTGCAGAGATTTTGTTTATGGCCAGCTTTGGGGCCAGTTTATGGCCAGATTTGGGGGCCTATCCCCAGCAGTACCGATTGTGCTGTTTTATACTTAGGGAATAGGTTGTTTGGGCAGCAACCGCTTAAAAACATTTCTGAGTAAACTTTTATTATATTTTATAGGGATGTAAAAGTGGCCCTTTATAGACTCTTTTGTTTGTTTGTTTGGACCCTTCTTGGTATTTCTTTTTATTTTTTAGAGATTGGGTCTTGTTATATTGCTCAGGCTGGAGTGCAGTGGCTCCAGCACTGCAGCCTTGAATTCCTGGGCTCAAGCATCCCTTCTGCCTCAGCCTCCCAGGTAGCTGGGACTATAGGCACATGCCATTGCACCAGGCTTTCCTTGGTATTTCTTAAACATACATTAAACATTTCTTAAGGAATCCCTCAATGTATACCTTAAATGTGAAGAAGCCATATTGTTCTTCAAGGCCTTTGTGTTTATTGTTCCCTTTACCTTAATTGTGCTTATTGTTCCCTTTGCCTTGATTACTCTTTCCCCAGATAGCTGCATGGTTTGTTCCCCTAACTCCTTCAGATCACTGGTCAAATAGAACTTCCCTGACCAAATGATGACTACCTTTCCCTCCCCCTTTCTCACCTGTACTCCCTATCCATTTTCTCCATAAAATTCACCACACTGATACACTATTACTTTCACATGTTTGCTTATTGTATACTGCCTTCCATAGGAGTATAAGTTCCATGATGGCTGGAGTTTATCTGTTTAGTTTACTACTATATCCCCAGAGCCCTTAACAGTGTGTTGATGTAGTAGACTCTTGGTAAATCTTTGTGAGGTGAATGCATGTGCTGCTATTCTGAGTTTGAATGTGACAGATTATTTTTTTCCTAAAAAAATAGCAATTCCGAGGGAATTATTTAAATACTACAACTTAGGTGCTGTCTTTCTGAGTAGGGGAGCTTTAAAATAACTTATTTTAGAACTTTTCTTTCAAAGGTTTTATTTTCTATTATGTTATTGGTTTGCTTGGTTCTACACAATTTTCTTACCAAGTATATTGAAAAAAAAAGATTGCAATGAGTTAAATATCAATTCTTTTGTTTTTTAATAAAATGAAAATGTTTTCTTATTATTTAATGTCAGTCTTGTTTCAGACAAATTTTAGAAGAATTAACTATGTCCATTTTTATGGGTAATGTTTGTACTTGCTGGGGTATTTAAGGTTTTTTTTTTGTTGTTGTTGTTGTTTTTTTGTTTTTTTTCTTTTTTTAAGATAGGAAATGTTCCTTTTTTTTTGAAATGGAATTTCAATCATGTCACCCAGGCTGGAGTGCAGTGTTGTGATCTTGGCTCACTGCAACCTTTGCCTCCTGGGTTCAAGCAATTCTCCTGCCTCAGCCTCCCAAGTAGCTGGGACTACAGACGCCTGCCACATGCTCAGCTAATTTTTGTATTTTTAGTAGAGAAGGGGTTTCATCATGTTGGCCAGGCTGGTCTTGAACTCCTGACCTCAGGTGATCCGCCTGCCTCGGCCTCCCAGAGTGCTGGGATTACAGGCGTGAGCCACTGCACCCGGTCAAGATAGGAAATGTTCTGTGAACTTATTTTTTTGAGTGATCACAATCACTTGCCTTCCATTAATGCTTCATTTTAGGAAATGATTAATTAAATAGTATGTGGAAACTTTCTTCTAATCAGCAATAGTATGTGGAAACTTTCTTCTAAACTCTTTTGAAGTTTATAAAGGTTTTGCAGGAAGTCTAGTTGTAAAATGTTATACCTACATGTCATCTTTTAGCATTGCCGAGGCTTCTTTACAGGAAAACATGAACGTGACACAGATAACCACAGGTGACTAGGTCATAGCAAAATATGTTAGTAGCTTTAAGATTACTTAAAAAGGAATATTTTAAAGAACTTTTTTCTTAATAAAATATTATATAATGAAATATGTTTAATATTAAGAAACTCCCAAACATTCTATTGAGTGTATTTGCTAGGAGAAACCTTTTGGAAATGTAAAATAACTTTTGTCCAAATACTATTTATGAAACTTCTATTTAAACTTTTGGGTTGAAATGTGAAATCTTTTAAATATGGTAGTGTCTGAGTCAGTGGCTTCTTAGCTGGCATTTCTGTGTATTTGCTCAGACTCCATATCCTAAATTAACCAGTGTTTTTTTTTTTTTTTTTTTTTTTTTTTTTTTTTTTTTTTTTGAGACGGAGTCTCGCTCTGTCGCCCAGGCTGGAGTGCAGTGGCGTGATCTCGGCTCACTGCAAGCTCTGCCTCCCGGGTTCACATTATTCTCCTGCCTCAGTCTCCCGAGTAGCTGGGACTACAGGCGCCTGCTACCACACCCGGCTAATTTTTTGTATTTTTAGTAGAGACGGGGTTTCACCGTGTTAACCAGGATGGTCTTGATCTCCTGACCTCGTGATCTACCCGCCTCGGCCTCCCTAAGTGCTGGGATTACAGGCGTGAGGGAAAACTTGTTTTTATGGCTTGTTTCCTGGTTTTCCTGGTAGTTCACAAACATACCCGACCCATAGTATAGCTGACCATGAGCAGTGAAGGGCTAGTCAGTGCTCTTGCGTAAAGAACAAAGGGCCTGTGGTATGGAAAGAGAAGGGTTTGTTCCTTGTTTCCTGCCTGATCCTGGATAATATTTTGACATATGTAGTTTCTCTTTGAGATCTTTGAGTTTGGTGTGTGTCTCTTTCCCTGGGCATCCACTACTATGATGCTGCCTCAAGAATTAACGTTTACATCTCAGTTGATTTTGCCCTCCTCTTCTGTTCCTCCTTGGGCAAAATTCTCTACCCTTTGCAGTTTCCCTCTCCAACAAATAAAACCAAACCAAATCCAATTCTTACTTCTTTTTATCTTGGGTATTATGAGGAAAGAAATAAAGCAAACTTATAATAATTTTAGAAGGATTGATAGTTCTGGAGAGATGAATAGATAATTTGCATCTCTAAACCTATATCATTAGCCTCAACGGAAGTGACTTAGCATTTCGAAAAGCTGACAAAGTAGAGTAAAATCCCCCAGCCAGTATAAGGGAATTTCGTTTGGAATGATGGAATTACCATAGTAGGAGACACAGTATTCACAGTTGCATTTGGAGATTTGCCTCTGTCATGGTCTCAGCTGGCTCTCCATTTTTTCTTTATGTTTTGAGCCTAAATTTCTCAATCTTTAAAATGGAGTGGTAATATTACCTACTTTGCATATTTGTTAGGATTAAACCAGACAGTATATTTGGAAATATGATGAATAATGTCTTACTTATTTAGTAAGATGGTAGTTTCCTCTAAAAATGCTCCCTTAGCAGTTTTGGCAGCAGTAACCCAGATGGCTCAAGGTCTTAGCTATCCTTTGTAAGCTAGAGACTGCTTAAATTTTTATACCAGACATTGTGCTGGGTACAGAACATACAGAGATCAATAAAATGAAGTCCCTGTTCTCAAAGAGATCACTGTTTCTCAGAAAAGACAGATAAAACAATTAACTGTAAGTCATTGTGATAAATGTTATTTTAAAAGTGCTCTTGGGGCATTGGAGAAGGCTTTATAGAATAAGTCTTAAAATTACCATTAGTTAGCATTAAATTCTTTGTTCCTCATCGTATTTTCTTTGTAAAAAATATTTAAGAAAGCTTTTCTGTTTTGCTAGTTCATCATGGTAATCAGAAACTGAAGAGAAATTTCTTCTCAGAAGAGCACACAGTTTTATCTTATTTCTCAAATCATGTGAAAGCTACAAGGCAAGTGTATTGAGATCTCAATAAAATTCCTGTTCATTTTTTAGACATGTAATGTCTTTTACACTATTTATACTTAATAGTGATTTATCAGTCAACCTAATTTTTCCACTTTCTGCAGGATTTCCATACCTTAAAACTGTCATTTTTATCTGAAAGTTAGTAGTCATGTAATATTATACAAATTTTAGGGGTGTGTGTGTGTGTGTGTGTGTGTGTGTGTGTGTGTGTGTAGAAATTTAAATTAGCATTTAAATAAAAAGCTTAGCAGTCATCAGGTACTGCAATGTTATATTTTTTGGCTATATATTACAGTATAGCTGAAACTCTTCAAGATGGGGGGGGCACTGTTCATTTTACCAAGAATGTACCTTGTTCTTTACCCTGTCCAGACTTTACCTGCTGTGTAACTTGAGGTCTTTTTTTGTTTTTTGTTTTTTTTTAAAGACAGCGTCTCCCTCTGTCACCCAGGCTGGAGTGAATTGGCAGGGTCTCGGCTCACTGCAACCTCTGCCTTCCAGGGTTCAAGCGATTCTCACACCTCAGCCTCCTGAGTAGCTGGGACTACAGGCACGTACCAACACGCCCAGCTAATTTTTGTGTTTTTAGTAGAGATGGAGTTTGGCCATGTTGGCCAGGCTGGTCTTGAATTCCTGGCCTTAAGTTATCTGCCCACCTAAGTCTCCCAAAGTGCTGGGATTACAGGCGTGAGCCACTGCGCCCAACCCACATAATAATCACATCAAATGCCACTGTCTCTACAAAGCCTCCATTAATATTGTTGGCTGACATTAATTTTTACCTCTTCTATGTTCCTGTGTCATTTGTACTTATTACTATAACCATTATATGATTATTAGAGTTCAAGCTCCTTGAAGGCAGGATTTGTGTTTTGTCATCTTCGTTTAATACTTCGGTCAAAATAAACACATAATAGATAACTGGTGATTTAAATTGGATCTAGAAAACTCAGGTTTGATGAAAAAGTCTTTTATTATTCTTTAACCCGTCTTAGAATTTGGGCTCTAAAATCAGGGATTGCTAAATCTATTGTGTGTTCTGTTTGCTGTTACCAACATTCAAATGTAATTCACACTGACCGTGTGCAGTGTGGCTCATACCTGTAATCCCAGCAGTTTGAGAGGCTGAGGCAAGTGGAATGCTTGAGCCCAGAAGTTTGAGACCAGCCTGGACACCATGGTGAAACCCTGTCTCTACAAAAAATACAAAAATTAGCTGGGCGTGGTGGTATGTGCCTGTAGTTCTAGCTACTTGTGAGGCTGAGGTGGGAGGATCACTTGAGCCTGGGAGGCAGAGATTTCAGTGAGCCAAGATCTTCACCACTGCACTCCAGCCTGGGCAATAGAGTGAGACCCTGTCTCAAAGAAAAAAAAAAGTGGCTTAAACAGGGTAGAAGTTTATTTCTCCTTCACATTGGTCTGGACATGAACTGTCCAGTATGGGTAGAGTAGTTCTGTCATCTTCACCATGGGGCTTTTGTAATTGGATCCAAGGTTGCAGGTTCATTCCTTATTGTCTCCTAGCAAATGGAAAAGGGGAAGAGGCCAGGGGAACACAGGCCCAGTGTGGTTAATGGCAAAATATATCATTTCTGTTTACATTCTACAGGAGAGGCTGAGAAATGTAGTCTTCCTATCAGGACAGCCACATTTCTAGGTAAAATTCAGAAGCCTTTATTACTTAAAGGAAGAATGGGAAAATTGATATTAAAGATAGTGATTTTTGCCATAATTTTCAGATTTATTTCCATTTTTAAAAATAGTAGATCAGTTGTTCAGGAATCAAAACATTTGAGTATTTGACTGAGTCATCAGATCTAGCAGATTTTTAAAATTATACAGTCGATTCCCTTACTGTAGGTGATACAGAAGGTTATATAAGAGCCTTCCTAGTGAGAACTTTACCATCTACTTTAGGAGACAGAACTAATTACAAATGAAAAAAGAGTAGATGCCTATTGTGGCACATTCTGTGTCACATGCTGTTATGAGTGTAGACATTTACAGGAGATAAATATTTCCTATAATCTAATATAGAGGAAAACAGGAAACTGTTAAAGGTTTGGAGTTGGAAACTGAAATGGTGCGAGAGTGTAAACTGGTAATGGAATTCAGATTGGGTGAATTATCTTTCTCCCTCTTCTTCTGATAATGAATTCAGAGTGGATGAGCTCCCTCCCTTTTGCTCTGCCTAATCTCTGAGGTTACCTAATACTTTTCAGCCTCAGTTACCACATCCAGATGTTCTTTCTTAGCCCAATTACTCTTGACTTCTTTGGAATATTTGATACTATTGAACATCTTTTTTTTTTCCCTGTTTTTGAAAACAGCTTTTCTTTGAAACGACCTCATTCTCTACTTTTACTGCCTTTCATTTTCTCCCTAAGATTTAGTACTGTGCTTTTTTGCTCTTTTTGTTCTTGATACTGCAACTCTCATCTTAAAAGAAGGTGTGAGGCTGGGCGTGATGGCTCATGCCTGTAATCCCAGCACTTTGGGAGGCCGAGGCGGGCGGATCACGAGGTCAGGAGATCAAGACCATCCTGGCTAACATGGTGAAACCCCGTCTCTACTAAAAATACAAAAAATTAGCTGGGCGAAGTGGCGGGCGCCTGTAGTCCCAGCTACTCAGGAGGCTGAGGCAGGAGAATGGCATGAACCTGGGAGGTGGAGCTTGCAGTGAGCCGAGATCACGCCACTGCACTCCAGCCTGGGCAACAGAGCGAGACTCCGTCTCAAAAAAAAAAAAAAAGAAGGTTGTGTGTGTGTGTGTGTGTGTGTGTGTGTGTGTGTATGTGTGTATGTATCCAGTTTGAACTTTAGTCCTATATTCTAAATCGCCTGCCAGACATTTTCATCTTGGTGTATCACTATCATTTAAAGCATTCAATGGATCTCCTGCAGTTTTCTGACTCCACGAGGACCCTCATGCTTTATATCCTAGGTGCAGAACTTGCATTTTGGCCTCTACCTTCTCCTTTGCCACTGTATTTTCTATGAGTAAGCCCTGTCAGTTCTTCCTGGTGATTTCATATTTGTTCGTTTCCATTCTTACTGCTGCCACATTTATCAGTCCCTTAATTACGTTAGTTATGTGAAAGCAAATCAGGAAGTGTGTTGAATGCTTGAGTTAAAGATTGTGGAGAATGCTCTAGAACCTTGCTCTTCAAAATGTCATCTGTGGATGGCAGCATGGGCATCACTGGGAACTTGTTAGAATGCAGAACCTTAGGAGCTACTCTGGGGGTCACAGAATTAAGAGTCTTCATTTTCATGATATTTCCAGTTGATGTGCATGCACATTAGGGTTTGAGAGACACTGATCTAGAATTCACTGTGCATTTCTGCTTCCCTTCTCTCTCCCTTCTCCCCCTGACCCTCCTTTTTTTTCTGACTAGAGTGCGGTGGTACCACCATAGCTCAAAGGACCTTTGAACTCCTGGGCTCAAGCTATCCTTCTGCCTCAGCCTCCCAAGTAGTTAGACCTGCAGGCACTCACCACTACGTGTGGTGTGTAGTTTTCAATTTTTATTAGAGACCACTGTGGTTTCACTATGTTACCCAGGCTGGTCTCAAAACTCCTGGCCTCAAGTTATCCTCTCACCTTGGCTTCCCAAGTGCAGGGATTATAGGTGTGAGCCACTGTTTCTGGCCCACTGCATATCTGTTTAACCTTTCTTAGTTTGAGACTTACTTGCTAAAAATAATTAAACCCTCCAGCTATTGCTCTGTAACTATTTACCTTAATGTGTAAGCTTCAAAACAGATAGATAACGTTGTAAATTGTTGTGTTAGAAATGATGAGACAGAGTGGAAAGTAACTGGGGGAGGCAGCTCTATCTAGAGTTGTCACAGATGTCCCAGATGTATGTTTGCCAGTTTATAGATGTAATTTCTCAAATTTAAAAGCAGGATATTTGAGGATAAGTTGCATGTGCATAATCTTCCTCCTGTGTAATTAAGGAATTTGGGGGGGCATTATTTTTAATTTTACTATATTGTACTTACTAGCTTTAATGTTGTTGTGTAGAGCAGTGTCACCTTTAGATAAACAGCATGTACTTAAAACAGAAGGCTATGTTTAAAAAAAGCTTTATTTTTAATTTTTAATTTTTTGATACAGAGTCTCTCTCTGTCACCCAGGCTGGAGTACAGTGGCGGGATCTCGACTCACTGCAATCTCTGCCTCTGAGGTTCAAGTGATTCTCTTGCCTCAGCCTCCTGAGGAGCTGGTATTACAGGCACCTGCCACCATGCCTGGCTAATTTTTGTATTTTTAGTAGAGACCGGATTTCACCAGGTTGGCCAGGCTGTTCTCAAACTCCTGACCTCAAGTGATCCGCCTGCCTTGGCCTCCCAAAGTGCTGGGATTACAGGCATGAGCCACTGTGTCCAGCTACTTGATTTTTATTGATATCTCTTACTATATACATACATTTTTCATAATCAACTAATTTATAGAAGTCTGTTAGTAATATGATTCTGAATATTTGGCATATTTTCCAGATATTGCTTTTATTTTTCCATTTTTACTTTATTAATTTTACAAGCAATATGTGAAAAAATCTGAAGCAATTTTTAAAATTATTATGAAAGAATATATTCAAAGGTATGAAGACTTGTACAGCTAAGACTTGTATTCTTGTATTCATATGTGAGTTTTTTGGCAGTGTTTTTCAGAACTTTTTGACCATGAACTGAAGAACTAACATTTTGTAGCACACCTCAGTTCATATATGCGTATTATATGTTACTGAAACAAAAGTTTATATTCTTGCCATACAGCTTAGCAATTGAGTGCTACTATTGCTCTCCAAGCCCACAGTGAACTTTTCCCTGATCACATCCTCTTTCCTTACCACCAGTTACCTGCCTCAGTTTCACGAAATTTGTAGATACATTTAATTAATATGCAGTATGCTATTATTTTACATATTTTTCAATTTATGTAAATGGTTTCACACTGTATATATTCATCTGTGACCTTTTTTAATGTCAGTGTTATATTTGAGATTTAGCCATGTTGATGCAACGCTTTTTGAAGCAGTCCTTGTTTCCCCTTCTTGCCAACAATTAGTAGTTAAAAATTTTTTTTTCCAGAATGTTGGGTGCAAAATGGAAGTAACTGTAGAGTTAAAGAGCACTTTCACTAATTACCAGTGAGACTGTGCATATTTTCATGCTTATTGGCCATAAATTTCTTCTGTGAATTATTCATTCATATCTTTTTGCTTATTTCGCATTGGGCTGGTTGTCTTTTTCTTATTAATTTCTACATTTAATTTTTGAAATGTCTTTGATTTTTTATTTGTTGTTAATCTTGTGCATATCTTATGCATTTAATAAAGAAATTATTTTTACAGTAGGGTATTATTACTATTCCTGATTCAAATATGCTAAGTGAAGAAGCTGTTTATATAAATTAGTTTTAAAATCTTAGAGTGGAGGGGAAGTTTCTAGGAAAGCAAAATGAGTAAAATCAATAAGGTTCTTAAAGATTGCCAAGACACATGTCTTCTTAGCAGACTGCCGCCAGTACCATTTGAAAATTTGAGCATGTGACTTCTGTAAGCTTCCATTATAATTATATAAAACCGAGAATGCTTCTAATATGCTGTTATGTTTATTTTTGTTTTTAACATTTGCTTTTTTTTGTGGTTTCTTCTTCTAAATTAGGTCCTCGATGGGCTTCCTGGAATATTGGTGTGTTTATTTGCATCAGATGTGCTGGAATTCATAGAAATCTTGGGGTTCATATATCCAGGGTCAAATCAGTCAACCTAGACCAATGGACAGCAGAACAGATACAGGTAAACATGACGTTACCAAGAAATTATTTAAAATATTTAAAATGATTTAAAAATATTTAACCCTTCTTGCATCTAAGGATTAACATTGAAAAGTAGTTTTGTATGTTGAAATGGCATATGCCACGTATAAAATTGGAATATTTGAATTTTCAGTTCACAGATGTTTATTTCATTTTGTGTCTATAGTAAAGTCAGTTTTTAATCTATACTTTCTAAAATGTTGATTTTAAAGTGTTTTTAAAGTATCATTTCTCTTGTTGATAAAATTTGCCAGTATAATTCCATAGTTTGTTTTATTTTTTTTTCAGTGGAGGGAGCCTGGGTAAAGATAAAATAAAAAACCACCTGTAGCCTAAAAATGGACTTGAGTAATTTCCTTTCTGTTCTGAGGTGTTCTTAGTTTTCAGACAAGGCCCAGAAGTTGTAAGACAACCCAGTGAACAAATGTTCTTATGACCAACCTAAACTTACTTATGAGTGGTTTAACTCTGCTAGAGGTAGATTTGTAGTTTTAAAAGTTTGCCATTTTCCCAATGTGACAGTCTTAAATTCTCAAAATCTTACTTTTTATCTTTAAGGTTGGCCACTATTGTAAAAATGAGTACTTCTACTGGTCTTATTATGTAATTCACAGTGAAGTTACACCACTTATTTATGCCCTTTTGAAATTACTTTTAAGTCACTATGAAGTGCTAAATACATAAATATATGTGGTTGAGACTCAGTGATACATCTCAGAATCTTAACCCAATAGTTTACATGAATGGGGTGAAGTAAAGGTAGAAAAACAGAATGGAGATCTTCAGGCTATAAAGTCAAGCATAATTTATTTGGTTCCATCTTAAATTAGTTTTTGAGCTTTTCGCTGGCTAGAGCATAAAGGGAAATGCAATCTTTTATGTACTTTCAAGATCCTTGAGGAGAAAACATACTAGTTATATCAAAGAAGCAGAGCTTTTTAAACACTTCCTGTAAGGCAGTGTTCTTAGTATCTCTGTAGAATATGGTAACAGATGTCATGATGTTGTAAGTCTTTTTTTGTTTGTTTGAGACAGGGTCTTGCTATGTTGCCCAGGCTGGTCTCAAACTCTTGGACTCAAGCGATTCTCCCATGTCAGCCTTCCAAGTAGCTGTGACTATAGGCATGCACCACCATGCCCAGCTGATGTTGTAACTCTTTTTCAAGAAACGTGTGAGGTGTAGCTTGACAGTATAACTTGGTGTTTGTAATGGGTTATGGAGGTACAAAGCATTCACGACCGAAGTATCCTGCTTTTTTAATGGCTTATTTCAAACTAAGGATAAAACACGAGATCCTTCAACAGTTCAGTTATTCAGAAATATTTTTCTCAATTAGGTTGTTGAGAGGAAATGAATAGCAAATTATTTGAGATGGGCAGCTGTATAGCTTAGAGTAGAATTTTGTAATCAGAGGGCTGCAGTTCACTGGTTTTCTTTGGCATAGGTTACAAGTACATGGCAATATATTGGATTTTTTTTTTTTTACAATGTAAGGATTTTAAAAACAGTTATTAAATAATAATATTTGAAATTGTATTTGAACATTATTTGATTGCATTTGCCAACTTCTTGATAGGAATTGCTCTGTCTGGCCCCCCTCCCCTGCTCTTCCCATCTTTTTTTTTTTGAGACGGAGTCTCACTCATGCTATTGCTCAGGCTGGAGTGCAGTGGTGTGATGTCTGCTCACTGCAGCGTTTGTCTCCTGGGTTCAAGCGATTCTCCTGCCTCAGCCTCCCAAGTAGCTGGGATTACAGGTGCGTGCCACCATGTGTTGCTAATTTTTGTATTTTTATTAGAGGTGGGGTTTTGCCATGTTGGCCAGGCTGGTCTCGAACTCCTGACCTCAAGTGATCTGCCCACCTTGGCCCCCCAAAGTGCTGGGACTACAGGCATGAGCCACTGGACCCGGTCTCCTGTGTTTCTTTTTAAAAAATTGAGGTAGGAAATCCTGGTCGGGGTAGCCATGGCAGCTTGTGTCTGCCACCTGCCCTTGGCCATCACACTGATGCACCGGGTCCCGTGCTGGCCACAGCCTGCTGCTCAGCATCGCCTGTGCTCTGTGGGGACTCTGATGAGGCTGGGGCTTTGCAGCTGGCTCCACAGCGGGCTTTGGTGCTTGCGCACGTGCTGGGTAGAAGTTACACAGTCGTGCTGTCAGTATAGTGACTTGCCCCCTTTGATGTTAGAGGGAATCGAAGACTGTCTTCTTTATATCTTGAAACCCTGTGACAGGATTGACCCAGAGAAGCTCTCAGTGAATTCTTACTTTATGAAAGACCTGTGCTTGGACAGTTTGGACCAAGTAGAGAGTAAGCATGGTCATGGAAGATAAATTTGGGTTTGAAATTCCTGGTATAGATATGGAAAAGTTAATATGTCCACAAGAAATTGTAGATTATATTGCAGATAAGAGAGATGTATATGAATAAAATATCAGACCCTTTTGCTTCACTGGGAGAAGACTCAGATGATACTGGTGAGTGTCTGGAAGTGAGAATGCATTTTGGCATTATTGCTGACTTTGGCAGAGTAATTCTGTTAGACCTGGGTTTAAATTGTGTAATTGTTTTACTCTGAAAATAAACGTATAAAACCAAAAAAAGAAAAAACTTGACTTATAATTACAGAGAGAACAGTTCACAGATCTCATTTAGTTTTATGAGTCTTGGCAAATGTCTGTATGATGTCACCAATACCCCAGTGAAGATAGAGCATTTCTGTCACACTAGAAAGTTCCTTCATGCCAATTTCCAGTCAAGTCCCCCAGGGGCATACACTACACTGATTTCTATCCCATTGGGTTAGTTTTGCTATACATTAAAATGTCTGTCTTTTTGGAGGCTGTTCCTATTAACTTTGACGTTTAATTCAGATGGGCAAAAGTGATGATCACAATGTGATATAATGTTCCATATTCATATGATATTTTATAATAATTTCTTTGATATAAAAAGTGCTTGAGGCCAGGAGCGGTGGCTCACTCCTGTAATCCCAGAACTTTGGGTGGCCAAAGTGGGCAGATCCGAGAGTTTGAGACCAGCCTGGCCAACATTACGAAGCCCCGTCTCTACTAAAAATACGAAAATTAGCAGGGTGTGGTAACACACACCCGTAGTCCCAGCTACTCTGGAAAGTGAGGTGGGAGAATCACTTGAGCCTGGCAGGTGGAGCTTGCAGTAAGCCAAGATCCTGCCACTGCACTCCGCCATGAGTTATAGAGTGAGACTCAGCCTAAAAAAGAAGTACTTGGGAGGTATTTATTTATGGAACTAAGAGAAATACTTTTACTGTACATAGTTACATAGTTATACCCTTTGTCTTTCCCTGCAACATTTCATAATTGTGTTTCTAATTTTCAAAGATGATACTGTTTTGGCTAGCTCTATTTTTTTAAAAATACCTTTTATTAGTAAATATGGAAACATGATTTAATCTTTGAGCCCAGTCAAGCTGTTAAATAAAAATGTTCTTTGTGTGTGTGTGTGTGTATAATTCTGTAAAATGTAAATACTAAGTTTTTCCTCAAGGTTACTTATAAACTGATATTATATGTACCATATTTTTATCTGTTATTTATGTATATGTTATGTGTTTCAGTTTTTAGAGCACAACATGTACAGCTGTTAGAATTGCTGTATGCTTATTTTTAAAAGAAAATAGTTGTTACCCAAAACTTACTTTGATTTTTAATAACATAGAAATAAAGTTACTCACTGTAAAAAAGTCTTAAAAGTTCTTTTAATGTGGTTCATGGTCAGATTAATTGTGTTTGGTCTTGGGTTTATTGTCACGTACTTCTCAAATTTTTGGAAAGGACCAAGTTTTTTATACTTTTATAAATACTATAGCTTCCTTCCCCTCCCCCCACCCAAGATATTATACATTTGGGTGGAGTAAAGAATGGAATACCAGAATTAACTGTTGTTTTATAGCAGTATCAAACAAATCCCTGTATATGCCATATGGATACAGGAAACAAGGATTTATGAAATTGTTTCAGTATGGAAATTTGGTCTATAGTGATAGTTATTAATGTTTAGCATTTGTAAATATTAAGATTAGTAGATGTCTTTATTCTACTTGCAGCTTGACAAACTAAAATTGAAATAATGAGCTGTTTGGAAAGAAAGTTAATGTCATTGTTCCAGTTACTCTTAAAAACTTGTATATTCTATGGTTCTTACTCCTTTCTCCCTTTTACTTCTGTGTTCTTAATTCTTTTCTTGCTTCTGCTGCTTTCTAGTTTCATTTCTCCGACAAGTCCAAGGCTTTGCCTTATTTCTGATGTTCTCATCAGTGTCACATCTCCATTTGTTTTACACAGTGCATTCAGAGTAATTTTCCTAGAACATTGCTTTGGTTATTTTACTTCCATCCTAAGAAATTTGCATTGATTCTTCTGTGAGACTCATAAAACTTTTTATTTTCATTAAACTGGTCTTCATGTTCCTCTGCCTTCTGGCTTCATCATTTGTCTTTGACCTTACTTCAGATGCTTTACAACAAATAGCTTTGGCTGTACCAGACAGTTCTTTCTGCTGAAACAATCTGATAGTGTGTTCTTTTGTTTTGTTTTGGTTGTGCTATTGTCCTTGTTGGAAATGTATTTTTTGTTTGTTGTTTTTGTGATGGAATTTTGCTCTGTCACCTAGGCTGGAGTGCAGTGGCACAATCTCATCTCACTGCAACCTTCACCTCCTGGGTTCAAGTGATTCTCCTGCCTCAGCCTCCCAAGTAGCTGGGACTACAGGCATGAGCCACCATGCCTGGCTAAATTTTTTTTTGTATTTTTAGTAGAGACAGGGTTTCGTCATGTTGGCCCGGCTGGTCTCAGCGTCCTGACCTCAGGTGATCCACCTGCCTTGGCCTCCCAAAGTGCTGGAATTACTGGCATGAACCACCGTGCTTGGCCGGAAATGTATTTTGCATATTCCTTGTGGCAAACCAGATCCTTCCTATTCTTTAAAGCCCAGCTTAAATCTCTACTTTAATAAAAGATTCTTCTGTATGTAGTATGTGCTCAATTATCTATGGCAAGTACCATATATTGTTACCTTTGCTTATATCTAACTAAATTGTAAGTTTCCAGCAGTTAGAACATTTATCATATGTGTCTTTGTAGTGCTGTGGTGGCTTCCACTATGCTAGGAACACAGTATGCACTTGATTTTTTAATGGCATGCTGAATCAGTCTTTGGTTTGATTAAATTCTGTGAGATAACGCTTATTATCCTTAGCGATGAATGGGGAATGGAGAAAAAAGAATCATGCACTCCCCTTCCCCATTTAGCCTGTATTTTTATATAGTCTCTTTTTGTTTCTTGATCTCTGTCCTTTTCACCTCATGTTCCTGTTTCGCTTTAAAATTCCAAAAATACAGCAGCCTTAGGGAGGGTAACTTGAGCTAGCATATGAAAATTCCAACGGTAATATATGCAGGTACTAGAAAGGCAGTATTTTTCAATAATTAAAACTGTCCAGAAGTGAAATCGATTGCCTTGGAAGATAGGTTGGTTTACTCTTAACTGGAATGGTTTGTAAAGAGGCGGGACAACCACCTGGAATCGTGTGGCTGGGATTTAAGCATTCACTAGGTAGATGAGGAGTAGTTTAGATGACTCTGAAGTTTCTTCCATTCTTGAGAATGTTTTAGTTGTATAGTCAGTCTTCTTTAGTTACCATAGCAGTTCCAAAAACATTTTCATTTCTTGTCTTTGCATAAAAATTATATCATGGTTAGTGATGGTGATTCAGCTTTTACCAAAAGTGAAATTCAACCTCAGAGGATAAAAAATGTTGGCACTCTCACATAAGTCAAAAGAGTGTGAAAAGATTCTCAGGTTAAATCTGTAAGACAGATTTTTTTTTCTGAATCTGGAAGGAATGTTTTTGAACACACTTGCTGTTTATATTTTCTATTAAGAAAAAAAAAAAAAAACCAGTGGATACAGGTTTCTATTGTAACCTAGTTATTCCTAGAAAAACCTATGAGCTAACTGGGTAGTCTTTAACTTAACTTAGCAATACCTATGTCATAGTATTGACTTGCTTGTCTTAATTTAAACTTTTGATCTTTCCTAGAAAAAATTTCTTATGGAAGGCAAAATCAGGGGTTTTCATCAGTCTTCATAAGTAAGCTTTGCTGTATTCTGTGGCCTCAACTTGAATTCTTAGTCAGGCCAAATACAGAGTGAACAGGCAAAAGAGTATTGATAGGTAACATAAATATTTTACGGTAGCTTAAAAAACAACTAAAACTACAGGCACTACTTATGTTAGTGGTCATGTTGTCCCAATATTCAGTGTTAAATTGAGATGTTTAGGATTATAAGAGGAGATGAAAGTGGCTAAGTACATTAAAGAAGTTTTCTGCTCTTTCACTCTGACATAGTTATTTCAAGTAAAGTTGGAATAAATTTTGTTATTTAGAAGGACATTAATTTTTCAAATAAAATGACTTACAGTTGATTAAAGTACAATATTTGTGTGGTACCTCTGCTATCTTTAAAAAATAAAAATCTGGAACTGGAGAGAACCTAGAATATTGATAGGCAGTCAAAATTTAAATTTTACATGAGATGTGCAAGTTTGTTTTACTTAGAGCGGATTCCAAGAATGTATTGCTTTGATCCTTCCTCCTGGGTGCTGTCTTAGATATTGGTGAGTAATTAGATTATCAGTTTATTGCAAAAAAGTTTTCATGACACTATTTTTTAAGTCTGTGGATGAAGGTGAGATAAGCATAGTATTTTCCATGTGAGTTCTGCAGAAGAGAAACATAAATAAAATATATAATTAAAATCAATTTTACCTGTTTTAATTTTTTTAAATGAGGCTAATAGAGATTTAAAATGATATAACTGGCTCACTTTATCTTTTGTTGCACAGCAGTTGTATAGATGTATCAATTTTTATGCATACACTAGTACCCACTGCAGATTTCCTTTGCTCGGTGTTTGATAAATCTTCTGTGCTTATGTGTTTAACTATATATTTAAATATAAAGTGAGTTTCTTTTAGACCAAAAATACCTACATATGGTATGCTTCTTCAGTATGTAGTTTTATATCTTTTTTTGTTTCAGTGAAGTTTTTTGAGTTACAGTTTATTTTTGAACTACAGTTTATTTTTAATATTCTCTTGCTTTAGTTTTCTTCTTCAGTGACTCCTCTTACCTGTATGTTGGATCTTTATTACCTAATGGCAATATTTATCATTTGCTTTTGGATCCTTTTTGTTACTTTTTTAAATTACATTTTTTTCCGTCTGCCTTTCCATTTTTCTTAGACTATTATTTGTTGTCTACGGTTCATTTTGTTTCATGTTTATTTCTGAAATGTTTTTTCTTTTATTTCCAATTTTTTCTTGATTCTGTCATTTTAATTCTGAATATTTCTTATTTTAAAATTTCAAATTTGGTTGTTCTGTTTTTCCATGTCTTTAATTTTATATGTTTTTTCATCACATACATGTCTTTTAGCTAGTTCTGAAGTAGTAGGTTACAGTTTTAATCTGTTTTTTGGGAAAAGTTTTCTAGATGTGTCTTCATTGTAGAGCTATTATTCTTACTCCTTTTAATATTAACTTTATATGAGATTTTACCTTGATTCTTTCTGCTGATCATTTTTATGCAATATTAATTTTCCTTTACTTTTAGGAGGAAGTCCTATTCAAGATAGCTTTTTTAACTTCACATACCTCCCTCTTCCGTTGTTTTCATGTAATGTTTAAAAACAAGGCCATGGCTGGAGGCGGTGGCTCATGCCTATAATCCCAGCAATTTGGGAGGCCAAGGTGGGTGGATCACCTGAGGTCAGGAGTTCGAACCAGCCTGGCCAATATGGCAAAATGCCGTCTCTACTGAAAATAGAAAAATTAGCTGGGCATAGGGCATGTGCCTGTAGTCCCAGCTACTTGGGAGACTCCATCTCAAAAAAAAAAAAACAAAAAAAAAACCCAAGGCCATTTGTTGAGATGTTCTTGTTCTGTTCCCTTTTTGCACTTTTATCTGGACCATCTCCTTTTGTATTATCTCTGTTATACCTGTCCTGCTCAATTTTGAGTCAATTCCCAGGTTTTTTCTTTTTCTCAGTTTGGGGTCCTATCCTGGAAGAGAAACTTCATGGTCAGATATGAGAGTTTGTAGGGGCTAGACTGTCTCTCCCCATTCCAAGCTTATTGTGGCCCATTCACACTTAATTGTTATTGGACTGTGTATTAGTGTGTTTTCACACTGCTAATAAAGACATACCTGAGACTGGGTAATTTCTAAAGAAAAAGAGGTTTAATGGACTCACAGTTCCATGTGGCTGGGGAGGCCTCAAATCATGGCAGAAGGTGAAAGGCACATCTTACATTGCAGCAGACAAGAATGGGAGCTAAGTGAAAGGGGTTTCCCCTTATAAAACCATTGACTCTCATGAGACTTACTCACTACCAAGAGAACAGTAAGGGGAAAACCGCCCCCATGATTCAATTATTTCCCACTGGGTCTCTCCCACAACACATGGGAATTATGGGAGCTACAATTCAAGATGAAATTTGCGTGGGGACACAGCCAAACCATACCATTCCACCCTTGGCCCCTCCCAAATCTCATGCCCTTACCTTGCAAAACCAATCATGCCTTCCCAGCAGGCCCCCAAAGTCTTAACTCATTTCAGCATTAACTCAAAAGTCCATAGTCCAAAGTCTCATCCAAGACAAGGCAAGTCCCTTCCACCTATGAGCCTGTAAAATCAAAAGCAAGGTAGTTACTTCCTAGATACAGTGGGAATACAGGCATTGGGTAAATACAGCTGTTCCAAATGGAGAAATTGGCCAAAATGAAGGAGCCACAGGCCCCATGCAAGTCGGAAATCCAGCAGGTCAGTCAAATCTTAAAGCTCGAAAATTATCTCCTTTGACTCTGTGTCTCACATGCAGGCCACACTGATGCAAGAGGTGGGTTCCTATGGCCTTGGGCAGCTCCACCCCTATGGCTTTGCCCCTGTGTCTTTGCAGGGTATAGCCTCCCTCCTGGCTGATTTCATGGGCTGGTATTGAGTGCCTGTGGCTTTTCCAGGTACATGGTGCAAGCTGTTGCTGGATCTACCATTCTGAGGTCTGGAGGATGGTGACCCTCTTCTCGTAGATAACTAGGCAGTGCCCCAGTGGGGACTCTGTGTGGGGGCTTGCATGACACATTTCCTTTCCATGCTGCCCTAGCAGAGGTTCTCCATGAGGGCCCCACCCCTGCAACAAACTTCTGTTTGGACATCCAGGTATTTCCATATATCCTCTGAAATCTAGGCGGAGGTTCCCAAAAGTCAATTCTTGACTTCTGTGCACCTGCAGGCTCAACACCACAGGGAAGCTGCCAACCCTTGGGGCTTACACCCTCTGGAGCCATGGTCTGAGCTATACATTGGCCCCTTTTAGCCGCAGCTGGAGCAGCTGGGATGCAGGGTACCAAGTCCCTAGGCTGCACACAGCAGGGGGCCCTGGCCCTGGCCCACAAAAGCATTTCTTCCTTCTAGGCCCCTAAGCCTGTGATAGGAGGGGCTGCCAGGAAGGTCTCTGACATGCCCTGAGGACATTTTCCCCATTGTCTTGTTAATTAACATTTGACTCCTCATTACTTACGCAGATTTCTGCAACCGGGTTGAATTTCTCCTCAGAAAATGAGTTTTTCTTTCCTATCGCATCATCAGACTGCAAATTTTCCAAACTTTTAGGCTCCGTTTCCCCTTTAAAATTGAATGGTTTTAACAGCACCCAAGTCACCTCTTGAATGCTTTGCTGCTTAGGCATTTCTTCTGCCAGATACCCTAAGTCATCTCCTTCAAGTTCAAAGATTTACAAATCTCTAGGGCAGGGGCAAAATGCAGCCAGTCTCTTTCCTAAAACATAGCAAGAGTCACCTTTACTCCGGTTCCCAACAAGTTCCTCATCTCCATCTGAGACCACATCAGCCTTGGTTTCATCATCCATATCATTATCAGCATTTTGGTCAAAGCTAGTCAGCAAGTCTCTAGGAAGCTCCAAATGTTCCCACATTTTCCTGTCTTCTTCTGAGCCCTCCAAACTGTTCCAGCCTCTGCCTGTTCCCCAGTTCCAAAGTCACTTCCACATTTTTGGTATCTTTACAGCAGTGCCCCACTCCCGGTACCAGTTTACTGTATTAGTCTGTTTTCATGCTGCTGATAAAGACATACCCAAGACTGGAGTAATTTATAAAGAAAAAGAGGTTTTAATGGACTCACAGTTTCACATGCCTGGGGAGGCCTCACAATCATGGCAGAAGGTGAAAGGCACGTCTCACATGGCGGCAGACAATAGAGAATGAGAGCCAAGTGAAAGAGGTTTCCTCTTATAAAACCATCAGGTCTTGTGAGACATATTTATGACCACGAGAACAGTAAGGGGAAAACCGCCCCCATGATTCAGTTATCTCCAACTGGGTCTCTCCCACAACGCCTGAGAATTATGGGAGCTACAATTCAAGATGAGATTTGGGTGGTGACAGAACCAAACCATATCAGACTGGGGAAAAATCCTTTTCAACTTCCTGTGCTTTTCTCAGATTGGTTCATTGTGATTTCCAGTTTATATATCTCTTGAATGTTTTGGTATTTTTTTCTCAGATCCATTGGACTCCCCATTAGTTGCAGGCCATCAGGCAGGTCTAGTGGTCATTGTAGTGGTTTGTTTCTGGCAGGTCTAGTGGTCATTGTAGTGGTTTGTTTCTACCTGATGGCATTTTGAAGTTTGTGGGGATAATCAGTTAGTTAGTTTTGTTGTAACTATCATCTATTGGTTTTTAGTTTTTCTACCTATGCCTTTCTGTTTTCTCTTTTCTGGGGAGATTCTGGGAACTTAGAAAATTATTTCTGCTGTTAAAGAATTTTTATGATAAGCAACATTTCATAGAATAAAATTTTAGTTAAAGGTAATTTGGAGAACTCTGTGTTAGAATATTATTTAATCTCTTAGGGGTTTGGCCCTTGGATAAATTTTCATAGTGTCTTGTAGAACCAGGCACGTAATAAGCTTTCAGTAAACAATTCTTGGTATACATTTATTCAAGAAAACCATAGGCCAAAAAGCCTTTTTTCTTATTTTGTGGAAGGATTTCTCATTATAATTTGATCAAGCTAACAACATTTCTCAAATTAGGGCCTCAGGTATATGCTTAACTTTTTAAGTTAATTGAGATTCAGTTGATGCTGAACCCTTGCTAGAATCATTAAATGCATCTTCAAAGAAGAGCAGAGAATGGGAGCAGCCTATAGCATTGGGTTATTGTATTGCCTGCATGTGAAGATTGAGGTAAAGAAAGAAAGTGGTACTGTCTATAACAAAATTTAATCTGTGAAGTTTAATAAGAGATTTGCATTTTAAGCAATCCATTTGGAAAAAAGTATATAAATTTTTAATTTGAATGTGCAAGATTATGCCCTATATTTTCTTTTTCCTCTTGATTTGTTAAAAATTTTTAAGGTTAAACTTTAAATAAGGTCAGTAATACTAATAGTTTTTTTGGAAATGGCATATTTTAGAATTTTCTGTTACATGTAGGTGATTATCACTATGTCAAAGGAGTGAACAAAATTGTTAAGATGTTACTTAGTGGAGGATTTTCATTTAACTCCTAATTCTTTTTTTTTTTTTGTTATACTTCAAGTTCTAGGGTACATGTGCACAACATGCAGGTTTGTTACACAGGTATACATGTGCCACGTTGGTTTGCTGCAACCCATCAACTCGTAATTTACATTAGGTATTTCTCCTAATGCTAACCCTCCCCCAGCCCCACACCCCCGATAGGCCCCGGTGTGTGATGTTCCCCACACTGTGTCCAGGTGATCTCATTGTTCAATTCCCACCTATGAGTGAGAACATATGGTGTTTGGTTTTGTATCCTTGTGATAGTTTGCTGAGAATGATGGTGTCCAGCTTCATCCATGACCTACAAAGGACATGAACTCATCCATTTTTATGGCTGCATAGTATTCCATGGTGTACATATGCCATGTTTTCTTAATCCAGTCTATCATTGATGGACATTTGGGTTGGTTCCAAGTCTTTGTTATTGTGAATAGTGCTGCAGTAAACATATGTGTGCATGTGTCTTTATAGTAGCATGATTTATAATCCTTTGGGTATATACCCAGTAATGGGATGGCTGGGTCAAATGGCATTTCTAGTTCTAGATCCTTGGGGAATTGCCACACTGTCTTCCACAATGGTTGAACTAATTTACAGTCCCACCAACAGTGTAAAAGTGTTTCTGTTTCTCCACATCCTCTCCAGCACCTGTTGTTTCCTGACTTTTTAATGATTGCCATTCTAACTGGTGTGAGATGGTATCTCATTGTGGTTTTGATTTGCATTTGTCTGATGACCAGTGATAATGAGCATTTTTTCATGTGTCTGTTGGCTGCATAAATATCTTCTTTTGAAAAGTGTCTGTTCATATCCTTTGTCCACTTTTTGATGGGGTTGTTTGTTTTTTCCTTGTAAATTTGTTTGAGTTCTTTGTAGATTCTGGATATTAGCCCTTTGTCAGATGGGTAGATTGCAGAAATTTTCTCCCGTTCTGTAGGTTGCCTGTTCACTCTGATGGTAGTTTCTTTTGCTGTGCAGAAGCTCTTTAGTTTAATTAGATCCCATTTATCAATTTTGGCTTTTGTTGCCATTGCTTTTGGTGTTTTAGTCATGAAGTCCTTGCCCATGCCTATGTCTTGAATGGTATTGCCTACGTTTTCTTATAGGGTTTTTATGGTTTTAGGTCTAACATGTAAGTCTTTAATCCATCTTGAATTAATTTTTGTATAAGGTATAAGGAAGGGATCCAGTTTCAGCTTTCTACATATGGCTAGCCAGTTTTCCCAGCACCATTTATTAAATAGGGAATCCTTTCCCCATTTCTTGTTTTTGTCAGGTTTATCAAATATCAGATGGTTGTAGATGTGTGGTGTTATTTCTGAGGCTTCTGTTCTGTTCCATTGGTCTATCTCTCTGTTTTGGTACCAGTACCATGCTGTTTTGGTTACTGTAGCCTTGTAGTATAGTTTGAAGTCAGGTAGTGTGATGCCTCCAGCTTTGTTCTTTTTGCTTAGGATTGTCTTGGCAATGTGGGCTCTTTTTTGGTTCCATATGAACTTTAAAGTAGTTTTTTCCAATTCTGTGAAGAAAGTCATTGGTAGCTTGATGGGGATGGCACTGAATCTATAAATTACCTTGGGCAGTATGGCCATTTTCACGATACTGATTCTTCCTATCCATGAGCATGGAATGTTCTTCCATTTGTTTATGTCCTCTTTTATTTCGTTGAGCAGTGGTTTGTAGGTCTCCATGAAGAGGTCCTTCACATCCCTTGTAAGTTGGATTCCCAGGTATTTTATTCTCTTTGTAGCATTGTGAATGGGAGTTCACTCATGATTTGGCTCTCTGTTTGTCTATTATTGGTGTATAAGAATGCTTGTGATTTTTGCACATGATTTTGTATCCTGAGACTTTGCTGAAGTTGCTTATCATCTTAAGGAGATTTTGGGCTGAGACGATGGGGTTTTCTAAATATACAATCATGTCATCTGCAAATGGGGACAGTTTGACTTCCTTTTTTCCTAATTGAATACCCTTTATTTCTTTCTCTTGCCTGATTGCCCTGGCCAGAACTTCCAACACTATGTTGAATAGGAGTGGTGAGAGAGGGCATCCTTGTCTTGTGCCAGTTTTCACAGGGAATGCTTCTAGGTTTTGCCCATTCAGTATGATATTGGCTGTGGGTTTGTCATAAATAGCTCTTATTATTTTGAGATACATTCCATCAATACCTAGTTTATTGAGAGTTTTTAGCATGAAGGCTGTTGAATTTTGTCAAAGGCCTTTTCTGCATCTGTTGAGATAATCATGTGGTTTTTGTCATTGGTTCTGTTTGTGTGATGGATTACGTTTATTGATTTGCTTATGTTGAACCAGCCTTGCATCCCAGGGTTGAAGCTGACTGTATCCTGGTGGATAAGCTTTTTGATGTGCTGCCGGATTCGGTTTTCCAGTATCTTATTGAGGATTTTTGCATCGATGTTCATCAGGGATATTGGTCTAAAATTCTCTTTTTTTGTTGTGTCTCTGCCAGACTTTAGTATCAGGATGATGTTGGCCTGGTAAAATGAGTTAGGGGCGATTCCTTCTTTTTCTATTGATTGGAATAGTTTCAGAAGGAATGGTACCAGCTCCTCTTTGTACCTCTGGTAGAATTTAGCTGTGAATCCATCTGGTCCTGGATTTTTTTTGGTTGATAGGCTATTAATTATTGCCTCAATTTCAGAGGCTGATTTAAGTCTAAATTCTAAACTGCCTAATTTAGGTAGAACTGAGAGAGAATAAATAATAAGTTATTTGGAGATAGGGGCTTAAGTCCCCCTATAGAGTACAGGAAGTTGTTAGGTGGTGTTGAAAGAATACATGTATGTATCAGTCATCTAGAAACATAATTATTAATTTTATTGCACATAATATTTTAGAGGTGTATTCACTTTCCTGCTTTGTGTGAATATAATGGTAGAAGATAGCATTCATAGTTAAAATACTGGCCTGGGACTGTAGAACTGGGTTCTGCTTCTGGCTCTATTAACTAAATGGTGGGTGATCTTCAGTACTTGAAGAAAGTGGCTTTTAAAAAATATTGTATTATCTGGTCATATGGTAAGTTTTAATATTTTTTAAATGTATCACTATTATTTGTATAGTAACCTTTATTTGTTTACCAATCACTGAACGCATACCACAATGTGCTGAGGGCCTTTCAGGTAGAAAGGTGGAAGAAAGCATGTCGTGTTTGAGAAAGTAGTGTTCTGTGACCAGAGTGCTAGGTGCAGTTATATGTGTCAGAGGAGGTAAAGGTGAAGGTTACAGCCAGTGACTGGTTTGGTGCTGATCTTATGAGTGATAGTAGGGAGAGAGTAGGGAGCTCTTAAAATATTCCTGCAATAGCCTAGGCAATAGATGACTAGATCCTGAATTAATGTAATGGCAGTGGACTTGATAAACAGGAGATGCCTACAAAGAATATATTGAGGAGTCAGAATAACCAAGACTTTTGGCAGAAGAGGGGAGAGTCCAGGATGATTCCTGAGCTGGGCCTTAAGCACCTAGAGTGAAAGTGATGGTTTATTCCTGGACTTTAAGTGGTATGGATATTATAGTAAGTAGAGATGACAGAAGAGTGTAATGTGAAGCTTTTCCAATTTTGTCATAACAATGTTTAATTGCATTGCTTACAAAAAAGAATACATTCTCTCCGTTTGTAGTAATTAGCAAATGCTGCAACAGATAAATCAATATCTGAGAATATCTAGAAATTGTGAAAAGTATGAAAACTGCTACCTCTAATTCCACATCATCATTAAAAAATTTGAATTGTGTGGTTTATTCTTTAAAAAAATAATTAAAACAGAGAACAGCTTCCCCTAAAAAACAAGTTTATGAAACTGAAGGAATGGACTCTGTATTAAATATTTCCAAAGAGTTCCTGAGACCAAAAACGGTGGCCCTTCTTTTCCAGCAGCTGGAATCCAAAAGATCTTGAAACCAGTCCTGAAAGGCTTGCTCCTATGCAAGAAATCCTGGTGAATTTTGAGAGGAAGATAGAGAAATTTCTCGAAAATTTCAAGTGGTAGTAGAGGTGAGTTACTGCCATGAAGAATTTATCCAGGGACTAAAAATATTCATTTTTCTTTATAAAAGTTTTTAAAAATATGTATATTTAGCTGGAAATAAGATTTTCAGTTGAAAATCCTAGTCTTTGTGTTTTAAAGCTTTTAATGAATAGAAAATAATAGAGCAAGTAGTTTCCCCCCTCCCACACAAATACATTAAAAATTTAAGAAAGTTTTAATCATCAGCAACAATGATGTTTCTATAAGATGATGATACTGGAAAAATGCATGGTAAATAAATGCCATATTTATGCTTTGAATGTATTTTGAGTGTAAGATCTGCTTGGATGAGATTTTTTAAAATATATATTCATGATCTTTTTGATTTATGAGAAGACTTTTTTCTCCTTAGTAAAGGAGGAAGTCTCCTTTTTCTGATTCAAGTGCTGCTTGGATACCCTACTGAAGCTCCCTCTAGATAGTATTTTACTTAGAAACAATGCAGGATTACTATAGCCCCTTCTAATTATTTTATTTAGTTGTTGGGAATAGAAAATATGTGGACATGGTACAAACTTTAAAGGGGACAAAAGTGCAGTGAATATTCTCCCTCCCACTTCTGTCTCTGTCATTCAGTTGCCCTCCATAGAAGTAACCATATTTATCAGTTTTTTGTATATTTTTCCTCACATATTTTATGCATATATATATATATACACAGACTTATAGTTGGCATACATTTTTATATCCTTACAAAAATCTTTTGACCCATAGGTAGGACTCTTCTTTCTCTCAATCAGTTCCTCAGAAAATGGAGTAGAAGAAAATTGGCATATTAGTGTGTTCTCACACTGCTATAAAAATACCACCTGAGACTGGGTAATTTATAAGGAAAGGAGGTTTAATTGACTCGGTTCCTCATGGCTGGGAGGCCCCAGGAAACTTATAATTATGGCGGAAGGCGAGGGGAAAGCAAGGCACATCTTATATGGCAGCAGGAGAGAGAGAAGCGTGCAGGGGAAACTGCCATTTTTAAAACCATCAGATCTCATGAGAACTCCCTCACTATCGTGAGAACAGCATGGGGGAACAGATCCCCATGATTCAATCACCTCCCACCAAGTCCCTTCCCAACACCTGACGTGTGGGTATTACGAGATGAGATCTGGGTGGGGACACGAAGCCAAACCATATCAATTGGGTAGAAAACTATTTTAAATAGTTATTAGATTAATTTTCTTCCTCCAGATTAAAACATAGGCATGTGGCATCCTTCTGTTAAACATTGATATTTAAGATTTGACTATTTTAACATTTTGCAGTTTTGCCATTGGGAATTTAGAAGATGTAATTGCAACTTAATTGTAACCTAATCATTTGCAATATCTGCTTCTCTATTTTTCCCCCACTTACCTCATTTAAAAAAAAAACAACAACCAGTAAACCTCAAAGGACAAGTCAGTACACATATACAAATTTGTGAAAACTATGCAGATAGCTTCCTGAAACAATACGTTAGAATGAATTTTAGTTTTACTATTAATGGCTGTTGTTCAGGTACTTCTTAGCATCTGAGGGACAAAGTACAGGGGTAAGAAGAAGATACTGAGAAAAAGGGAGATGTATAAAGAAGGAAAGTCCAAGAAGCCACATTTATGAGGCTTAGCCACTGAGCATGGAATGGACTGTATTTGGCTTTAGTTGGCCTAGGACAAGTAGAAGCCATACCTTGAAGTAGATTATTCACTTAGAGACCTCTGGTTTCCAAGATTTTGGAAGATTAAAACAAAATATTTGACAAGTCTTCTTTTCAGGGGAATGCATTATTAATTTGGAATTTCAGGTGGTATGTCATTTATTTTGCCTCTTATTATATTTAATTATTGTTTCCTGATCCTGACAGTGACGTAAACTTGGGCACACTTTGTTTTATCTGTTCCTACTCTTTATCTTCACATATTTATTTCAAGGTTCTGTTTTCAGTAAAGCTGTTATGTGCTGCTTAATTGCCATTTGTCACTGGAGATGCCCTGTTGACATAAAACAGTGATTTTTTAAAAAAATATTTACAGTACTGTTAAAAATGAATGAAATCTCCTATTACATTTGCTTGCTTACTCATTGATTCTACCTACTTTCTTTTTATCTATTCCCATGTTTAGTTATACGTGTTATTTTTTGTATGTTTTAGTTTCTTAAATTAGACAAATGTGATAAGCAAATGTCATTTAAAATTTTAAATTGACAGCCCCAATTCTCTTCAGTCTCTGTAAAATATAAATGACTTAAAATTGTTTTAGAATAGGGGTTTTGCTGTTTTAATGCTAAAACTGTGATTGGGTAAAATGTTTTGTACTTAGGAAGTTTCACAAATAGAAATGTTTCATATACATTAGATTGCAGTGACAGTATGTTGGGCAGTAGATGAATTTCAGCAATTCAAAAAGTATTTTAAAATATTGACTTCCAAGTGATGTGATGCTTTGGGCTGGTGATGTTGTATGTACTAGATTATGTGGGGAAACTAAAAACACATCGATTATGGATTGATGAGGGCAAAATACTTTTAATAGTAAGGTTTAGGATTCTTCAATGGTTTATTACACCATTTCCAGGTGAAGCCTGCCTTTGTAATTATAAGGGTGGTAAGTTTGGATGAAGATGAGTCAACTAAAAAAGTGCAGTACAAAATTCATCTTTCTGGGAACATACGTTAAATGAGAACAGGCTGAATTTAATGGGAAAAGTCAATAACAGTAGTTTAAAAATATGTTCAATTGGCAGGGTGCGGTGGCTCATACCTGTAATCCCAGCACTTTGGGAGGCCCAGGCGGGCAGATCATCTGAGGTCAGGAGTTTGAGACCAGCCCGGCCAACATGGTGAAACCTCGTCTCTACTAAGAATATAAAACTTAGCTGGGCATGGTGGCACGCATCTGTACTCGCAGCTACTTGGGAGGCTGAGGCAGGAGAATCACTTGAACCTGGGAGATGGAGGTTGCAGTGAGCCAAGATTGTGCCACTGCACTCAAGCCTGGGTGACAGAGTGAGACTCCGTCTTACAAAAAATAAATAAAAATAAAAATACGTTCAGTCTACTGGCAGAAGTACATGTTCACTTATTCCTCAATATGTTAATATATTTTTCTTAAAGTAAACATGAATGTTGAGTTTGTATTCAATAGATTCTTACAATCATTTCTTACTTTGTCAAGAATATCAATACATTTTCTCCTCACTTGCTTGACTTGTTTTTTAAATCTTCATTTTGAGATGAAGTATAGTTTAATGAGTAAATAAATGTCTACTTAAAAATATTTAAAAAATAAATTTAATAGAAACTTTAACTTAAGTAGTTCAGAGTCCTCCCCTTTCTTTTTTCATACTTGAAGTGTGAGATAAAGAGAAAAAAAAATACTGACAGGGAATGATGTGACTTCTCTAAAGCCAAAGAATTTTCAAAATTACTAAGATCTTTGAATTTTTAGTGATTTATTTGATAGCCTCACAATTATCCCTCCTGTAGAAGTGAAAGCAAGTTTAGAAAATTTAAGTGTTTCAAAATGATGCTAAGTACTAAGTATTAAAATAGTACTTAGGGTCCGTCTTGATTCATAGGAACTAGATGGTAGAGGTTCAGATAGCTAGTTTATTACCAATAATTTAAAAAATAGAACTTAGTTTTTCTTTTAGACAAAAGTACATGTCACTTATCCCCTCCACACCCCCTGTTTTTTTGCAACCAGTCTGCTTGACGTAGCTTTGGAAAACTGAATAATTAATTGCCAAAGAATAAGCAGAAGCATTTTTGGTGAGAGAACCTAAAAGAAAAGGAATAATGTTTTAACAACAGGAATGATGTTTTAATAATAGAGGTAACACTTATAGCATCTTCTGTCTTGTCGTAAAATTTTCTAGATACTTATTTTGACTAGCTGCTGCATGGTGATATGGATTGGGAGTGAAGGAACTGAATCTTAGTGTCAGCCGTGTCACTAATGCATTATATTAACCAGTAGAAAAATCATACAACCTCTTTGTGCCTCAGTTTCCTCTCTGTAAAGTGAAAACCAGGCCTCTAAAACTAAGAGCCTGCTGTTAGTAAGCCCTGCAGGACATAGTCCCAGTTCCACTGGATGAAGCCTGAAATATCAAAATCATTGATGGGTGATGTTGGTTCTATTGCAAGTTGAATTATGGAGACTGATAGAATCTTAGGCCTGTTACTTAACATCTTTACAGATTCTGTTTCTTTTCCTGTAAAATTAGGATAATAATGCCTGTCTCATGGTTGTTTTGAAATTTAAAATTGCAAATATAGGTAAAGTGTTGAGGCTAATGCTTGTGTCACTGTAGCTATTATGCTATTTTTATTATTTTTTTCCTGCTACTTACTGGGCAGAGTTTACTCTTCAGGGCCTTGAGTCCTTGAGGACAGCTAGTTTGCCCCATATTCTTTATCGCCTCCCCAAAACATCAGCTCCTGTTGTTTTTTTCCCCTGCCCTCTCATTTCCAAATTGCCCAATCTTTCATTTTCACTGGTTCTTTCACTGCTCCCCTACCTCCCACCCTTTTCTAGTCTACTTTTTAGAAACCTAGAAACTAAGCTTACCAATATATTTTTTATAGTCACAAAATGATCTCTCTACATCTGTGATGTCATTGAATTCTTATTTCCCCAAATCCCAACTAACAAACACATCCATGCACTTTTACGCAGTCACTTTTTGGCAGTGGTCTCCTATAGAAATGACTCATTATTCCACATCACCTCTACCTTTCAGATTTTAATGTTACTATTTGTGATAACATCACTAGAACAGTGTTTAATAGTTTGGTATAATGTACATATCTGCCTTGTTCCTAATTATTTTTTATTTCCCCCCCGAGATATTAATGAGCTACATTAAATAGATATGTACAGTCATAGTCATTGAATATAAGATACTGCTGATTTTAAGAAGCACATCCACTTTACGGACCAATAAGAAAAAAAATACCAATTATTAGACACCATCAATTGTGAGATGTATTCCTATTTCAAAGACGTTAAAATATGAAAAAATGTAAACGAGGATTGATGAGATATAGTATAGCATTTTTAATCTTAACTTTTCTGTTAAAATTTCTATATATTCTTGCTTGATAGAAACTTTTCAAATTTTCTTACTTTTGCACTTTCAGTGAACTGTATCTGAATTACTTTTTGCTTCATTGCAGACTAAGGCATTTTTACTTGGTCTAGTTCTTTCCAAATGTTTAATGTCTTTATGATTACATAACTTGATCATCTTCTGTTTACAAATTCCCATCACGGCACAAAGATGCAGCATCATTTGAATGCTTGAGATGGAAAACATTTTTTCGATTTTCAGGAAGGGTGAGCTATACTGAAATTTTCTCAGCTCCTCTCCCCACACACAGAATTACGTATTAACTCTTCTTATGCTAACTTCATGCTAGTAGCCACTGTGATGTCATAGAGCCCTCTGACTTTATACTGTTTACCTTTTATAATTTTTTTATTTTACACAATTTTGAAGCTCAGATTTATTTTGCCTTCTATGTCATCTTGGAGCTTAATGGTAAAGCCCGCCCCTTTAATCCATTTTTCTCACTGCCCTCCGCCCCCCGCCCATTACTTCACTTTCTCATTATCTCTAGAGGGAAGACTTAGAAATGTAGTTTACTCTGAGAGAATACTTACATTGAGGTGAGGAAGAATAGATACCTAGAGGTGATTGTATATTGGAATTTAGTGCACTTTAAAACTCTCAGTTGGGAGAAGAGTCACTATATTTTTTGTTTGAAGAAAGATAGTTCTGTGTATACTTGAGGGCTACAACTCAACGCAGATGTCAGGTAACCTGTTAAATCTGGATTGTCATCTCAAGGACATAGGGGTGTGTGTCTGGGAAACAGGAAGAAAAAGAAATATTATGAAAACTGATCTCTCTACCAGTTAAAACATTTTAAGGAACTGAAGTTCTGTGTAAATGATGTCATATAATATTGTAATGTTCTTAAATCTTACATTTAGTTTCTAATATAATAGAATATTAAGGAAGTACTGTTTGCATAGTCATTCCTCATAGATGACACTGAAACCTAATTAAACTGGTTGAAATGATTATCAAATTGTTTTATTCTTACTGAGCAATTGTTCTTACCATTGGAATTCACAGATTTTTAGGGAGGAGTTTCTATGAACTGAACTTATATGTAAAGTTTGGGCATTAGGCACAATTTATTAGGGTTTTGTAGGGAAACTCCTCAAAGGGATTATTATTAATAACTCAAAAGAAATTAATACATTTTTACAGAGTTTTAGGTCAGCACTGTTTCTCTCTTATCTGGCCTTCATTGTGATCTTGATTGTAAATCAGTAGAATCCCAGGGTATTTCAAAGCTCAAAAGAAAGAAAACTTGTCAGCCCTGGAAACGGGAGCATTGTTCAAGTGGTGCACTAGAAAAAATGGCAGTACTGCCTACAAACTATGAGGGAATTCACTGTTAGGAAGTAGTAAGTGTAAAGGTGGTACTGTTTTCACAAAAAAAGACATTTAGATTATGGACTATGGATCAACATACGTTGATAAATGTGAAGGATTAAAAATATGCTTCTGTTTTAACTTGAGTGATTAATTTCGTAGTTGTGATTTAAATTATATTTCTAAGGAGAATATATATTGGAAATAATAAATTATTTGGTATTTGTGTATATGTATGTATGTGTATGTATGTGCAGGAATCACTTTTTAATGTTTATGTGAGTAATTAAAAAATTTTTTTTATTATAGTGCATGCAAGATATGGGAAATACTAAAGCAAGACTACTCTATGAAGCCAATCTTCCAGAGAACTTTCGAAGACCACAGACAGATCAGTATCCTTTAAAACTTATTTGTTTTGAGTTTAAAAAACATTAACTCATTTTTACAGTTCATATTTTATCTGTTAGTATTTAGGAAGATGTGAACTTTATCACGCTACTGTTCATTAAAGATAGAAATTGACTTGCTGTGAGCTGTGCTTTGTATATGGTAGGTTTTTAGTAGGAATTTGGCACACAGATTACATAATTACATAAAAATACACGATACATATGGTATTTAGATGTGATTACAGACCCCTGATTCACAATGATTATTTGACTTACGATTTTTCCACTTCATGATGGTGAGAAAGCAGTATGCGTTTGGTAGAAACTGTACTTTGAGTACTAGTGTAACCATTCTGTTTTCACATTCAGTACAGTATTCAGTAAATTACATGAGATATTCAATACTTTATTAAAAATATGCTTTGTGTTAGAAGATTTTGCTCAACCGTAGGCTAATGTTAGTGTTCTGAGCACATTTAATGTAGGCTAGGCTAGGCTATGTTTGGTAGATTAGGTGTATTAAATGCATTTTTGACTTAAAATATTTTCAACTTAGGATGGGTTTACTGGGGCCTAACCCATTGTAAGTTGAGGGGCATCTCTGTTACTAAGTGTAAAATGTTATGACTGATTCTTCTTGATTGTTCTCCATCTCTCAATTGGAAAGTATATGCTGTTTATTATTTTAGACTGTTACTAGAAACTTGATTTGTAAGCATCCTGAGTATGTTAGAAATCATTTCCATATATTCTTTGATTACCTTTATATAGTAGTTATATTTATGTGAGGCATTGTGGCATTTAGAAGGCAAATTACATAGTATTTTTTACATAGCGTAAATTCTGAGTAATTTACACTACTGACACTCTGTTGTAGGTTGCACAACTATGTTTGCTTTATGAATCCACCTTTATGAGTGGATAGAATTGTTTCCCACATAATCCACCTTTATGAGTGGATAGAATAGTTTCCCATGAAAACATTTTAATATGTTTTTTATGTTTTCTAAATATAAAATCATAATTCTGTAGGATTTTTATAACTCATAGTTTAAAAAAGCAGCTCATCAAAATTGTGCTGCTTTATAAATAAGATTATCTGATTAATTGTAGGTACGTGGATTCTGTTTGAAGGTAACATTTGTGACTTTGACAATAAAATGTAGTTTATTAACGATCAATTATATTGTACCCATTTGTATAGTAAAACAATTTGTGTGGCCAGTGGAGGAAATATCTTTTCTCACACAGAGATATAGGTCATTATATGTTTATTTCCACATTTGGACAGAAACCTTTTAAATTATAATTGAGAAGTTAGTAATTTGTATTTGGCGTTTTCTGTTTCTGTTCGCCCCACTCCTTTCTCACAAATTTAGCAGTCTGATATCCGAAGCTGTATTTGTTATAGAAAGTTTGCAGGGTTAATGGTAGAAGGTTCATTTCAGGTATAAAAAATTGTGTGAGTAAAAGTATGGAGGTATGAGAGAACATGACCTTTTAGGTCAGAAGAAGCTTGGAAGGTATTTTGGTCCAAATTGCGAAGGGTTTTCAGTATGATGTAGAGTAGTTTAGACCTCATTTCATTGGCCCAAGTGTTTAAAAACACATGAAGGATTTTGTCAATGTACAAAAATCACAAGCATTCTTATACACCAATAACAGACAAACAGAGAGCCAAATCATGAGTGAACTCCCATTCACAGTTGCTTCAAAGAGGATAAAATACCTAGGAATCCAACTTACAAGGGATGTGAAGGAACTCTTCAAGGAGAACTACAAACCACTGCTCAAGGAAATAAAAGAGGATACAAACAAATGGAAGAACATTCCATGCTCATGGGTAGGAAGAATCAATATCGTGAAAATGGCCATACTGCCCAAGGTGATTTACAGATTCAATGCCATCCCCATCAAGCTACCAATGACTTTCTTCACAGAATTGGAAAAAACTACTTTAAAGTTCATATGGAACCAAAAAAGAGCCGGCATTGCCAAGGCAATCCTAAGCCAAAAGAACAAAGCTGGAGGCATCACACTACCTGACTTCAAAATATACTACAAGGCTACAGTAACCAAAACAGCATGGTACTGGTACCAAAACAGAGATATAGATCAATGGAACAGAACAGAGCCCTCAGAAATAACGCCGCATATCTACAACTATCTGATCTTTGACAAACCTGAGAAAAACAAGCAATGGGGAAAGGATTCCCTATTTAATAAATGGTGCTGGGAAAACTGGCTAGCCATATGTAGAAAGCTGAAACTGGATCCCTTCCTTACACCTTATACAAAAATCAATTCAAGATGGATTAAAGACTTAAACGTTAGACCTAAAACAATAAAAACCCTAGAAGAAAACCTAGGCATCACCATTCAGGACATAGGCATGGGCAAGGACTTCATGTCCAAAACACCAACAGCAATGGCAACAAAAGCCAAAATTGACAAATGGGATCTAATTAAACTAAAGAGCTTCTGCACAGCAAAAGAAACTACCATCAGAGTGAACAGGCAACCTACAAAATGGGAGAAAATTTTCGCAACCTACTCATCTGACAGAGGGCTAATATCCAGAATCTACAATGAACTCAAACAAATTTACAAGAAAAAAACAAACAACCCCATCAAAAAGTGGGCGAAGGACATGAACAGACACTTCTCAAAAGAAGACATCTATGCAGCCAAAAAACACATGAAAAAATGCTCATTATCACTGGCGATTAGAGAAATGCAAATCAAAACCACAATGAGATACCATCTCACACCAGTTAGAATGGCAATCATTAAAAAGTCAGGAAACAACAGGTGCTGGAGAGGATGTGGAGAAATAGGAACACTTTTACACTGTTGGTGGGAATGTAAACTAGTTCAACCATTGTGGAAGTCAGTGTGGCGATTCCTCAGGGATCTAGAACTAGAAATACCATTTGACCCAGCCATCCCATTACTGGGTATATACCCAAAGGACTATAAATCTTGCTGCTATAAAGACACATGCACACGTATGTTTATTGCAGCATTATTCACAATAGCAAAGACTTGGAACCAACCCAAATGTCCAACAATGATAGACTGGATTAAGAAAATGTGGCACATATACACCATGGAATACTATGCAGCCATAAAAAATGATGCGTTCATGTCCTTTGTAGGGACATGGATGAAATTGGAAATCATCATTCTCAGTAATCTATCGCAAGAACAAAAAACCAAACACTGCATATTCTCACTTATAGGTGGGAACTGAACAATGAGATCACATGGACACAGGAAGGGGAATATCACACTCTGGGGACTGTGGTGGGGTGGGGGGAGGGGGGAGGGATAGCATTGGGAGATATACCTAATGCTAGATGACGAGTTAGTGGGTGCAGCACACCAGCATGGCACATGTATACATATGTAACTAACCTGCACATTGTGCACATGTACCCTAAAACTTAAAGTATAATAAAAATAAATAAATAAATAAAAATAAAAACACATGAAGGATTTTGAAGCAGGAGAAACATTAGAAACATTAACTTCCACTGTAAGGAAGAATAGTTGGAGGTGGGAGGAGAGCCTAGAAGCAGAGAGACCATGTGAAATACTTATACAGCCCAAAATTAGCAATGACAATCTAAGTTAGATAGTGGCATTGGGAATGGGCAGGATTAAATTGGAGAGATTGGAAACAAGTTGGGAAAGCTACATTAAGATTGGCTTTGGTTCTGAGGGAGTCACTAAAATAACCCTGAAATTTCTAGCTTGGTTGACCATAAAGCTTATTCACTGGGAGAAGGAATTCATTACCAGCAGGAGGATTAAGAGTTAGAAATGAAAGATAATGAGCCATGCTTTCTTACTTTGGGCAGATTGATACTTCTGTTACACATATACATGGAGTTACCCCATTTGGTGGCTGGAAACATGAGTCTGGACCCTAGAAGAGAGCAGTACATTCAGATTGAGGAGTCGCTTAGCATGTAGGTGATGATATAAAGTGCTGGGTCAGCTTATGTTTACCTAGGGCAGCAGTTCTTTATTTTGCAGATTTTATTGAGAATCCTGAGAATTCTTTTCCTTCTCTGGAAAAGGAAAGCCTGTGGCTGAATCCTGAAGAATAAAGCATGGTAGAAGGAAAAACAGCCCAGCATACAAATCAGCATTGTAGGTGGTTGTTACCAGCTGCTTGCTGGTTACATTAATTTATTCCCTCTTTTTTTGCCCCCCACTCACTAGGCTGAGTTGATATATATGACCCCTCGAATTGAAGAATCCTCCTTTTCTGGAAGTTTGTGTCTGTGGCAGGGTGGGGAGGTTGGGTTGGGTTGGATTTTTTAGGTGTCCCTTGAATATAACAGGGTAAATTACTTGACGTTTTTGAAAATTTTGGTTTCATCCTTTATGTGTTACCTATGCATGAGAGTAGCTTCCAAGTTATTTAATTTATTACACTGATTCCATATTGTTTTCAAATTATCATGAAGGATATTGAGGGCAGGACAGTATATATCTTCTTGGTATCCTCACTTATTGAACTATTCTATGCACCATTTTGTGTAGGTTGGTAGGAATACTGTTTCTTCATTACCACCAATTTTATGATGCACCTTAGAGAGCTAAAGTGCTAATGAGATATTGCATTATTAGTTCTGTTATCTTGGCTGATATATTTTAAAATATTTGGTCCTTTTCTATAGATTTCAGGAAAGATGAGATTTTTATAGTGAATTGATTGGTGTCTATATTGGTAAATCCTTGACGTTCGACACAGTGAAGATATAATACTGGAAACAACAGCTGTAATAACTTTACTGCTTAATAAGTGTTTGCCCTATGCCAAGCCCTGACCATGGCATTTTATGTACATTATCTTTTTTATTTCTCAAAATAACTCGGTGACATAGAGCATAATATTTTCTTTTGTGGGGAGTGGGGTGGGAAGGATGAGATGCTCAAAGAGCTATTAAGAAACTTCCTAAAGCCTCCAGACTTTCCCTCCTGTATCGGGACACTTGAGTATTATTTAATGATGGTAGTCTGAGTAAAATCAGTGCTGCCACATTTAAGTCTTGATTGCCTTTGAAAATAGGGTTATTATAATTTGGCACTCTTGGCAGCTAGATTGTAAGATCTAGGTGAAGATTTCAACTTTTCATTACCTGGTATGATTTATGTTAGGCTTTTGGATTAACTATATATTTGCTGTTGTTACCTCAGTCATTCTTATTTAATTTTTCAAACTAAATGTTACTCCTTTTTACAAATTATGGTCATATTTATGTGAGGTATTGATCTTTATTGTTCATATGGTTGTCAGACTTGTTTAAAGAGGGTCTTTGTCTAACATGTTTGAGCTAGATGATTACTTATGTTAAGAGTATAAGATGACAATTCTTGGACCATGAGACTAGTCCCCATATCTAATGTAATCTGTAGCCTTTAAAAAAATTACCTTGGTTATTATAACAATACTTTTTATTCTTTTAATTATGAAACACTGTAATTTGGAGGTTTTGTAGGGAGAGGCTGGTAAGAAAACCGGCTTGCCTTTCTCTCTCCCTCCCTCCAGTCTTTCCTTTCATCTATCCATCTTTCTAAAGCTCATTGCTCTTTGAAAAGCCTAACATTTCTGTAGTTTTATAGATATAAATATAGTTGTCTCATCCCTAGAGCAAGTATAACCAAACTAAGTTAAACTCATATAATATGGGACCTCATTGCATTCTTAACAAGATTTGTCACTTTTTAAAAAGCTTTGCAATTTACAAAAGTTATGCAAAAGCTGCTGTGAAAGTGTAATTTCTAATGTGGGATGTGGTTAATTATAGGCTGCATGTCCTAGTGCATGACAAATGATAAAGCTTTACATTAAGCTTTTCATTATTAGGATATTTTGTCTTATCTAAAAAACTTTAATTACTTCAGTTCCATGAGATCTATTGTGTACCAAAGCTAATCAGCAGTTCTCCTTTGAGCTTTTCAAAGTTTTACTGCTGTCAGTGCTGTGTGTTTGAAACTGGAAGATTTTCTTCTTTGGGAGTAGATATTAATTTAGTTGTCTTTCAAATGGTATATTTTTAAAGAAAAGAAAAAAATCTTAAAATATATAGATACATGTTAAAAGATAAAGCGTATAATAATGTTGAAATTTTTGTAGGCTTGTATAGTACCAATTGTTAGTTTTGGGGACAGGGAGAATTAGGGGTGCTGTACTGAGTGCTTTATAACTGTAGGCATGGGGAAGATTCTGGGATAGTTTGATATTGTTTACTAAGTAATTCCCAAATTAAAACTTGAACTGTTATTATAATAATGTATTTCTTATCTGACTCCCTGAAAATATTATTGTTCTGTTTCTAATTTTTTGGGTTGTATTATTGATCTATGTCAGTATAACTAAGTCCTTATATCTCAAATGACTTCTGGAGACTGTAAAATGAAGATAAATAGTTCCTGATCTCCAGATTCATTGGTTCTTTTGTTGTCGTTTCTCATTTACTCATCTGTTTAAACTTGATGGTATGCAAGCCATCTTAGCCCTCAGTACAGTAATTCTGTTTCCTCTTGCTACCATGGACCCTATCTTTTAAGTGATTTGCCTATCAGAATACCTTTGTTAATAATAAGAGCTAAAACTTAAATAACACTATGTACCATCTACTATTTTAGTTGTTTAGATACTATTGGCTTATTTAATTCTTATAATAATCCTATGAGATGATACTGGTTTTATCCCCATTTTAAAGGTGATGAAACCGAGGCACCAAAGTATATAAAAATAAAACTAAATTCATACGTTAAATTCTTACTGTTAGATACTATACTAAGTGCTTTATGTATATCTTAATCTTCAAACTCTTGTCAACCTTGTGAGGTGAGTATTACTATCTTTTTTACATATCTAGGTATAGGTTCAATAGATCAGCTAACCTAAAGGTCACAATAACTGCCGGTGTAATAATAAGTGCCTACCTGTACTGGAAATGAGGCTGTACATTGGAGACTATCTTCTTTGAGAATGTCAACATATAATGCAAAACTATGGTAAAAATTTCCTTCGAAAATCTTTAGATTGTTTATGATGACAGTTTACAGACACATGTACCCCTAATAATCCATTTGGCTGTTCTTTGCCCTCTAGTACTGAATAGAATTCAGGAATCAGTAACTACAGGCCCATGAGCTAGCTGCCTGTTTTTGTAAATAAGGTTTTATTAGAACCCAGCCATGTACATTCATTTATGAATGTTCTGTGGTCGCTTTGGAGAGCTATGAAGGGACAGTTGAGTGATTGAAACATAGACCAACTGTCCCACAAAGCCTAAAACATTTACTTTCTGGGCCTTTAAGGAAAAGTTTGCCAACCCCTGGGATAAATAACTGTTTCTTTAGGTGAACTAACAGTACAGAATTGGCTTGCATTTGGGACCTTGTACAAAAATATACAAGGACTGTGTGAGACATTCTTGCAGTAGGAGGCACATAGGAACTGAGAGCAACCAAAGATATAGCATGTTTTCCAAACTAGATTTCTTCCTTGGGTGACTCCATGGAATTTAAAAATTCACTTTGTAGTGTACTTGGATTGCCTTTTAAAAAGTATAAAAAGTGATCTTATGTTAATAATTAGGAAGGTTCTAGTAAGTTCTTCTACCCTAATGCTTTATTTTTATATCTTTGAAAAACACTATGTACCAAACATACCAACTTTGGCTTCTTATAATTTTTAAAAAATGTATACTTCCTAGAGATAAGTTCTGAAAGGATTTCTTATTGTAAACAGAAGTGAGACTCTCAACTGCATTTGAATTATTTATATAAAATACATTAAATATAAATTAAGATTTCACAGATACATGTTATTTTGGAAAATTCACAGCAACATACAGATAATAATACCAGATGTTAGTATTGTATTCAACTCCAGAAGATTGTATACTTAACATAGTTAACTTTCACAAACTCAGTATTTGTAAAACCATCGTAGTATTCTACATAGGAATACCTTGTTTTATTGCATGTTGCTTTATTTGCACTGTACAGATATTACTTTTTTTTTTTTTTTTTTTTTTTTACGAATTGAATGTTGTGGCAACCCTATGCAAAGCAAGTCTGTTGGCGCCATATTTTCCAACAACACATGTTTACTTTGGGTCTCCATGTCACACTTTGGTAGTTCTTGGAATATTTCAAACTTTTTTATTAGTAGTATATCTTTATGGTGATCTGTCATCAGTGATCTTTAATGCTACTGTTGTAATTGTTTCAGGGCACTGGGAACTGCACCAGTATAAGGTGGCAAATGTTATAACAAAATTATAACATAAATGCATGTTTTTAATTAATTTATAAAAGTTTGCATTCTGACTACACTGATCAGCTTTTCCCTTTCTTTTCCTCTGCACTCCGTATTCTGTGATACAACATTAACACCTACAGTAGCTTCTAAGTGTTCTAGTAAAAGAAAGAGTCTCACCTTGCTCATTTTAAATCAAAAAGCTATAATAGAAAGGATTAAGCTAGTGAGGAAGGCATGTGGAAAGAAAAATAGGCTGAAAGCTAGGTCTATTGCACCAAATAGTCAAGTTGTGAATGCAAAGGAAAAATTCTTGAAGGAAATTAAAAAGTGCTACTCTAGTAAACACATGAATAATAAAAAAGCAAAACAGCCTTTTTGCTGATATGGAGAAAGTTGGAGTGGTTTGGATAGAAGTTCAAACCAGCCACAACATTTCCTTAAGCCAAAGCCTAATCCTTAACAAAGCTTTAACTCTTCAGTTCTGTGAAGGCTGAGAGTGATGAGGAAGCCTCAGATGAAAAGTTTGAAGCTAGCATAGGTTGAGTCATGAGTTTGTGTTTTTGTTTTGTCTGTTGTTTTGACAGGTTCTCACTGTGTCACCCAGGCTGGAATGCAGTGGGGCAGTCAACTCACTGCAGCCTCTGTGTCCTGGGCTCAAGCGATCGTTCTGCCTCAGCCTCCTGAGTAGCTGGAACTACACATGCACACTACCATGCCCAGCTAATTTTTTTTTTTTTTTGTAAAGATGGGCTTGCTATATTGCCCAGGCTGTTCTTCAACTCCCAGGCTTAAGTAATCCTCCTGCCTTACCCTCTCAAAGTGCTAGAATTACACATATGAGCCACTGTTCCCAGCCTGGTTCATGAAGTTTAAGAAAAGAAGCCATCTGCAGAACATAAAAATCAAGATGAAAGAGCAAGTTATCCAGAAGATGTAACTAAGATAATTGATGAAGGTGACTACACTAAACAACACATTTTCAGTGGAGACTAAACAGCCTTCTGTTGGAAGAAGATGCCATTGAGGACGTTCATACTGGAGAAGTGAAGTCAATGCCTGGCTTCAGCGCTTCAAGACAGGCTGACTTTCTTGTTAGGAAAATGCAGCTGGTGACTTTAAGTTGAAGCTAATGTTTATTTACTATTTTGAAAATCCTACGGCCCTTAAGAATTAAGCTACATCTATTCTGCCTGTGCTCTCTAAGTGGAACAACAGAGCCTGGGTGACAGCACATCTGTTTACAGCATGGTTTACTGAATACATTAAGTCCACCGTTGAGACCTGCTGCTCAGAAAGAAATAATTTTTTTCAAAGTATTACTGTTCATTGACAATGCTCCTAGTAACCCAAGAGCTCTGATGGAGATACACAAACATGTTGTTTCATGCCTGTCAATACAACATCTGTTCTGCAGCCCATGGATAAAGGAGTAGTTTTACTTTCAAGTGTTTTTTCTTTTTTTTTGACAGGGTCTCACTCCATTGCCCAGGCTGGAATGCAGTGGTGCGATCATAGTTCACTGCACCCCTGACTTTCCAGGCTCAGGTGATCCTTCCACCTCAGCGTCCTGAGTATTTGGGACTACAGGCACACCACTACCACACCCAGCTGATTTTTGTATTTTTTTGTAGAGATGGAATTTTGCCATGTTGCCAGGCTGGTCTTGAGCTCCTCGGCTCAAGCGATCAGCCCACCTGGGCCTCCCAAAGTGCTGGGATTACAGGCAAGAGCCATTTTGCCCAGCCAGAAAACTTGTCTTTATAAACAGTGTCCAATTATTCCTCTTAATAAATGGAATGTTTAGATTTTATGTCCAGCTTGCGTCCCTGGCCCACTGTGAGTGCTTTCATAATGCCCCAATTCTTTTCATATCCACCATATAGAGCCTCACTTAATGTCTTTGATAGGTTCTTAGAAACCACGACTTTAAGCAAAATGACATATAATGAAACCGGTTTTACCCTAGGCTAGTTGATGTAAACAAAAGTTAAGTTCCTATGGCATATTTCTGGTCACAAATATATGACATTTCTAAATAAAGACCCATAACATGTCTAATACCAAAGTTTGAAATAAATGTGAGTTATATACATACATTTAAGGAAGACTAGTAAAAACAAGTGAGATAATTATTTACCCAATTTTTAGTGAATCTATGAGTGATAGTCATAGTGGTGGTGGGTCAAATCAAGGAATAAATGTTTGTAAAGCAAAAATTGTATTGAGCACCTCCTACCATAATGAAGTTGAAAAACAACAAATATGATGGGCTTCCTGAGGACTTTCTTACCACATCATTTATTTATTGTGCATTTGTATGATTGTATACTTGACAAATTTTTATTTTACAATTTGTATTCACTTTTCTTTTTTTATTTTTTATTTATTTTTATTTTATTATTATTTTACTTTAAGTTTTAGGGCACATGTGCACAACGTGCAGGTTTGTTACATATGTATACATGTGCCATGTTGGTGTGCTGCACCCATTAACTCGTCATTTAGCATTAGGTATATCTCCTAAAGCTATCCCTCTCCCCTCCCCCCACCCCACAACAGTCCCCAGAGTATGATGTTCCCCTTCCTGTGTCCATGTGTTCTCATTGTTCAATTCCCACCTATGAGTGAGAATATGCAGTGTTTGGTTTTTTGTTCTTGCGATAGTTTACTGAGAATGATGATTTCCAATTTCATCCGTTTCCCTACAAAGGACATGAACTCATCATTTTTTATGGCTGCATAGTATTCCATGGTGTATATGCGCCACATTTTCTTAACCCAGTCTATCATTGTTGGACATTTGGGTTGGTTCCAAGTCTTTGCTATTGTGAATAGTGCCACAATAAACATACATGTGCATCTGTCTTTATAGCAGCATGATTTATAATCCTTTGGGTACATACCTAGTAATGGGATGGCTGGGTCAAATGGTATTTCTAGTTCTAGATCCCTGAGGAATCAACACACTGACTTCCACAATGGTTGAACTAGTTTACATTCCCACCAACAGTGTAAAAGTGTTCCTATTTCTCCACATCCTCTCCAGCACCTGTTGTTTCCTGACTTTTTAATGATTGCCATTCTAACTGGTGTGAGATGGTATCTCATTGTGGTTTTGATTTGCATTTCACTGACAGGCAGTGATGGTGAGCATTTTTTCGTGTGTTTTTTGGCTGCATAAATGTCTTCTTTTGAGAAGTGTCTGTTCCTGTCCTTTGCCCACTTTTTGATGGGGTGGTTTGTTTTTTTCTTGTAAATTTGTTTGAGTTCATTGTAGATTCTGGTTATTAGCCCTTTGTCAGATGAATAGGTTGCAAAAATTTTCTCCCATTTTGTAGGTTGCCTGTTCACTCTGATGGTAGTTTCTTTTGCTGTGCAGAAGCTCTTTAATTTAATTAGATCCCATTTGTCAATTTTGTCTTTTGTTGCCATTGCTGTTGGTGTTTTAGACATGAAGTCCTTGCCCATGCCTATGTCCTGAATGATAATGCCTAGGTTTTCTTCCAGGGCTTTTATGGTTTTAGGTCTAACATTTAAGTCTTTAATCCATCTTGAATTAATTTTTGTATAAGGTGTAAGGAAGGGATCCAGTTTCAGCTTTCTACATATGGCTAGCCAGTTTTCCCAGCATCATTTATTAAATAGGGAATCCTTTCCCCATTGCTTGTTTTTCTCAGGTTTGTCAAAGATCAGATAGTTGTAGATATGCGGCGTTATTTCTGAGGGCTCTGTTCTGTTCCATTGATCTTTATCTCTGTTTTGGTACCAATACCATGCTGTTTTGGTTACTGTAGCCTTGTAGTATAGTTTGAAGTCAGGTAGCGTGATGCCTCCAGCTTTGTTCTTTTGGCTTAGGATTGACTTGGCGATGCGGGCTCTTTTTTGGTTCCATATGAACTTTAAAGTAGTTTTTTCCAATTCTGTGAAGAAAGTCATTGGTAGCTTGATGGGGATGGCATTGAATCTATAAATTACCTTGGGCAGTATGGCCATTTTCATGATATTGACTCTTCCTACCCATGAGCATGGAATGTTCTTCCATTTGTTTGTATTCTCTTTTATTTCATTGAGCAGTGGTTTGTAGTTCTCCACTTGAAGAGGTCCTTCACATCCCTTGTAAGTTGGATTCCTAAGTATTTTATTATCTTTGAAGCAATTGTGCATGGGAGTTCACTCATGATTTGGCTCTCTGTTTGTCTGTTATTGGTGTATAAGAATGCTTGTGATTTTTGTACATTGATTTTGTATCCTGAGACTTTGCTGAAGTTGCTTATCAGCTTAAGGAGATTTTGGGCTGAGACGATGGGGTTTTCTAGATATACAATCATGTCATCTGCAAACAGGGACAATTTGACTTCCTCTTTTCCTAATTGAATAACCCTTTATTTCCTTCTCCTGCCTAATTGCCCTGGCCAGAACTTCCAACACTATGTTGAATAGGAGTGGTGAGAGAGGGCATCCCTGTCTTGTGCCCGTTTTCAAAGGGAATGCTTCCAGTTTTTGCCCATTCAGTATGATATTGGCTGTGGGTTTGTCATAGATAGCTGTTATTATTTTGAGATACGTCCCACCAATACCTAATTTATTGAGAGTTTTTAGCATGAAGGGTTGTTGAATTTTGTCAAAGGCCTTTTCTGCATCTATTGAGATAATCATGTGGTTTTTGTCTTTGGTTCTGTTTATATGCTGGATTACATTTATTGATTTGTGTATATTGAACCAGCCTTACATCCCAGGGATGAAGCCCACTTGATCATGGTGGTTAAGTTTTTGATGTGCTGCTGGGTTCGGTTTGCCAGTATTTTACTGAGGATTTTTGCATCAATGTTCATCAAGGAGATTGGTCTAAAATTCTCTTTTTTGGTTGTGTCTCTGTCAGGCTTTGGTATCAGGATGATGCTGACCTCATAAAATGAGTTAGGGAGGATTCCCTCTTTTTCTATTGATTGGAATAGTTTCAGAAGGAATGGTGCCAGTTCCTCCTTGTACCTCTGGTAGAATTCGGCTGTGAATCCATCTGGTCCTGGACTCTTTTTGGTTGGTAAGCTATTGATTATTGCCACAATTTCAGCTCCTGTTATTGGTCTGTTCAGAGAGTCAACTTCTTCCTGGTTTAGTCTTGGGAGGGTGTATGTGTCGAGGAATTTATCCATTTCTTCTAGATTATCCAGTTTATTTGCGTAGAGGTGTTTGTCGTATTCTCTGATGGTAGTTTGTATTTCTGTGGGATCGGTGGTGATATCCCCTTTATTATTTTTTATTGCGTCTATTTGATTCTTCTCTCTTTTCTTGTTTATTAGTCTTGCTAGTGGTCTATCAATTTTGTTGATCTTTTCAAAAAACCAGCTCCTGGATTCATTGATTTTTTGAAGGGTTTTTTGTGTCTCTATTTCCTTCAGTTCTGCTCTGATTTTAGTTATTTCTTGCCCTCTGCTAGCTTTTGAATGTGTTTGCTCTTGCTTTTCTAGTTCTTTTAATTGTGATATTAGGGTGTCACTTTTGGATCTTTCCTGCTTTCTCTTGTGGGCATTTAGTGCTATAAATTTCCCTCTACACACTGCTTTGAATGTGTCCCAGAGATTCTGGTATGTTGTGTCTTTGTTCTCGTTGGTTTCAAAGAACATCTTTATTTCTGCCTTCATTTCGTTATGTACCCAGTAGTCATTCAGGAGCAGGTTGTTCAGTTTCCATGTAGCTGAGCAGTTTTGAGTGAGTTTTTTAATCCTGAGTTCTAGTTTGATTGCACTGTGGTCTGAGAGACAGTTCGTTATAATTTCTGATCTTTTACATTTGCTGAGGAGAGCTTTACTTCCAACTATGTGGTCAATTTGGGAATAGGTGTGGTGTGGTGCTGAAAAAAATGTATATTCTGTTGATCTGGGGTGGAGAGTTCTGTAGATGTCTATTAAGTCCGCTTGGTGCAGAGCTGAGTTCAATTCCTGGGTATCCTTGTTAACTTTCTGTCTCGTTGATCTGTCTAATGTTGACAGTGGGGTGTTAAAGTCTCCCATTATTATTGTGTGGGAGTCTTAAGTCTTTTTGTAGGTCACTCAGGACTTGCTTTATGAATCTGGGTGCTCCTGTATTGGGTGCATATATATTTAGGATAGTTAGCTCTTCTTGTTGAATTGATCCCTTTACCATTATGTAATGGCCTTCTTTGTCTCTTTTGATCTGTGTTGGTTTGAAGTCTGTTTTATCAGAGACTAGGATTGCAACCCCTGCCTTTTTTTGTTTTCCATTTGCTTGGTAGATCTTCCTCCATCCCTTTATATTGAGCCTATGTGTGTCTCTGCATGTGAGATGGGTTTCCTGAATACAGCACACTGATGGGTCTTGACTCTTTATCCATTTTGCCAGTCTGTGTCTTTTAATTGGAGCATTTAGCCCATTTACATTTAAAGTTAATATTGTTATGTGTGAATTTGATCCTGTCATTATGATGTTAGCTGGTTATTTTGCTCGTTAGTTGATGCAGTTTCTTCCTAGCCTTGAAGGTCTTTACAATTTGGCATGTTTTTGCAGTGGCTGGTACCGGTTGTTCCTTTCCATGTTTAGTGCTTCCTTCAGGAGCTCTCTTAGGGCAGGCCTGGTGGTGACAAAATCTCTCAGCATTTGCTTGTCTGTAAAGGATTTTATTTCTCCTTCACTTATGAAGCTTAGTTTGGCTGGATATGAAATTCTGGCTTGAAAATTCTTTTAAGAATGTTGAATATTGGCCCCCACTCTCTTCTGGCTTGTAGAGTTTCTGCCGAGAGGTCAGCTGTTAGTCTGATGGGCTTCCCTTTGTGGGTAACCCGACCTTTCTCTCTGGCTGCCCTTAACATTTTTTCCTGCATTTCAACCTTGGTGAATCTGACAATTATGTGTCTTGGAGTTGCTCTTCTCGAGGAGTATCTTTGTGGCATTCTCTGTATTTCCTGAATCTGAATGTTGGCCTTCCTTGCTAGATTGGGGAAGTTCTCCTGGATAATATCCTGCAGAGTGTTTTCGACCTTGGTTCCATTCTCCCCGTCACTTTCAGGTAGATCAATCAGACATAGATTTCGTCTTTTCACATAGTCCCATATTTCTTGGAGACTTTGTTCGTTTCTTTTTATTCTTTTTTCTCTAAACTTCCCTTCTCGCTTCATTTCATTCATTTCGTCTTCCATCACTGACACCCTTTCTTCCAGTTGATTGCATCGGCTCCTGAGGTTTGTGCATTCTTCATGTAGTTCTCGAGCCTTGGCTTTCAGCTCCATGAACTCCTTTAAGCCCTTCTCTATATTGGTTATTCTAGTTCTACATTCGTCTGAATTTTTTTCACAGTTTTCAACTTCTTTGCCTTTGGTTTGAATTTCCTCTTGTTGCTCGGAGTAGTTTGATCGTCTGAAGCCTTTTTCTCTCAACTTGTCAAAGTCATTCTCTGTCCACCATTGTTCCGTTGCTGATGAGGAGCTGCGTTCCTTTGGAGGACGAGAGGTGCTCTGCTTTTTAGAGTTTCCAGTTTTTCTGCTCTGTTTTTTCCCCATCTTTGTGGTTTTATCTACTTTTGGTCTTTGATGATGGTGACGTACAGATGGGTTTTTGGTGTGGATGTCCTTTCTGTTTGTTAGTTTTCCTTCTAACAGACAGGACCCTCAGCTTCAGGTCTGTTGGAGTTTGCTGGAGGTCCACTCCAGACCCTGTTTGCCTGGGTACCAGCAGTGGTGGCTACAGGACAGCGGATTTTCGTGAACCATGAATGCTGCTGCCTGATCGTTCCTCTGGAAGTTTTGTCTCAGAGGAGTACCCGGCCGTGTGAAGTGACAGTCTGCCCCTACTGGGGGGTGCCTCCCAGTTAGGCTGCTCAGAGGTCAGGGGTCAGGGACCCACTTGAGGAGGCAGTCTGCCCATTCTCAGATCTCCAGCTGTGTGCTGGGAGCACCACTGTTCTCTTCAAAGCTGTCAGACAGGGATGTTTAAGTCTGCAGAGGTTACTGCTGTCTTTTTGTTTGTCTTTGCTCTGCCCCAGAGTTGGAGCCTACAGAGGCCGGCAGGCCTCCTTGAGCTGTGGTGGGCTCCACCCAGTTGGAGCTTCCAGGCTGCTTTGTTTACCTAGGCAAGCCTGGGCAATGGCGGGCGCCCCTCCCCTAGCCTCCCTGCCGCCTTGCAGTTTGGTCTCAGATTGCTGTGCCAGCAATCAGCAAGACTCCGGGGGCGTAGGACCCTCCGAGCCAGGTGTGGGATATAATCTCCTGGTGCACCGTTTTTTAAGCCCGTCGGAAAAGCGCGGTGTTGGGGTGGGAGTGACCCGATTTTCCAGGTGCCGTCTGTCACCCCTTTCTTTGACTAGGAAAGGGAACTCCCTGTCCCTTTGCGCTTCCCGAGTGAGGCAATGCCTCTCCCTGCTTCCGCTCGCCCACGGTGTGCTGCACCACTGTCCTGTGCCCACTGTCTGGTACTCCCTAGTGAGATGAATCCGGTACCTCAGATGGAAATGCAGAAATCACCCATCTTCTGCGTCGCTCACGCTGGGAGCTGTAGACCGGAGCTGTTCCTATTTGGCCATCTTGGCTCCAAATAACTATTCATTCACTTTTCAACCTGCTTACTCCAGGTTAGGGTTGCTGGTGGCTGGAGCTGTCCCGTCTGCCCAGGGCACAAGGTGGGAACCATCCTGGGACAGGACACTGTTCTATTGCAGGGTGCACTTACATACACCCACACTCACTCATACTGGGCCATTTAGACATGTGAAATAACCTGATGTGCATATCTTGGGGATATGAGATGAAGCTTGAGTACCCATAGAAAACCCAAGTAGGTAGGGGAAAATTTGGAAAGTCTACACAGACAGTGGCTCGGGTAGAAATAAATTTTTTGTTTCATCAGTGTCGTAAGAAAACAACATTATTCTGGGACGTGTTGTGTGGTCTGTCATCCCTTTCTATTACCTGTTGCCTCAACTGTCATTTTAAAAGGCTTTTTAAAAAATTTTTATGAATGGTTATTGACTGAAACTGTATTGTATTACCGCCCAGGTAACTTTTCTTTTGACTAGAATGATCCCCTTAACTTGGGGGATCCACAGAGATATTATATTTCAGTGTAATTGGGTTTTTTTCTGTAATTATGTGTGTTTTATGCATTGAAAATAATTATCAGAAAGGAGTCTTCAGGCTTTACCTGAGTACCAGAGGAGCTCATGTCACTAAAGAGGTTAAGAACCCCTTTAAGAATTTCCATTTCAGTGGAATATGATGAGTGGTAAGAGAAGTTATTGATGTCACGTAACTCTAAACACTCAATCCCAGTATAAATTACTCACTCTATTAACAGGTAAGATGAGTCCAGACAACTTCAAGAATTTAAAGAAGACTAACGTTGGCTTTATCATCTTGACTTTTCCATTTCTCAACTTTGCAAGGATAAAATTGGCCACTGTTCTTCTAATACATGTGGAATCCTATATGATGTGCCCAGGGACAGCATATATAGTGGAAAAGAACATAGATGTTGGAATCACAAGTGCTTAATCTTTCCAAGTTGCTGTTTCTTCATCTATGATATGGAACTAATAATATGCACATTCGTGGGGTGTGGGAGGAATTAAAGGACCCAAAGTATGTACAGCATATATAGTATAGGATGTCTGGCTCAGTGTGGGTACTTGCATAGATGTTAATTTCTTATACCAAAAACCCCAAATGAACCTGAATTGAATTTAAAGTGTGGTGATGCATTGATAGTGGTGGTGGTGATGTAGGAATTAAGAATTGTCATTTACTTTTCTTTCTAGAATTAGTTTGGATGAGTTTTGTTCAGTGAGAAAATTTCCTGAAAGAGGTAGACTTCTTTAAGAGAAAGAAAAGTAGTTTACAGAATGTAGTTGCAGAAATAATGTGAAAGAGAGCACAGATTGAGGAGTAGGAAAATTAAATTTAGAGTCCCAGCTTTGTGGAGTGGCGTGAATAAAGGGAAGTGTACATATCACTGAATTCATGCTTTTCCTTAAGTTATCTGTTTTCAGAGCAGTGGAATTTTTCATCAGAGATAAATATGAAAAGAAGAAATACTACGATAAAAATGCCATAGCTATTACAAATGTAAGTAAAACCTTCATCTCTCATCAATTGTTTGTTGACTAGATTTCAAACTTTTAACATGCAATACAGCTTAATTTATTTATTGTGAAAACATACTAGTTGTATATATTTACATTTGAATATTGGAACTTTTTTGGTTATATAATGTTGAGCTCTTGCAGAGCAGAAGTCTTGATTTAGAAAGGAGCATATTCTAAATCTAATAACCACTTACATGGCATTTAATTAAGTTAATTTTTGAAATTTGCAAAAAAGCTAGAACCACTAATTGAAAATGGTGGGAGAGAAATTTTTTCCCCTAGATTCTAGAAATGTATGAAAAAGAAAAAAGGCAAATATATGTCTTCCTCTAAGGGCTTTCTTTGGTTGGTCCATTGAGAAATGAAACCAGTAGCCCAGGAATATATTAAAAGATGGCATTTACATTTGTTATTAGCAAGCATTTTGATACTCCTAATAGTTAAGTCTTTACAGTAGTAATCAAATACCATCAGGTACCCATAACAAGGTTTCAGTCAATGACAGACTGTATATACAACGTTGGTCCTATAAGTTTATAATCCCTTATTTTTACTGTACTCTATGTTTAGATATATCTGCATACACAGATACTTACCATTGTGTTAGAATTGCCTACAGTATTCACTATAGTAACATGCAGTACAGGTTTGTAGCCTGGGAGTAATAGATGTTACCATATTACCTAAGTATGTAGTAGGTTGTACCATCTAGGTTTGTATGAGCACACTCGATTATGTTTGCACGATGATGCTGTCATGTAATGATATGTTTCTCAGAATGTATCCCAATTGTTAAATGACACAGGACTGTTATGTTTTATCAGCTGTTTCTTTTTAGTTTTTTAAAAATTTTCTCATCCAAGTTAATTATATTCTAAGGCTAATTGCCTTTATTGTTGAAATCATTTTTGGACTTTGATTCCTAGATTGATAAGCTATAAACCAGTTAATCTTTTGGTGAAGTCATCTGTCAAGCAATTTAGATACTATGGAAATAGATTCATCTCATTTTTCATACAAACTGGTTTCCTATTTGGCCCATATGGAGAAGCAATATATTAAAAATTCAGTAAAATCCTAATAAAGTTAGGATATTTTAATATGCTATCTTTGGCCATAAAAAAATCTTGTTAAAAAAGTTTTTAAGTATCAGCTCAATATGGTAGCTCATGCCTGTAATCCCAGCACTTTGGGAGGCCAAGGTGGGAGGATCATTTGAACCCAGGAGTTCAAGACCAGGCTGCTGGGCAACATAGTGAGACCCTATCTCTTTTTATTAAAAAAAATTTTTATTTTTTTTTCGACTGGGCATGGTGGCTTATGCCTGTAATCCCAGCACTTTGGGAGGCTGAGTCAGGTGGATTTGAGACCAGCCAGGCCAACATGGTGAAACCCCGTCTCTACTAAAAATACAAAAATTAGCTGGGCCCAGTGGTGCATGCCTGTAATCCCAGCCACTTGGGAGGCTGAGGCAGAGTTGCTTGCATCCAGGAGGCAGAGGTTTCAGTGAGCTGAGATTGAGCCACTGCACTCCAGTCTGGGCAACAGAGTAAGATTCTGTGTCAAAAAAAAAAAAAAAATTAAGTTTTCAAGTATCATTAGTGTGTATTTTAGAGCAAAGATATCCTTGTGTGTAGCATTGGAGCTGCATTTACAGTGGATGTGAGGAAATCTGTTGAAGGGTTGATTAAAAATTGACAGTATTGAGAATATTTATGTCTATAAAATTAAGGCCGCTGTAAGCATTGATGGGGGAAAGGACTAACTTAAAAGTGTAATGTATTTTCATATGAAATGTTAAGAAATCATTTTAGTTTATTTTAGGGAACATACTGTTTCATATTAAACACTTTTAAAATATAATTTTAAAAATTATATTTGTATTATGTTTCTTTTCTTAGCAATAATTAGGAAATTATTTTTACATAGTAATGTGTAAGATGGTTTTATTTTGGGATGGTAGCTGTTACTGAGTTGGGTTTTTTCCCCCCTTCAAGGTGTAATAATGGTATGCTTAGTTGTAAAAATTCCTTCATTTATAAGATACGTGGTAGAATAAAATACTTGGAGATTAAATGTTATGATACCTAACACTTTCAAGTGGTTTGGTGAAACCTAGCAGCTTTGTGTGTTTGTGTCTGTAGAGAGAGAACAAATATGGCTAATGTTAGTATTTGACTAATATTAATGATGTTTATAGAGGTATTCACTCTACAGTTCCTTCCTTTTTTTATGTAGGCTTGAGAGTAAAAATTTTAAGGTAAAAGTCTGTTTACTTCAGTATATACTCCTGAGTTTATAGTACTATTGAAATAAAAATGCAGAAAGATTTACAAAAGTCACAATAAACCCAAGGGAAAATGTATTCCACCTATTCCAATATAAGCAAAATAATAATAAATAAGTTTATATTGTAGCAGATTTAAAGGATTTTTTCCTCTTTCATGGTGATCAGTGAGCAAGTAACTAATCTTAGGTATTACTGAGAATTACATATTTCTGTTCAGTGTTTCATCTTCAGTAATAGATTGAGCACTCATCCAAATAAATTTGGATCACTTACTATGCTCACAATCTCCTAGGATACTAAAACAAAGAGGACATGACTGTTAGAGACATTTATCACAGTGGAGACAGGAACAGATTTAAAAAAATATAAGTACCTTATATCTAAGGTATTCCAGGAGTACTAGAGTACTTAAGGGGTATCCACAGAGGGACATTTATCATTTCTTCTTTTTCTTTTCTTTTTTTTTGAGACAGAGTCTCGCTCTGTTGCCAGACTGGAGTGCAGTGGCGCAATCTTGGCTCACTGCAACCTCTGCCTTGCGGGTTCAAGCAATTCTTCTGCCTCAGCCTCCCGAGTAGCTGGGACTACAGGCGTGCTACCACGCCCAGCTAATTTTTGTATTTTTAGTAGAGACGGGGTTTTGCCATGTTGGCCAGGATGGTCTCGATCTCTTGACCTCGTGATCTGCCCACCTCGACCTCTCAAAGTGCTGGGATTACCGGTGTGAGCCACCACACCCTGCTGACATTTATCATTTCTTTGTGTTGGGAACATTCAGTATCATCTAGCTTTTTGAAAATATACACTAAATTATTGTTAGCCGTACTTACCCTATAATACTACAGAACACTAAATCGTACTCCTCCTATCTAGCTGTACTGTCACATCTGTTAAAAATTTCTCCCCATCCTTTCCTCTCCCTTACCCTTTAATGTCCATAGTTCTTCCCTCTACTTCCATGAGTTCAGTTTTTCTTAGCTCACACAGAAGAATGAGAACACGTGGCATTTATCCTTCTGTGCCTGACTTATTTTACTTAGCATAATGGCCCCCAGGATTATCCATGTTGCTGTGAATGGTAGGATTTCATTCTTTTTATGGCTGAATAGTATTCCATTGTGTATATATATCACACTTTAAAAATCTGTTCATCTATTGATGGAAATTTAGGTTAATTCTGTATCTTGGCTATTGTGAATAGAGCTGCAGTAAACATGGGGGTTCAGGTATCTCTTTGATATGCTAATTTCCTTTTCTTTAGATAAATGCCCTGTAGTGGGATTGCTGGCTTATATGGTAATTCTGTTTTTAATTTTTTGAGAAACCTCCATATTATCCATAGTGGCTGTACTAATTTACATTCCCACCAACAGTATCTAAGAGTTTTGTTTTCTCTGTATCCTCTCTGGTATCTATCATCTTTTTGATAATAAACCATTCTAACTGTGGTAAGATATCTTATTGTGGTTTTGATTTGCTGCGCCCACTGTCTGGCACTCCCTAGTGAGATGAACCCTGTACCTCAGATGGAAATGCAGAAATCACCCGTCTTCTGCATCGTTCACGCTGGGAGCTGTAGACCGGAGCTGTTCCTATTCGGCCATCTTGGCTCCTCCTGCATTTCTCTGATGATTATTGATTTGACCTTTTTTATGTACTTGTTGGCCATTTTTGTGTCTTTTGAGAAATGTCTATTCAGATCTTTTGCTTATTTTTTTATTATTATTTTTTGCTGTCGAGTTGTTCGAGTTCCTTGTATATTATGGATGCTAGTTTCTTGTCAAATGAGTAGGTTGTTAATATTTTCTCTTATTTTACAGATTGTCTCTTCACTCTGTTAATTGTCTCCTTTGCCATGCAGAAGCTTTTTAGTTTGATGTAGTCCCATTTTTCTATTTTTGGTTTTGTTGCCTGTGCTTTTGAAGTTTTATTCATAAGATCTTTGCCTAGACCAGTGTTTCCTATGTTTTCTTCTACAAATTTTATAGTTTTGGGTCTCCTATTTAAGTCTTCATTATTAAGTTTTTTTTTTTTTGAGATGGAGTCCCCCTGTTTCACCCAGGCTAGAGTGTAATGGTGCAATCTCAGCTCCCTGCAACCTCCGCCTCCTGGGTTCAAGTGATTCTCCTGCCTCAGTCTCCCGAGTAGCTGGCATTACAGGTGCGTGCCACCATGCCTGGCTAACTTTGTATTTTTGTTAGAGATGGGGTTTTGCCACGTTGCCCAGGCTGGTCTCGAACTCCTGGCCTCAAGTGATCCCCCTGCCTCGGGCTCCCAAAGTGCTGGGATTACAGGCATGAGCCACCACACCCAGCTAAGTCTTTAATCTATTTTTAATAATTTTTAATTTTTGTGGGTGTATAGTAGGTGTATATATTTATAGGAGACATGAGATGTTTTAATACAGGCATGGAATGTGTAAAAATCACATAATGTAAAATGGGATATCTACCCCCTCAAGTGTTATCCTTTGTGTTACAAACACAAAGGATATTATGTTGAATATTATGTTGAATAAGATTGGTGAAAGTGGGTATCCTTGTCTTTTTTCTGTTCTTAGAAGAGAAGTTTTCAGCTTTTCCCCATTCATTATGATGTTAGCTGTGGGTTTGTCATATATGACCTTTATTATGTTGAGGTATGTTCCTTTATGCCTAATTTGTTGAGAATGTTTATCATGAAGAGATGTTGAATTTTATGAAATTCTTTTTCTGTATCTGTTGAAAAGATGATAAAGTTTTTGTCTTTCATTCTGTTGATGTGATGTATCACATTTATTGATTTGTATATGTTAAACCATTTATGCATGCTTGGGATAAATCCCAGTTGATCATGAGCAGATTGGGCATGTGCAATGGATGTCATAGGACCCAGATGAGTTAACCCTCAAGCCCCTGGTTGGGTCATGTGGGCGGTGGTGGCTGTGGCTATGTGGGAGGGTTCTTGGGTCCCCAGGTGGAGGATGCTAACAACAGTGTCAGTCTGAGTACGTCGGTTGTCAGGCCCCTGGGCAGTCCATGCTGGTGTTGGTGGCAGCAGCTCTGAGTAGGCCTGTTCTCAGGCATCCAGGAGGACTTTCCAGATATATATGGTGGCCATGGGGTACCTCTAACCAAGCCCTTCCTTGGGTCTCTGGGCTGGGTGTGTGGGCACTGACAGTGATAGGGACAAGCCATTCCTCAGTCCTGTCCACTGCACAGGCAGTGTGTGTGGATGGTGGCCAACCGGGCCAGTCACTTCTCAGGTCCCTGGGCAGCATGTGCAGGCATTTGCATTGGTGTCCCAGGCAATGTATGTGGATACACAATGGCTCTGCTCTTGGAATGGGCAGGGTCACTGTCTGTGGTGGCAGCCCCAGGCAGGCGGTTCTCAGGTCTGGAGAGCACATGCTTCAGCTCCTTATATCCTGGAGCAGACTCCCTGATGTGCAAGACTGCCTCTTCTCCAGGGTGTAGGCTTCTGCAGGACTCAGGTGCCAGGGACTTGGCTGCACTGCCGAGTCTAGCTGGTGTTCTGATGCTGAGACCTTCCGGGAAGATGTCAAGTGATGTTGGGAGGGAGATCCCACAGATGTCAAGATGCTGGGATTATTGGGCTTCAGGGCTGGATGTAGTCTAGTGTTGGCGGTACTGTCAAAATGGCACTGTGCAGCAGCAGCTTGGTCCCAGTGGGTGGGTGAGATCCAGTATGAATTCTCTCTGAGATAGTTTAGTTGCGTGGACTCCAGGCAGCTCCTTATACTAGACTCAGGGCCTGTGAGGGCTGAAGGACTCTTCTGTAGCTAAGATTGCAGGGGCTGTGGTGGGAATGTGGACTGTTAAGGATTTTTGCTTACCTTGCCACCATGATGGGGAGTCCTTCCTGGCTTCTAGCCTATCTTGGCTAGCTGCATGGCTTCCCTCTTGATGCTGCCATTTCGAGTTTCCCTGCCTCTGAGCTTCCTTGTCACTTACTTACTGATTCCTACTGTTCTCCCCTAGTGCTCTATTCAATGTGTTGAATAGAGCATGTTGAATAGAACTGCCCTTGTGAGGGATCCAGGTTGTGTGCTCCATTTGAGAATGTTTTGCGTGATGATCTGAGGTGGAGCTGAAGCAGTGATGCTAGTGCTGGGGAGTGGCTACAAACACAGATCAACATTGGCAGAGAGGTTTGACTGCACAGAGACCATAGTAAATCAGTTGCTTGCAGACTCATATCAAAACCCTGTCATTGAGTAGTAGGTGACAATTAAGCTGCATCTGGTGGCAGGCTTTATAGTGGCAAGTGAGTTGATGTACTTCAACTGTACGGCTGCATCTGGTGGCAGGCTTTAAGTCAGAATCTGACATTTGCTTTAGCCCACATATGGCCCGCTCATTATTTGATTTACCACAGTCCTGCCCACAATCTCAGGGTTGGTGTTTATACAGAGTGTATATACCAGGGGGTGGAAATTTTAGTGGCTGTCAGAATTCTGCCTACTATGGTCATATAGAATGAGTCTACCTCCCTTGTTCTGCCTGATTTCATTGAGTGATGGGAAATTTGACAACAGTTTGCAGAAATTTGTCCTGTTGGCCAGGCATGGTGGCTCATGTCTGTCATCCCAGCACTTTAGGAGGCTGAAGCAGGAGGATCGCTTGAGTCCAGGAGTTTGAGACCAGTTTGGGTAACATGGCAAGACCCTGTCTCTACAAAAAATAATAATGAAAAATTAGCTGGATGTGGTAGAGTGTGCCTGTAGTTTCAGTTACTCAGGAGGCTGAGGTGAGAGAGTTGCTTGAGCCCAGGAGGTTGAGGCTTCAGTGAGCTGTGATCACACCGCTGTACTACTACCTGGGCAACAGACTTAAGACCCTGTTTCAAAAAAGAAAAAGAGAAATCTGTCCTGTCTGTCCTCCTTCCCTTGCTCACTTACCAGTAGTGAATCACAATGGGAAGCAAAGTATTTTAAGTGAGTTTAAGAGATACAAGAGGACTTAGGTAGATGAGGCTGAACTGCCACATAATTTGCTCTTTTCCTCCAGTAGCTTTTCTCTTTCCCCTTGCGCCATGCTGTCTCTGTGTCTCTTCAGCTAGTGAGTTGAGATTAGCGTAAAAGAGCAGGGTCTCTACTTGGTTTTCTTTGTTACTTCTTTTCATTACAGTTTGCTTCCTCTTCTGTGAAATAAGGATGTCATAGTGTCTGAATTTCATAGTATTGCTGCAAGAATTAAGATGAAGTATACTCTATTCTTATTAGGGTGCCTAGCACATAACCACTTGCAATATAAGCTATTGTGATGGCAGGAAATGACTGTAAGCAGGTAGATAAGAAAAATGAATACTCAAACTTAATTATAAGAGTTTATATCATTGGAGAAATCTTGGCTTGAGTTCTGTTTCATTAATTGCTCCACACTTTAATCAGCCCTTTAATTATAGGACACCCCAATAGAGCATGTAAAGGACTTAAAATTTTTTTAAGTTTTCCAGAATTCTACATATTTCTTATTGACTTGGCCACAGATTTTAAAGTTAAAATATTAAATATTAAGATTTAGGCTTCTTCTACACACTTGGTAGCTATGGTTACTTGGGTAAGTTTTCAATGTCTTTTAATCCTCCTATGGATGAGTTTCATTGATGTTGTGTTTTGTATGGGTTATATACTAATTTAGTAAATGTTTACGTTTTCAGCTTTTTTAATCCAAGATATGCCATGGAGTGCAAAACTGGAAATCATATATTTAAAATGATTTCTAGACTTCTGAAAAACTTGAGCTTCATGGTATACTAAAAGCTCATGAGACAGCCATTTGAGAATTGCTGTGATAAAATTTCTACTTAGAAAACACATCCAGGAATTTCTAAAATGAGATTGGAGGAATCCATTGCCAATAATTAATCTATAAGATGTTTTTCAGTGACTGTATCTTTTTCACTGCTTTGGACCACCAGATTTAATTTTCATAGCATTATTCTGTTTAAAAGGGTGGTAGTAGCAAATATTTCAAAAAATTCATCAAGAAAATTTTAAACATTATGCTTTATGGCCTTCAATTACTTCATACCTTTTCAAAGGGTGTTTGTTCACCTTATTCTTGTAGGTGGGAGTTGGGAACTTGTTTTACGTGGTCAGTTTTTCTTTTGCATGAGGTAAGTTTATACAATTGTAGTGTTCTGGGAGTTTTTTCACATATCGGTTACTTTGATGGTGGCCTAGAGAAGAACGTCTGAGCTTAAGAATAATTGAAGGAAGGACTGTTAAACTCATTTTATTTCTGAAGAAAACTCATTTTGTTTCTGAAGAATGTCTTTACTGGATTTCTACTGCGTATTATCTCATGGATAGATGGGGTGGGTGGGAGTTCGGAAGGACATTTAAGTATGACTACTGCATTCACTGACACCACCAATTTCCAGCAAAATTTTCTAAGGTCAGAGTCTTATACTCTACATGTATAAAAGTACTAGGAGCCAGTGAAATGGAATTAATATCTGTTACAAAATAAATTCTAAATTTGAAAGTAAATATGGATAACTTCTATGGGATTTCAGTAAAGTATGTTAGCAAGCCAATGAACTTTCAAAGAACAATTACTGAGATTGAGCCTCCTTTTGGTTCTCCTTCTGAGATGCTTCCTTCCTCCTCTTTTCCTGTAACAGTTGAAAATATTTATTGAGACCTGTTGAATGTCAGGTGCTAAAGATGGTGAACCGAATAGAAATAATATCTGCCACAGATAACTTTAGTTGAACAAAGAATACTGATAAGTAACTAGATTTTTATAAGACAACATGTGATAAAACTTACATATGAGGCCTAGCTTCCCAGCCTACATTTTTCTCCCATGCTGGATGCTTCCTGCCCTGAAACATCGGACTCCAAGTTCTTTAGTTTTGGAACTTGAATTGGCTCTCCTTGCTCTTCAGCTTGCAGACAGCCTATTTTGGGACCTTGTGATCATGAAGACAGATGCCTTCTTGGTCCTCCCCTGGAATTTCTAGCCCTACTATGGATGTTTCTGTTTGCTCTGTTTCTCTGAGTGAGGGCTTTATTGTTCTTTGGATTTGAAGAGAGGCCAACAACCTCCACTGACCCAGATGGCCAGTATGGAAATATACATATGTGGAGCCAAGATGGCTGAATAGGAACAGCTCCGGTCTACAGCTCCCAGCCTGAGTGACGGAGAAGACGGGTGATTTCTGCATTTCCATCTGAGCTTTGAAGAGAGTAGTCGTTCTCCCAGCACGCAGCTGGAGATCTGAGAACAGGCAGACTGCCTCCTCAAGTGGGTCCCTGACCCTCGAGCAGCCTAACTGGGAGGCATCCCCTAGTAGGGGCAGACTGACACCTCACACGACTGGGTACTCCTCTGAGACAAAACTTCCAGAGGAACGATCAGGCAGCAGCATTTGCGGTTCATGAAAATCCGCTGTTCTACAGCCACCGCTTTCCTGTAGCCACCGCTGCTAATACCCAGGCAAACAGGGTCTGGAGTGGACCTCTAGCAAACTCCAACAGACCTGCAGCTGAGGGTCCTGTCTGTTAGAAGGAAAACTAACAAACAGAAAGGACATCCACACCAGAAACCCATCTGTACGTCACCATCATCAAAGACCAAAAGTAGATGAAACCACAAAGATGGGGAAAAAACAGAGCAGAAAAACTGGAAACTCTAAAAAGCAGAGCACCTCTCATCCTCCAAAGGAACGCAGTTCCTCACCAGCAACGGAACAATGCTGGACAGAGAATGACTCTGACGAGTTGAGAGAAGAAGGCTTCAGACGAACAAACTACTCCGAGCTACGGGAGGAAACTCAAACAAATGGCAAAGAAGTTAAAAACTTTGAAAAAAAATTAGATGAATGTATAACTAGAATAACCAATGCAGAGAAGTGCTTAAAGGAGCTGATGGAGCTGAAAGCCAAGGCTCAAGAACTACATGAAGAATGCAGAAGCCTCAGGAGCCGATGCGATCAACTGGAAGAAAGGGTATCAGTGATGGAAGACGAAATGAATGAAATGAAGCGAGAAAGGAAGTTTAGAGAAAAAAGAATAAAAAGAAACGAACAAAGTCTCCAAGAAATATGGGACTATGTGAAAAGACGAAATCTACGCCTGATTGGTGTACCTGAAAGTGACGGGGAGAATGGAACCAAGTTGGAAAACACTCTGCAGGATATTATCCAGGAGAACTTCCCCAATCTAGCAAGGAAGGCCAACATTCAGATTCAGGAAATACAGAGAACGCCACAAAGATACTCCTCGAGAAGAGCAACTCCAAGACACATAATTGTCAGATTCACCAAGGTTGAAATGCAGGAAAAAATGTTAAGGGCAGCCAGAGAGAAAGGTCGGGTTACCCACAAAGGGAAGCCCATCAGACTAACAGCTGACCTCTCGGCAGAAACTCTACAAGCCAGAAGAGAGTGGGGGCCAATATTCAGCATTCTTAAAGAAAAGAATTTTCAAGCCAGAATTTCATATCCAGCCAAACTAAGCTTCATAAGTGAAGGAGAAATAAAATCCTTTACAGACAAGCAAATGCTGAGAGATTTTGTCACCACCAGGCCTGCCCTAAGAGAGCTCCTGAAGGAAGCACTAAACATGGAAAGGAACAACCGGTACCAGCCACTGCAAAAACATGCCAAATTGTAAAGACCTTCAAGGCTAGGAAGAAACTGCATCAACTAACAAGCAAAATAACCAGCTAACATCATAATGACAGGATCAAATTAACACATAACAATATTAACTTTAAATGTAAATGGGCTAAATGCTCCAATTAAAAGACACAGACTGGCAAAATGGATAAAGAGTCAAGACCCATCAGTGTGCTGTATTCAGGAAACCCATCTCACATGCAGAGACACACATAGGCTCAACATAAAGGGATGTAGGAAGATCTACCAAGCAAATGGAAAACAAAAAAAGGCAGGGGTTGCAATCCCAGTCTCTGATAAAACAGACTTCAAACCAACAAAGATCAAAAGAGACAAAGAAGACCATTACATAATGGTAAAGGGATCAATTCAACAAGAAGAGCTAACTATCCTAAATATATATGCACCCAATACAGGAGCACCCAGATTCATAAAGCAAGTCCTGAGTGACCTACATAAAGACTTAGACTCCCACACAATAATAATGGGAGACTTTAACACCCCACTGTCAACATTAGACAGATCAACGAGACAGAAAGTTAACAAGGATACCCAGGAATAGAACTCAGCTCTGCACCAAGTGGACCTAATAGACATCTACAGACCTCTCCACCCCAGATCAACAGAATATACATTTTTTTCAGCACCACACCACACCTATTCCCAAATTGACCACATAGTTGGAAGTAAAGGTCTCCTCAGCAAATGTAAAAGAACAGAGATTATAACAAACTGTCTCTCAGACCACAGTGCAATCAAACTAGAACTCAGGATTAAGAAACTCACTCGAAACCGCTCAGCTACATGGAAACTGAACAACCTGCTCCTGAATGACTACTGGGTACATAACGAAATGAAGGCATAAATAAAGATGTTCTTTGAAACCAACGAGAACAAAGACACAACATACCAGAATCTCTGGGACACATTCAAAGCAGTGTGTAGAGGGAAATTTATAGCACTAAATGCCCACAAGAGAAAGCAGGAAAGATCCAAAAGTGACTCCTAATATCACAATTAAAAGAACTAGAAAAGCAAGAGCAAACACATTCAAAAGCTAGCAGAGGCAAGAAATAACTAAAATCAGAGCAGAACTGAAGGAAATAGAGACACAAAAAACCCTTCAAAAAATCAATGAATCCAGGAGCTGGTTTTTTGAAAGGATCAACAAAATTGATAGACCGCTAGCAGGACTAATAAAGAAGAAAAGAGAGAAGAATCAAATAGACGCAATAAAAAATGATAAAGGGGATATCACCACCGATCCCACAGAAATACAAACTACCATCAGAGAATACGACAAACACCTCTACGCAAATAAACTAGAAAATCTAGAAGAAATGGATAAATTCCTCGACACATACACCCTCCCAAGAGTAAACCAGGAAGAAGTTGACTCTCTGAATAGACCAATAACAGGCTCTGAAATTGTGGCAATAATCAATAGTTTACCAACCAAAAAGAGTTCAGGACCAGATGGATTCACAGCCGAATTCTACCAGAGGTACAAGGAGGAGCTGGTACCATTCCTTCTGAAACGATTCCAATCAATAGAAAAAGAGGGAATCCTCCCTAACTCATTTTATGAGGCCAGCATCATCCTGATACCAAAGCCTGACAGAGACACAACCAAAAAAGAGAATTTTAGACCAATCTCCTTGATGAACATACATGCAAAAATTCTCAATAAAATACTGGCAAACTGAATCCAGCAGCACATCAAAAAGCTTATCCACCATGATCAAGTGGGCTTCATCCCTGGGACGCAAGGCTGGTTCAATATACACAAATCAATAAATGTAATCCAGCATATAAACAGAACCAAAGACAAAAACCACATGATTATCTCAATAGATGCAGAAAAGGCCTTTGACAAAATTCAACAACCCTTCATGCTAAAAACTCTCAATAAATTAGGTATTGGTGGGACGTATCTCAAAATAATAACAGCTATCTATGACAAACCCACAGCCAATATCATACTGAATGGGCAAAAACTGGAAGCATTCCCTTTGAAAACGGGCACAAGACAGGGATGCCCTCTCTCACCACTCCTATTCAACATAGTGTTGGAAGTTCTGGCCAGGGCAATTAGGCAGGAGAAGGAAATAAAGGGTTATTCAATTAGGAAAAGAGGAAGTCAAATTGTCCCTGTTTGCAGATGACATGATTGTATATCTAGAAAACCCCATCGTCTCAGCCCAAAATCTCCTTAAGCTGATAAGCAACTTCAGCAAAGTCTCAGGATACAAAATCAGTGTACAAAAATCACAAGCATTCTTATACATCAATAACAGACAAACAGAGAGCCAAATCATGAGTGAACTCCCCTTCACAATTACTACCAAGAGAATAAAATACCTACAAATCCAACTTACAAAGGATGTGAAGGATCACTTCAAGGAGAACTACAAACCACTGCTCAACAAAATAAAAGAGGACACAAATGGAAGAACATTCCATGCTCATGGACAGGAAGAATCAATATCATGAAAATGGCCATACTGCCCAAGGTAATTTATAGAGTCATTGCATCCCCATCAAGCTACCACTGACTTTCTTCACAGAATTGGAAAAAACTACTTTAAAGTTCATATGGAACCAAAAAAGAGCCCGCATCGCCAAGTCAGTCCTAAGCCAAAAGAACAAAGCTGGAGGCATCACGCTACCTGACTTCAAACTATACTACAAGGCTACAGTAACCAAAACAGCATGGTACTGGTACCAAAACAGAAATATAGATCAATGGAACAGAACAGAGGCCTCAGAAATAATGCCGCATATCTACAACTATCTGATCTTTGACAAACCTGACAAAAGGAGCAATGGGGAAACGATTCCCTTTTTAATAAATGATGCTGGGGAAACTGGCTAGCCATATGTAGAAAGCTGAAACTGGATCCCTTCCTTACACCTTATACAAAAATTAATTCAAGATGGATTAAAGACTTACATGTTAGACCTAAAACCATAAAAGCCCTAGAAGAAAACCTAGGCAATACCATTCAGGACATAGGCATGGGCAAGGACTTCATGTCTAAAACACCAAGAGCAATGGCAACAAAAGCCAAAATTGACAAATGGGATCTAATTAAACTAAAGAGCTTCTGCACAGCAAAAGAAACTACCATCAGAGTGAACAGGCAACCTACAAAATGGGAGAAAATTTTTGCAATCTACTCATCTGACAAAGGGCTAATATCCAGAATCTACAATGAACTCAGACAAATTTACAGGAAAAAAACAAACAACCCCATCAAAAAGTGGGCAAAGGATATGAACAGACACTTCTCAAAAGAAGACATTTATGCAGCCAAAAAACACATGAAAAAATGCTCATCATCACTGGCCATCAGAGAAATGCAAATCAAAACCACAATGAGATACCGTCTCACACCAGTTAGAATGGCAATCATTGAAAAGTCAGGAAACAACAGGTGCTGGAGAGGATGTGGAGAAATAGGAACACTTTTACACTGTTGTTGGGACTGTACACTAGTTCAACCATTGTGGAAGTCAGTGTGGCGATTCCTCAGGGATCTAGAACTAGAAATACCATTTGACCCAGCCATCCCATTACTGGGTATATACCCAAAGGACTATAAATCGTGCTACTATAAAGACACGTGCCCACGTATGTTTATTGTGGCACTATTCACATTAACAAAGACTTGGAACCAACCCAAATGTCCAACAATGATAGACTGGATTAAGAAAATGTGGCGCATATACACCATGGAATACTATGCAGCCATAAAAAATGATGAGTTCATGTCCTTTGTAGGGACATGGATGAAACTGGAAACCATCATTCTCAGCAAACTATCGCAAGGACAAGAAACGAAACACCACATGTTCTCACTCATAGGTGGGAATTGAACGATGAGAACACATGGACACAGGAAGGGGAACATCACACTCTGGGGACTGTTGTGGGGTGGGGGGAGGGGGGAGGGATAGCATTAGGAGATATACCTAATGCTAAATGACGAGTTAATGGGTGCAGCACACCAACATGGCACATGTATACATATGTAACAAACCTGCACATTGTGCGCATGTACCCTACAACTTAAAGTGTAATCATAATAATAAAAAATAAAATAAAAAAAAACTTACATATTAGGGAAATATTATAGGAGGTGCGTACTCCAGACTCTATAGAGAGATCAAGGAATACTTTGAATATTTCCCAGAGGAAGCAGTTTTAACTCAAAATTAAAGGATGAGTAGGAACTAATAGAAGCATGGGTTTCTGAAGAAGAGGGACTAGCAAGAGGAAAGGCCCCTAGAGTTCAGAGAAGCAGACTAGAGAAAAACCAGAAGGAGTCATATATGGCTGGGCAGAGTGTATATGAATGTAGCCAGGGGAGGAAAGAATAGGGGGATAAGGTAGAGATGACACTTGTGGCCTGATTAAGGAGTTTGTACTCTGTCCTTATATAATGTATATAAACTATTCAGGCCTTCTAAGCAGTGATATGTGGTGGTCAGTTTTACTTCGAGAATGACATGGTATGGAGAATAGATTTGGAGAGGAGCAAGATTTGGGGCAAGGAGACCAGTTAGGAGGACTAATCCAGAAGATGGATATTGATGATTTCCTACTAGAGATTTAGAAAGAAGACTCGAGTACCTAGCTTTTCATGTCTCTGTATTTGTTTTCTCCTTTTCACTGCCCTTTTTTCTTCCCTCATTTACCCCTGTGTTCTGTACTGTCACTTGCTTCCAGTTGTCAATATGTTGATTTCTGTTTCTTTATTCGTTGCTCACATAATGTATATTACCCTGCTAATATGACTTTAAAGAGTGACTTTATTGAAATATAATTCATATATAATAAAAGGTAGATATTTTAAGGTACAGATCAATGAATTTTTACAAATACATATCGCTGTGTAACCACTACCACCACAGTCAAGATATAGAACCTTTTCGTCACTCCAAAAGGTTTCTTTGTGCCCCTCGCTAGTCAGCCCCCAACCATGGCCTTGGTGACTGATCTGTTTTTTTTAATCACCATAGATTATATTTTCTTTTCTAGAGTTTTATGTGAGTGGTTTCATACACACTGTGTACCCTTTTGCGTCTTTCTTCCGTTATGTTTCTGATTTGTTATGAATTCACCTGTTCATCTGTCCATTGACTTTTCAAATGTCTTTCTTCTTAAGTTTGTTTTCTTTCCCAACTGGAACATGGTATTAAATCATTTATTTTTCTTTTTTCTTTTTTTTTTTTTTGGTATTAAAATGTGATGTGCATCTGTTATCCCAGCTATCCGGGACGCTGAGAGGCAGGAGGATTGCTTGAGTTCAGGAGTTTGAGTCCAGCCTGGGTAACATAGAAAGACTCTGTCTCAAAAAAAAAAAAAAAAAAAAAAAGTGGTTACTGAAATGAAAAAGGTTTTTACTTGAGTCCAGGATTCAAGGTTTTAGTGAGCTATGATCTTCACACTGTATTCCAGCCTGGGTGACAGAGTGAGACCCTGTCTGAATTTTTGTTGTTGTTGTTAAATTACTGATACTTATTGAATGGAATTTTATATTCCTGCTACTGGGTTTTAAAAGTGGCCACATCAGCTTATCATCTTCTCAAATGGAGGACAAGCACTTATATAATGAATTATCTTGCTGCTTTCTAAGGATTAGTAACTTTTGACATACTCAATGCCCGTATTATCCTTTTATATTTTTGTTCCACTTTTCATGAGCTTGGGCAAAGAGGTCTTTATGATACAGCTATCTTCTAAAGTGATCGTACGGCTTTTTATTCTTTTTATTTTTTATTTTTTTGAGACGGAGTCTCGCTCTGTCTCCGAGGCTGGAGTGCAGTGGCGTGATCTTGGCTCACTGCAACCTCCGCCTCCCAGGTTCATGTGATTCTCCTGCCTCAGCCTTCCAAGTAGCTGGGATTACAGGCATGCACCACCACACCTGGCTAAATTTTTATATTTTTAGTAGAGACGGTTCCCCATGTTGGCCAGGCTGGTCTCGAACTCCTGAACTCAAGTGATCTGCGTGCCTTGGCCTCCCAAAGTGCTTTATTCTTATTTTCTGTATAAAGTAGTAATTAAAGATTTCTAGCAAGTAAATATCCAATAGGACAAACCAGTTTTAAGCCAGGCTTTAAGGCTCGACTTTGCCTTTTTTTTATGGAAGATCTACATTTTATTGTGTTGTTTATTTTCTATCCTGTGTAACTTGCATTAATATTCATTAAGTGGCTAGCTTACACAATTATAACAGAGCCAACAGTGAGTAAGCAAGGAGAAAAAAATTCCCTGAAGTTTATAGTCTTGTGTTGTGATTCAGGAATTACTGCCATAACTAACTTAATAACAAGCAGATTGAGGGAGGACTTGTCATCTTGCAGTGTTATTTTGACATTACATAATGACCTATCTGTAATAGCACCTTTTAGTTTTAAAAATTCCTCATAGGCACTATTGATATGATAGGGCAGTATAGAGATGTCAGTTTTATGGCCCCAAAGATCTGTGCATTTTATAAATGTATTTCAGTTACATTTTGGCAGTAAAAGAGCAGGAAGATAATGCTTCCATTAAAGTGATCAACTACGCATGCAGAAATTGGGCAGGAAGATGTGTGAAAAAAGCTTTTAGATGAAACCCATTTTCGTGTGTAAATTGCCTGTGCTGCATATATAACTGTCTCATAATGCTTTGGGGTAATTCAGCAAGTATAGCACTGGAAATGGTGTTTGTCTGCTGATCTTAATGAAGCATATAAATTGCTTTATAATAAGTCTGCTGCTCAGCTGTTATATTACATTAATCTGCTCTTCTTTTCTCCTAGCTTTTTTTCTGTTTTCTTAAACAGTTGATTAAAATTTTAATTAACTTTTGCTATTTCAACTCCGTTTTATTTTTCATTCTTAAAAGGTATTATAAGTAAAAACAAAAACTCATTTTTGCTCTTCTACTACTTGGGACAGTGTGTCTTTACGTTTCAGAGCATTTGTATTTCAATAGTCACGTCGACTAAAGATGAACTATGAGAGAAGCTTAATTATTTTCCATATACTTTTGGTATGATCTTATCTGACTACATTTTAAATTTTATATCCTAGTAAAATCCATTTTAAATCATATATTATTCAGTACGAAATCCTTTTATAAATTTCAAATTGAAATTTTTAAAAAGCAGTACTTATTTCTTGATGCATTGTTTTACTTTATTAACATGCCTCTAAGTGCTTCTATATCTCAAAAATATACAGGGATTTTTTCTTTCCTGTGCCTGTCAATTCTCATTACCTTCTTTTTGTTTTTTTCCTCCTGACTTTTCACCTGTACTCCACAGATTTCCTCCTCTGATGCTCCTCTTCAGCCTTTGGTATCCTCTCCTTCTCTGCAAGCTGCTGTTGACAAAAATAAATTGGAGGTATGGTCATGTTTTAACCAGCTACATTATGTAGTGTTAAATGGTAAATTAACTTCCTTTTGCAGTGTGTCATTCGGGAACACTATAATAGTTGTTGATATTTTGAATGATCCCTAGAATTAAAACAGCAATTTCTAGAATTTTTTTATACCACAGGTATGATTAAAGAACTTTGAATCTATATTTAATTTCAGAATGACTGATTTATTGGTGCCATGGCTGTATCTCAACAGTTAAGAAGCAGTTAGTTTTTTGTTGTTGCGCCCATTACTATCTTATACTTACAGGAACGTTTTTTTAAAAAAAATTTTCTTTCTATGATTCTGTTGTTAAAAGCACTTAAAGAAAGTTAATGTCAAGTTTCTTTTTTTTAAGCAATAGTAAACATCATACAGATAAAACGTGTATTATGGGATAATGAGTTCAGAATC